>NC_000015.10:29034449-29337480 GCF_000001405.40 Homo sapiens
AGTTCTTTATTACACACCAACTGATTGCCATGACTTAGTGGTTAATAAAGAGTGGGGCTTGGGGTTCCTTTAGATTTCAGGCCTGACACAACCCCTTGGATATAGACTACATGAAATGAAAGTGTTAGGAAGGGTGTATGCATGCTATTTGTTTACTTTGAAGAGTGACACTTGGAACCAATGTCAGTTTTACAGGCTGCCCTGACTTGCTGGGGCACAGACTGTGAAGTGCATATTCAGAATGAATGAAGTGTTACCCTACAGCAGTGGCTCTCAGACTTGCAGGCATCAGAATCCCCTGGAGATCTTTTAACATGCAGACTTCAGGGTCCTGCCCCTGAGTTTTCATTGGTCTGGGGGAGGGCCCAAGAGTTTCTGTGTTTGTGGAGTTCCCAGGTGACACTGATGCTGCTGGCCCAGGGACCACACTTCAAGAAGCCCTGGAATAGACTCTGTGGTGGGTGTTTGAACTTTGGATTCTTGGCCATAGGTTTTTACATTACAATGACAGAATGGGAAGTTTGGCAGGAATAAAGATGACTTCCACCCACAGGCTCCCGGGGAGGTCCTTCTTCCCTGGGCCCTGGCCTGGTGTCTCTGTCTAGCAGCTAGCTAGCATTCAGGTCCCAGGTCTCACATTTTGGCTGGACTTTAATGGCAATTGATGGGCAAGTGCAGGCTGTTCTTGCAGGGGAGGGAGTGCTGCCTCTGCTTGGGCTGCTAGGCTTGGGGCCTGGTCACCTGGGGCCACTGCCCTTCCTTCAGTCTTGCCAGACAGGCAGAGGAGTAAGGGCTTGCTACCGGGGCAGAGAACATCGAATGATTGCAATCGTGGGGTCATTAGGATTAATTAGTAAATAGCCATCAGATCTTAAAAAATAGATTCAGGAACAGCCTGGGAGGGCATTTGGGTGTGGTTTCCCAGTTTGAGGGGAAAGCATGAATCGACTACTATCTCAGGTAGGGCTCTGGTGCTGGGACCCTGCTCAGGCCAGTTAAGTGACAGTGGATGTGGCCTGGAAATCCTGTTTCTCTCATGTTCAGTGAGGGTGGAATTAGGGGTGTGTGTGGGGACCTTGGGGGCGCCATGTGATGATTAACTGTAGTCTGTCTCAGTTGTGGAAGCTGCTAATGTGTTTTTCTGGGACATCATCATGGGATTTTTATTATTGATTTCAGCAGGGAGACTGCTGGCTCATTATGTGACAAGAAATCGATGTGGTGTTCCACGTTCGAAGCAGGGGTTCTCCGTGACGTGCGGGCCCTGGACCAGCAGCCTCAGCATCCCCTGGGCATGTGTGAGCAGTGCACACTCCCAGCCTCCCCCTGACCTGCTGAGCCAGAAGCTCTAGGGCTGGGAGCCAGAAGCCCCGCAGGTGGCTCTGCTGCATGGGAAGGAACTGTTGGGATGCAAAGCAGGCCAGAGAGGACAGGAGCAGACAAAGATCTGAAGCTGAATATGGACCCCTCAGGGTGCCAGCTGTCACCCCGGAGCGCCCCCCTACCTGGGGAAGCTTTGGCAACCTTCCTGGTTGCAAGCCAAGGCCCAGGGACTCCACCGCTGGTGACCCCCTTACCTGGCCCTGGCTGTGCCCTTTGGCTCAGGGCTGGGCCCGGGAGGCTGGAGAGGTGCCAGGGTTCATTGCCAGAGGCTGCCTTGCCCCTCCCTTGTGTCCTTGTAGGCAGAGCCCTCACCCCCCTATGCTTTCCCGCCACCCACCAGCCACACCTCCTTGCCCAGGCCTCAGTGCCTGACAGATGGCCTGAATACATATATATATATTTTTTGTCTTAAAAAACTATTTTTTTTAACATATCTACAGACTCTCCCCTTACCAGGTATTTCTTGGGGAAGAAAATGTTGCTTAGTAGACAAATGTCCCCAGGTCTCCTTCAGGGAGGATGAGCATCACCTGCATTGAGGAAGGGGTGCTTCAGCAGAGATGCTCACTTCAAAGCGAGCCTCACTAGTAGCCACAGGGTGCACAGCTAGGATGGGAGGCAGTGCTGCTGAGCCAAGGGGTGGTGGGAGCAGCTCTGGAGAAACCTGGTCGGGTGGTGGGTGAAGCTGCCTCCACCCCAGCAAGCGATATGGGGCCTCCCCACTGGACTGGGGAACTGTGTATGAGGGTTTGGGGTGCAGAGACCTCAGGTGGCCTTCAAAGGAGGGGTGGCCAGAGGCCCAGCAGGTGACTCCCACACCTCTTTTACATCATCTCCTGCTGAACACCCCAGAGTTCCCTGCTTCTTACAGTGGTAACATTTGTTTAGGAGTTGTGCAGTAAGTAGACCAGGCATGGTGGTTCATGCCTGAAATCCCAACATTTTGGGAGGCTGAGGCAGGCAGATTGCTTGAGTCCAAGACTTTGAGACCAGCCCGGGCAACATGGTGAGACCCTGTTTCTATAAAAAATACAAAAATTAGCCAGGCAAGGTGGTGTGTACCTGTCATCTCAGCTATTTTGGAGGCTAAGGTAGGAGGATTGCTTGAACCTGGGAGGTGGAGGTTGCAGTGAGCTGAGATCACACCAGTCCACTCCAGCCTGGATAACAGAGAGAGACCCTGTCTCCAAAAAAAAAAAGAGAAAGTTTTGCATAAATAAAGTTAAATTATTTAAAATAAAATTATTTAAAATAAAAGTTAAATTGTTTAAAATAAGCTAGGAGAAACTTGCTACTTAAAGACATCTTTTGGGAGAATTTTTATTCAGAAGATAATCATTTATCAAAGTGATTGAGTAACCTGTAATTTATCCAGTGGAGTTTAATTTAAGCATTTGAATTTCATGTTTACCCTTTTAGCAGCTATCATTGAACCCGTCTTGGTAGCTCCAAAGCACACTTAAATATGAGATGCAGCCCCTGCCTCCATTGGCTTATGGACTGGGTGGGTGTGTAGCCACCGTGTACAGAAAGTTAAAGATGGTTCTAGGGACCAGGCAAACAGCCTGGGGTGAGTTACCAGAAGGATGATGTGAATCATCGTGTGAGATTACAGGTTGCCCATCACCATGGCCAGTGCCTCTGAGGGTTTGTTGGGATTAGAGGGGCAGCTTCCAGGCCTTTCAGGAGAGGAGGGTCTTTACATGTCTTTTGTGGGTGAGGACCTGAGGCAAGCAGAGAGAGACAGCCAGAGTTACGTGGGGCTGGAAGAAATCAGGCCAGAGTGACTGGGACCCTTGACTCTCCTTGTTAGAGGGTGTGTTTGTCCATTTTGTCCTCTTATAACGTAGTACCACAGACTGGGTAATTTATAAAGAAAAGAAGTTTATTGGCTCAAAGTTCTGGAGGTTGGGAAGTCCAAGAGCATGGTGCCAGCATCTGGTGAGGGCCTTTGTGCTGCCTCATAACATGGTGGAAGGCATCACATGGCAAAGAGACAGAGAGACAAGATAGGGGCTAAACTTAACCTCTTATGAGGAGCCCTCTCCCTGGGTAATGGCATTAATCCATTCCTGACGGCAGAGTCCTCATGGCCTAATCACCTCTTCAGCATACTGTCTCTTAATACTGTTATAATGGCAATCAAATTTCCACATGAGTATTGGCAGGGACTTCTGAACCATAGCAGAGGGACTGCCTTCCCCATGGATCCTGGTGTCCTGCACCCTGGGCCCAGTCCACTCTCTGGCTGGCACCTCTGGTTTTGCCCCCCAGGACTCTGTAAGCTCTAGCCAAGGCAGCTGGTGCTGTGCTTGCCAGCTCTGTGCTTTGACAACAACTTCTGCCTTCCCCACACTGTCTGAACTCCAGGGTCTCCTCTTCGTTTTGGTGTTGGGGGACTCTGGCTCACCACAGAGCTCCTCTCCAGGCACGTCCCTCCACAGCACCTGGGAAATCCCCTTTTCTGGCTCCAAGTGACCTATCTTCCGAGGGCTACTTGGGAATTCACAGAACCTCAGCTATGGAGAAGCTCAGAGGATTGGGGGATTGAAACCGTAGGTCATCCTTGAATGGTTAGCTTTTGAAAATAATTGTGCATTTTTCCGTGGTATGGGTTGGTTTCCTGTCCTGTCTCCACAGTGCTGAACCAAATCAGCAACGCTGCACTTTGCAACTCTGACAGTTGAGCTTCCTGGTCCTGCGATTAGAGCCCTCAAGATAGTACTGAAGCATTAGGTGAACGGTGGGGACAGAAGCCCAGACTCTGTCTGGAGTAGGGGCCCTGGAGGGACACACACCCACTTCCTATTTGGCTCTGTCCTATATGCAGGCATTTTTTTTTTTTTTTTTTTTTTTTCTGAGACGAAGTCTCACTCTGTTGCCCAAGCTGGAGTGCAGTGAGGCCATCTTGGCTCGCTGCAACCTCCACCTCCTGGGTTCAAATGATTCTCTTGCCTCAGCCTCCCGAGTAGCTGGGATTACAGGTGTGCGCCACCACACCTGGCTGATTTTTGTATGTTTAGTAGAGACAGGATTTCACTATGTTGGCCAGGCTGGTCTCAAACTCCTGACCTCATGATCTGCCCGCCTTGGCCTCCCAAAGTGCTGGGATTACAGGTGTGAGCCACTACGCCTGGCGCATGCATTTTTTAGAAGGACCTTGAGATGATTTACTATTGTTGATCAAGGAAGAAGATGAAGCGGGGAGATATGCTGCCTTGAAAGTGTCCTTTGAGCATGCAGCCTTATTTCAGCTGTATGTCAGGGTGTGTGTGTGTGTGTGTGTGTGTGTGTGTGTGTGTGTGTGTGTGTGTGTGTGTGTGTATCAGGGTTGCTGCTGAGGAGTTGCATTGCTTCCCTAAGGCCCACCAGGGAGATTCCTGTGAGGGGGTCAGACAGGGCCTTTGAAGTTTTATGTGTTATTAAAGAAGGTCGTATCTTATTACCACAAAGACCTGGGATATCTGCAGCAGGGAGTGGTAGAGGAGAGGCTGTCAGGCCAGCCCTTAACAGCGTAACTCTCTCATTCCTTCCTCAGTTCCTCCTTATCCTCCTGGCATCCAGCTCCCCATCAGAAACTGTGAATCCTAAGATATGATGGGACCATGGACCCTTCACATTTTTGTCATATTCATTATAGTGGTTCTCAGCCTTGGCTGCATGTCAGCCACCCAGAGTGTCCAAATTCTCCTCACCCAGAAATTCTGACCTCATGGAGCTGGGGCAGGATCCAGGAATTGATATTTTTTAAACCTCCTCAGGTTGATTCTAGCATCCAACCGGGGTTTAGGCCCGAGGACCACAGCCTGCCAGTTTTCGTGTGGCGTGACCTTTCCTGCCGATGATAATGCTGATGATGTCAAGCCTAGCTGAACGCTGATGGGCAGTGTCTGATTAATCGAATGAAGTAAAAATAAACAGGTTTTAACTTAATGTACCTCCCCAAATCTGTAAAGAGATCCATGGATGACATCAGTGCTGTCCAGGATGGAGTAAGCCCACTATCGTCCATTCCACTCACGGATTAGAACTCAAAACTCTGAACAGAATGAAAAGCAACCCCATCGGGAAGGGGGTTGGAGCTTGAATGCGCAGCACATTAGAATAGAGTTTCTGTGGTTGGGTTTTTTTCCCTCCTTTGATCTGAGTGCTGACTGATTTGGGAAATAGCACAGTGGGCAGAGGCAGCAAAACTCTGTGAGAAACCCATCTTTGTGGCCAGAGGGTTGAAAAGAGGAACGCTGCAAGCTGAAGATTAGGAGGGATCACTGTTTTGTTTTGTCTTTTCCTCTCTCCTGGCCCTGCCAGACCCAGAGCAGTAGCACCTACTACCCTGAGAGAAAATCCAACTCTCTGGTTGGAGGAACCGGTTGTTGCATAAAGGTGGTGGGAAGAATCCCCATTTTTTTCTCTTTCTCATTCTGCTTTGCCCTCAGCAGGGGCTGCAGTTGCAAGAAACTGTGAAAGAGTGTGATGTGTTAGGCTAAAACTCTGGGAGAGCCCCAACTTTATGGGCAGAGGAACCAGGAAAAGGTGCATCTGGTAGTAGCGGAATATGGAAGAAATCTTGGAGAGGGGAAATCTGGAAAAGAGGGTTTATTTATGTTTCTGAACCAACTCCATGTATGGGATATACCCAGAGAACCATAGCAAAGGCTTTGGATTTAAGCTGCAATAGAAACCGTGGCCCGGGTCCCAGACTTAATCCCTGAATAGCTCGTGCTTGAAGCCAACTCACAGAGCACAGCAAAGGGTTTTGAAACCGCACTGACGTTAACTCCATCCCCTAACGAAGGGGAACCAGAGCTTGTGTTCTCAACCTGAGTGGATTTATCGTCTGATGAAGCAGACACATGAAAATCAACATTCTCTACATTCTCAACATTCTCTCTCATTCAACATTTTTAATCAGGGTTAAAATGTACATATTAAAGCGATCTGGGATGCAATCTACAATTATTTGGGATACAAAGAAGCAAAAAAATCTGACTAATTCTTCAGTCAATCAATTAAAAATATTTTTTAAATGACCCAGTTCTCAAGGGAAAAGGCAATTAACAAATGTCAACCCTGAGATGACATAGATGTTGAAATTATCAAAGACTTTAAAGTGACTGTTATAACCATGTTCCATGAGGTAAAAGATGGACAGTTCTGAAATTAACAGAAACATAGAAATTCGCAGCAGGGCAATATGAAAAAAAAAAGAAAAAAATAGGAATTTTAGAATGAAGTAAAAATATTACTGGATGAGTTCAAAAGCAAATGTATATGACAGAAGAAAGAATCTAAGTTAGCTCTAAGTAGATCAATAGAAATTATCCTGAATAAAAGAAAAATGAGTTTAAGAAATGAGTAGGCCAGGTGTGATGGCTCATGCCTGTAGTCTCAGCACTTTGGGAGGCCAAGGTGGGAGGATCATTGAGCCAGGAGTTTAAGATCGGCATGGGCAATATGGTAAGACCTCTTCTCTACTAAATAAATAAGTAAATAAATAAAATTTTGCTGAGCCTGGTGGCACACACCTGTAGTGCCATCTACTCAGAAGGCTGAGGCAGGAGGATCACTTGATCCCCAGAGGTTGAGGCTGCAGTGAGCCATATTTGTGCCACTTTACTCCAGCCTGGGTGACAGAGCAAGACCCTGTCTCAGAAAAAAAAAAAAAAAAGCAATTATTAAAAAAAGGTATCATTTACAATAGCATCCCCCCAAAAAAGAAAGAACTACATATAAATAAGAAAATATACAAGATCCGTATGCTGGAGACTAAAGAATACTGATGAGAGAAATCAAAGACCCAACTCATGGAAAGATATATTTATATTTTGGAAGATTCAGTATAGTTGTGAATTCTCCCCAAATCGACCTATAGATTCATTGCAATCCCAATCAAATTTCCAGCAGGATTTAAAAAACTAGATATTGATAATGGGATTCTAAAATTTATATAGAAAAATAAGGGATCAATAGTGGAAACAATGGTTAGATCCCTGGTGAAAAAATATTCCTGATTACATGCGGGAGAATTTCCCAGAAGATGAAAAACAAGGGAACTCTGAACTTTGAATAAAGGGCACATGATCCTTATGGACTTTCTTAGTTCTCTAGGGCTGCTGTAAGAAGTCCACAGACTGGGTGGCATAAACAACAGAAGCTTACTGTCTCAGTTCTGGAGGCTGGAAGTCCCAGATTGAGGTGTCCTCAGGACTGGTGCCTCATGAGGGCTGTGAGGGAAAGTCTGTCCCATGCGTCTCCGTTTGCTTGTGGTGGTTTGCTGGCGATCTTTGATGTTCCCTAGTTTAGAGCCCTGCCTTCATCCTGTTTGTGTGACTGTCTCCACAATTCCCCTCTTTAGAGGACACCAGTCCTATTGGGTTAGGGCCTACGCAAATTACTGTATGTCAACTAATTATATCTGCAGTAATCCCCTTCCTCTCTCTCTCTCGCTGTCTCTTCTTTTCTTTCTTTCCTCACTGTGTTGCCAGGCTGGAGTGCAGTGGCCCGATCTCAGCTCACTGCAACCTCTGCCTCCCGAGTTTAAGAGAGTCTCCTGCCTCAGCCTCCTGAGTAGCTGGGACTACAAGTGCATGCCACCACGTGTATTTTTAGTAGAGACAGGGTTTCACTGTGTTAGCCAGGATGGTCTCAGTCTCCTGACCTTGTGATCCGCCCGCCTCGGCCTCCCAAAGTGCTGGGATTACAGGAGTGAGCCACCACACCCAGCTGCAGTGATCCTATTTCTAAACAAAGTATATTCTGAGGTACAGGGGATGAGAACTTAAACATATGAATTTTGAGGGGACATAATTCAGCCATAACACGGATGTGGCTTATTTTAAATCTACACAGTACTGTATGCACTTGGAAATGACTAGAAAAATGTGAAAATCACAGGGCAACAAGCAGAAGCAGACTTTTCCCCCTCGAGTCTTGTGGCCGCTTCTCTGGGGGTGACAGATTTCTTTGTCTCTGAGGATGGATCTGGTAGAGGGTGTATTTAGCAGTGTACTTCTTTGCACGGGGTCCTGGCAGCTGCAGAAGCTGCGCCCCTTTCTCCAGCATGTTAAGAAAAAGGTCAGTGCTGGTAACGTTCTGTGTTCAGTTGCCCTCTTATCTGGACCCTCGCTTTTCCCCTAAAGGCATCCAGGAGCAAACATGACATGCAGAGGTAGACTTTGCCAAGGCACCGCTATTTCCAGAAGTTCTTGTGGGAGAGAGTTGACTTCTTACTGTTAGACGTAACCCAGGAAGAACAGCAAATACCGGCCAGGCCAGAAGTGCACACAGTTACTCTGTTCCTGTTACGGCATTAATGCTGCTTTCAGGCGTGGACTACATTGTGAGATATTGAAAATGCCATTTCCTGGAGACTAGTATTGATGATGAAGGTCTGACAGCAATTTTAATGATGTTTAAAGGGCAGATCATCGCCCTTTGCGTATTTCGAGATGAGGATGCAGTGGGGCAGATGTCTCAGCATATTGAATGCCCAGAAGGAAGAAGTTAGGCCCAACATTAACCCCAAGCCTCTTCCAAGGGCTGCTGAGACTTAACACCCTTCCCACCGCAGAAATGTCACCTGACAGGTATGGCTGCCCAAGGCTTCCTGGGCTTTTTTATGCTTGTCTTTTTTATGTTATTTGTCTGTAGAAGTACTATAGCCAGGAATGACTAGAGGAAGGAAATAGGTACCATTGTCCCATCACTCGAAGGCAGCCCTTGCTAACGTCTTAATGCATTTCTTCACAGTTGATTCTGTGTTTATTTGTTGTGAATAAATCATAACAATACATATTACATGCTAAGCCTTTTGTAAATATTTCAGATGCCACAAAATTGTCTTGTGGAAGTGCTAACACTGATTTATCTAGGATCCTGTTATTGAAGGTTTAGTGTGTGCTCAATATTTTTGTCCATTTCACTGCCGTTTTCCAAAGAGAACACATCCCTTTGTGACCCTAAGCTAGGTTAGAGAGCCTTGCTTGACAGTGTTGGATATCAGTATTGTTTTTGGAAGATTAATTTATTAGTGTCCTTTCAGAGCTTGCGGTTGCCTGTGATCTTGAAGTGAAATACTTATTCGGTGACTTTTGTCTGGAATGCTTGGGCTGATTATACAAGCATTCTCCAGGACTGTTCAAACCCACATCATGTATAGTGTATAGTGAAAGCAACTAAATTATATTTGAAAGGAACAAAATAATATTATCTTTACAACATGTGAGACCAAATGGGGGACAAGATTGGTGTCAGGAACAATTTGGCTGAGTCTGTTTCTCATTTGTATGATACGTTTTCACCCAGCCTGTATTGTGGTCACTGAATAGCTATTTTTCATCTGGTCTGCTATATTACTAGCTCTTCTAAGCACCAGCTAATGCTATTTTCCCGTGCAAAAGAAAAACATGGTTTAGAATAAGGACACTGGAGCTCTTTATTGTTGACAATGAGCCTTTATTTCTCACATCTAATTAGAATGTTTCAGGAGGCGAGTGGTGAGCACGGTGTCGGGGGCCGCATTAGCTATTGATTTATGTGCTGTTATAGAATTAATTGAGTCTGGACATGGAGACTCATTTTCTTGGACATGTAGCAGGTAATCATGCTTCTCCTGTACATTTGAATTGCTTTCCAGATGGTGTGTTGTACAGGATTTATCTTTAATATGATTGACTAGAAGCAAAGGACCTGAGTGTGTTTGCATACATGCTCTGCAATGCAAAGCCCCCAGCCCCCACTGTAGAGATGGTTAACTCTCTCCTGGCCACACCCCCCCTGGGCTCATATGGGGACCTGGGCCTTGGATTGACACTGTATGCAGCAAAGACAGCGTCAAAGGGTCCTGGATAAAGGCTCTGGGAGGGGAGAAAAGGCCTATAGTATATTCTGAGGGAAACAGAATAAACAGCATTACTTATTATGCAAAACCAGGACATAATGTGGGTTCAGCAGGGGAATAGTTAGTGTCTTAGTCAGCTCAGGCTGCTATATCAAAAAACACCATAGACTTGGTGGCTCCAACAGCAGACATTTATTTCTCACAGCTCTGGAGGCTGGGAAGTCTGTGATCAAGGTATGGGCAGATTCAGTGTCTGCTGAGGTCTGTCTGCTTTCTGGTTCATAGGTGGCCATCTTCTTTCTGTGTCCACACATGGTGAAAGGGGCAAGGCAGCTCTCTGGGGTCTTTTTCTTCTTTCTTTTTTCCTTCCTTCCTTCCTCTCTCCCTCCCTCCCTCCTTCTCTCTCTCTCTCTCTCTCTCTCTCTCTCTCTCGTCTCGCACTGTCACCTGGGCTGGAGTGCAATGGCGTGATCTCGGCTCACTGCAACCTCCGCCTCCCAGGTTCGAGTGATTCTCTTTGCCTCAGCCTCCCAAGTAGCTGGGATTACAGGTGCACGCCACCATGCCTGGCTAATTTTTTTTTTTTTTTTTTGTATTTTTAGTAGAGATGGGATTTCACAATGTTGGCCAGGCTGGTCTCAAACTCAAGACCATGTGATCTGCCAGCCTCGGCCTCCCAAAGTGTTGGGATTACAGGCATGAGCCACCACGCCCGGCCTGGGGTCTCTTTCATAAGGGCACAGTCCCACTCATGAGCTCCACCCTCATGACCTCATCACTCCCCAAAGACCCCACCTCCTAATGCCATCACACTGGGGGTCAGGATTTCTACATGTGAATTTTGGGGGCGATGCAAACATTCAGTCTGTAGTGGTCAGATGATATCTATTCAGCTGGGAAATAGGATGTAGCCATTAAAATGATACCTATGGAGAGCTTGTGTTGCTTACCGCATGTTAAAAGAGAACAACATGGATTTGTGTTTACAGTAAGGTCTCGGCTATGCAAAAGAGATGCACAGATAAAAGACTGGAAAGAAAGAAACCACCAAACAAACACTGGCTTTCTATGGGTGGAACAACTGTGAGTGGGCATCCATTCCTCTCTATATTTCCTATTAAGAACACAGAGCAAAACAGATTGTAGTCCTTGTTGCTGGGAAGTAATGTGCCCTCAGAAACAGTCACCCTCTGAGTACAGAAGTCTGCCCACATCAGTTTCACAAATGATGTGCTAGATGATTAGTCATATCTCCGGCTCTCTCCTGCCCTCCTACAGGGCAGCTGTCCCCATATAACAGTTGTATCCCTAGAAGGAGTATGCAGTTAAAGTAATTGGAGATTCTTTGACCAGACGTTTTGAGAGTCTGGCAGCCCGGAAAGGTGGGATTTGGCAGCTATGTGGGACCTTCCTTCAGGCACTAAAGGGCTTCCTGAAAAAGTTGCTTACACATTGAGGTGTGTTAAATGGAATTCTTTATCATAAGGCTGCAAACTGCTTCTGTGCAAAAGGCAATGTGTTAGTTCCTTGCAGGAATATGCTTTTAGTGAACTCAATGAGATACCAGAAATCCAGTAGGAGAACACTTTCTTTGAAAGAACCACTTGTTTCTACCTACGTTTTTGCCCACCTTTCCTTCTCACCTCCCCTTGGCCACACCCCACTTTTGTGTCTTGGGAATTATCTGCTGTGCTCTGAATAGCCCCGTCCTGCCAGGCCACCCACCTTTGCCCTTGTTTGAAGAAGCTGGGGACAGTTGTCCTTGCTCTCCACCCCCTGGAGTAGGGGAAGAAGGCTTGGAATGTGGTGGGCCTAGGCTTCTTGGTGAGGGCCTTGTATTTGTTGACAAGGAGGTCAGATCCATTCCCTGGGCCGTCATCAGAGACCTGCAAGCATCTACTTAGGGCAGAGTTTTCAAGTGCAGTCTTTGGACCTCCAACATGAGAACCACCTGCAGCTCTAGACCTGGCCTTTGGCCCACAACCTTGGAATCTTGGGCCATGAACCTGCACACTCTCCAGGTGGGCCTTGTGCCCACCAAAGTGAGCGAATCACTGCATTGGAGGAGTGACTCTTGGCTTTTCACAAGGACCTCTCCCTGCTTTCCTCAGTCCCTCCAAGATGCACCCATATCCCACTGCAGGGATGCAATTTGCATACATAGCCAGGGACAGTGTCATCTGGCCACAGCCACTCCCAGCCACCTGTGTCAGCAGAGTTCCCCGTTCCCATCTAAGACATTCACCTCATCAGGCATCTCTCCTGGACCATTTCATTGACATTTTCCTTAACTCCCTTTATGTAGTGTTTATGGAGTTCAGGCCTGCACTGGTTGCTCTCTTCTTTAACTCGCTTCAAGCCCTGCAGGCACATACTGTCATTTTCAGTTTCCTAAGGAGGGGAAGGCCATCTCTCCATTAAATATCTTGCCCCAGGCCTCACAGTAAACAGAGGTCTGAATTGAAACAAGGACCTTCAGTCTTCATCTTTAACAGGCGGGCTCTTTGTCTTATACCAAAAGTGCCCCAGTAGGTTCCGTGTAATTCTGTGGAGTCTTTGAAGACGTGGCTGCCTTCTGGGTAGCTGCTGTGGGTCCCTTACCCTTTGCACTCATGGGAAAGAGAGCTGGATCAGAATGTCTGTGGTGTCAAACTCAGGAAAAGAGCTGCCATTAGCCAGCGCTAGCATTGTAGTCATGGTGAAAAACGGGATCATTACCAGTCCACAGCCAAGCCATATTGCAGCCTGAGGCAACAGGAAAAATCAGGAATACCAATCCTATCTTCATTTACAATTTTGATATTTTGTTCATCATGGATTTATTTTGCCTTAGTTTTGATTTCTAAAGCATTGCATTAAAATATTATTTATTTTTGATTGCTTAGGTTTTTGGGGCCTCCCTGATCTCCCCCTGGTTCAGCCATCGTAAAGTGAAAGCATTTTCATTGCAATGAGGAATAAGTCAAGGGTGCCTGTTAGTGCCATTGTTAACTCCTCAGGGAAGTGCAGGGCAGGGTAGTTAGACAAGATGACCACATGCCGGAAAGGGGAAGCAAAATGGTGACTTCTGAAAGTGACATCATTTACCTAGAAAAACATTATCAACTAAAAACTATTAGGATTTAAAAATAGCTTAGTAAAATCTATTTTTACAAAATCAATATCATTTTTTTTCTGTATGCCAACAATAACCAGGTAAATATATAAGGAAGAGATCTATTCGCAACAGCCACAGAAATATTATATTTAAGAAAAAACTTAATATGAGATGTCTACAGCTATAAAGAAAATTACAAAGCCGTTGAGAGACATTTAAGACTTCAATAAATAGGAAGATTTTTTTGGGTGAAATTGGGTAAAAAGACTCAGTATTGTAAGTATGAATAATTTCTGAGGCCGGGGCACGGTGGCTCACTCTTGTAATCCCAGCACTTTGGGAAACCGAGGTGGCTGATCACTTGAGGCAGGAGTTGGACACCAACCCGGCCAACATGGCAAAACTTCATCTCTACAAAAAATACAAAAATTAGCCGGAGGGTGATGACACATGCCTGTAATCCCAGCCACTCAGGAGGCTGAGGCACAAGAATCACTTTAACCCAGGAGGCAGAGACTGCCGTGAGCTGGGATCGTGCTACTGCACTTTAGCCTGGGCGACAGAGCGAGACCTTGTCTCAAAAGAAAAAAAAATTCCCTAAAGTAATTTATAACTTAAAGTTACTCCAGCCAAAATTTCAGTGGAATATTGGGGATACTTGGAACCACTAACTCTTAAGTTCTTTTGGGAGAATAAATGTGAAAATAGCAGGGGAAGATGACAAAATGAGAATAATGAGAGAGAACTTGCCTTATGTCGTATTAAAATATGCTCTAAATTCATAATAATGAAAATGGCATGGTACTGTTGCTGGGCAGATAGAAATGATGTAGACTAGAAAGTCCAGGGACAGATCTAAGTTTATGTAAGAATTTAGTGTATGATGGCTGGGCGGGGTGGCTCACACCTGTAATCCCAGCACTTTGGGAGGCTGAGGCAGGTGAATCATGAGGTCAAGAGATCGAGACCATCCTGGCCAACATGGTGAAACCACATCTCTACTAAAAAAAAAATACAAAAATTAGCTGGGCGTGGTGGTGCGCACCTACCTGTAGTCCTAGCTACTCGGGAGGCTGAGGCAGGAGAATCACTTGAACCTGGGAGGTGGAGGTTTCAGTGAGCCGAGATCACACCACTGCACTCCGGCCTGGCAACAGAGCAAGACTCAGTCTCAAAAAAAAAAAAAAAGAATTTAGTGTATGACACGCAGGGTGACCAGCCATCCCAGTTCCTGTGGAACTGAGGGTTTCCTGGGACATGAGACTTTGAGTGTTAAAGTTGAGATGGTTGGTCACTGTAAAACATGAGAAACAGAATAGTCTATTTAGTAAAGGGTATTGGGTTACCTGAGTAAAGCTGTGGTGCCCACACTTTGCTGTATATTGGAATCACCTGGGAAACTTTTATGAATACTGATGCCTAGTTCCTATCTGAGACATTCTAGGTTCATTGGTATGTGGTGTGACCTGGGCATCAGGGTTTTCAATGGGTAACAAAACTTGAAAATCACTGGGGTAACCATCGTGGAGAACATGAAGCTGCTCCCTACCTTGTGTGTTTACACTTTCTGATGGGTTAAATATTTCAGTGTCAAAAATAAAGGATTCTAGACAGTGACTGGATTTGCTTGCTCCAAGGGAAGAGGTTTGACCCCTCCCATGAAAAGTCTGGAACTTCTGGAGCTAGGGACAGGTGCAGCACACAGACTCAGGGAGTTTCAGGGGAGCACCTTATTCCTGTGCCTCTAGGAAGGGTGGACATTTTCCCTGGAAGCAAGCAGATCTGGCTGAGGACAGCCTATCTCTGTCATACCTAAAAAATACAGGCACCTCTTCACATCTCAACAGTGAAGTCCCAGATGACCACCCTGACTGCCTCCAGCTCACCATAAAATCCTCTCCCACTGTATCTTACACTGCCCAGCCATCCACCAGTCGCTGAAAGACATGCACTGGTGTCTCAGGGGCCCTTTGTTGCCAGCAAGAGCAAAGACAGGTCACATGCTATATCTTGCTGAAAAGTGAGTTAGTGTTTTGGAAGGTCAAATGGAGGAACTAATTTATACCACACAGAAAAAAATGTGAAATGGGTGCTATGAGTGTAAAGTTCAGTGATTTGGAGGGCAAATTCCAGAGATATTCCAGAAAGAGAAAAAGGCCATTAGGGAGAGAAATAAAAAAGAAATAGCAAGAATCTTCCTGTAACTAAAGTAAGATGTGGGACTTGATTCGGAAAGGGCTCACCAAATGAATCTCACATAAAATTAATGAGACCCTCATAAAATTAAAAAAGACCCTTATCTAGACATAGTTTGCTGGAATTTCTGAACTCTAAGAGTGGAGAGGAAATTGTATCAGCTTCCAGACGGAAGGAATAGATTTTTGTACCAAGGTAAAAAGAATCTGAATAGTATTAAAATGCACATCTGCGAGACTGTAAGCTAGAAGATAGTGGAACAGTGTTAGCAAATTATTGTGAAAAGGATGCAATACAATAATCTTATACCTAGCAAAGGTATCATTCTATGTGAGATCAGAGCCATTTTATAGATACAAAAGAGTTACCTCCTAAGTAAACAAAATGACTCTAACAATTATTTTTACAAAATAAAAATGAAATCCCACTAAATAGTTCAAGAGAAAGAAATGCAAAAAGTATAGGAAGCAGTGGTAAGTTATGAATTGAGTAATTATAGTCCAAATTATATTGTTGTCGTAGTGTTATACATCTGGAATAAATTTTTCTGAAATCATCTGAAGGCTTGGAGAGCTAATAGGAAACACCAGTGGAAAATAAACTCCTGGTTCTATTGTAGTTCTCCTACAATGTCCTCAGTGTTTTCATTTTTGAAAACTTGAATAACATTTTAATAGGATCTGGACTGTTCCATGTTACTGTAATGTGTATTTTAGTCCTTATGTCCTATATTGGCCTAGAGAATATTTTATTTAGTGTTGGTATACATATTTATATGTGCATATTACAGATTTTATCCCCCCGAATGACAGAGATTTTGAAGTTAAGATAGCAAGAGTACTGTGTACTTTAGTTTGTTCTCTTAACAAGGATGTGCATACCTTCAACGTGCACAGCTTGATGTCAGAGCCTGGCGAGAAACAGGGATGCTGTAGAGATGGCACCGCTATGCAAGGAATGGGAGCTGTGTGCTCATGTGCCAGTGATGTACCATCTGCCCTTTGCCGTCCTGACGTCAAGACATGGACGTCTGGTTGCATGTTAGCAGCTGCATTCAGCACATGCTTCTGAGAGACCGTTTTGAGGAATGTAGTTACTGGAGATTGTGTCTGAGAGTTGTGGTTGCTAAGTCCCTGACATCACTCCTGCAGCCTCTCTCTTGTGGCTGGCTGTCCTCTGTGAAGATAAGAAATCTGGTGACAAGTTATATGTGGTCTTTGAGGCAGCTCAGTGTTCTTGATGTGTCCTCTGACACATCTGGGTTGCAGATGTCTTAGTGAGTGCTGGCCCCTTGTTCTCTTCTAGGGAACAGCTCTTTCGAATTGTCCTGCCAGTTTCAGGGTTTGCGAATGGGGTGACGGGCCCTGCAGGGTCCATCTCAGTGACAATTTTCCTGGTGTGGGACATCTTTGCTGTCTGTGGGCCACTCTAGGGGGAGTGCTGTGAATTGCTCCGCATACCAGTGATGCTCCTGAAACACGGCCATGGACAAGCCTGTGCAGGTGGCGGAGTAAACATTGCTTCTTTAGATGTCAAGTGTCCTTGGAGTGAATTCACACGTTGGAAGCATGTGGCTCCATCAGTAATTGTGCCCACACTCTGAGTGTCTGGACTGGATGAAATAATTATCTCCTTCTTCGTTCTTTTGGGAATATTCATACTGCTGTAACCGTGACCATCTGGTACACTCAGTCTCATAACAAGATGTGTTTTGGGCACCACTACAAACAAGGTGCTGTGTTTGGAGCTCTGGGGGGATACACAATATGGAAGGCCTTGAGTTTGTGGCCTAAACTAAAGAGACAAGAGGGGAAGAGGAGGTACAGGAAGGCAAGATGAGAGCCCGGGCAGTGACTGCTGAGGGTCACTGATAGCTCCTCTTTCATCTTCACTTCCTGCTCCCATCTGAGCCCAGATCCCTTTGCTTCTGCCACCTAAGGTCCTCACTGAGCCACTTCTCCACTGTCCTCTCTACTGTTTTAGTTTAAGCTCTCCTTTTTTTTCTTTTTAAAAATTGCAGTAAAATAGACATAAAAAATTTAGCATTTTAAGCATTTTCAAGTGTGCAAGCTCTTAACTGGACTACTGGAATATGTTTTTTTAAATAATTGAACTATCATGCAAGCAAAAAGGCATGTGTAATGTAAGAGTACAGTTTAAAGAATATGACAAACATTTGGGGAAGCAATTAGCTGAAGAAGTAGAACGTTGCTGGGCGTGGCGGCTCACCCCTGTAATCCCAGCACTTTTAGAGGCCGAGGTGGGCGGATCACGAGGTCAGGAGATCGTGACCATCCTAGCTAACACGGTGAAACCCCGTCTCTACTAAAAATACGAAAAATTAGCTCGGCATGGTGGGGGACACCTGTAGTCCCAGCTACTCGGGAGGCTGAGGCAGGAGAATGGTGTGAACCCAGGAGGTGGAACTTGCAGTGAGCTGAGATGGTGCCACTGCACTCCATCCTGGGCGACAGAGCGAGACTCCATCTCAAAAAAAAAAAAAAGAAGTAGAACGTTAAGCAAACTTTTGGACGTCCTCTGTGCCACTTTCCTGATGCTAGCCCCTTGCTTTCCCCCAGAAGAGAGAATAGCCTTTTCACTGGTCTCCCTGCCTCTAGCCTCTAGCCTCTGTCCCCACGCCAGGCCCAGAGAGACAGGGCTAAAAGAAAAAATGTTGAAAATGGCTCAGTGACTGTGCACATGTCTTAGTCTGTTTTCTGTTGCTATAACAGAATACCTAAGACTGGTTGATTATAAAGAATGGAGATTTGTTTCTCACAGTTCTGGAGGCTGGGAAGTCCAAGGTCAAGGTGCCAGCATCTGGTAAGGGCCTTCTTGCTATGTCATCCCAAGGCAGAGGTGAGAAGGTGAGGGAGAATGAGAAAGAGAGCAAGAGAGAGCCAAACTCACTTTTATAACAAACCCACTCTCACAATAAAGAACTTCCTCCCAAGATAAAGACATTAATCCATTCATGAGAGCACAGCCCTCATGACCTAATCACCTTTCAAAGGTCCCACCTCTCAACACTGTTGCATTAGGGATTAAGTCTCCAACGCATGAACTTTGGGGGACATATTAAGGCCATAGCCGTGTGGTTTGGGGGATAAAGTGCAGAGTCCTGGGCACTGGGTCCAGGCCCTCTCCCAGTTTGGCCTGCCAGGTCTCTGCAGCTGCCCTGTCACCCCACGATACCTGCAGGCTGCGGCTGCACCCTTTGTCCTCTTCTCCCCATGGCCGAGCAGTGCTGTCCCCTCTGCTGAGCCCTCCAGCCTGCCACGCTGGGGACTTGTGTAGAGCTTTTCTGCACATTGCTCAGCCTGGATGGTCCCTGCGCATCCAGTTCCTCGGTGAACATTGTTCAGTTTGAGGGGGAAGAGGAGGGAGAGGATGGGATAAGCCTGAAGGGGAAGGTACCCAAGATAGTCTTTGAGGGGTCATGGATTTAGATTGGGAAGAGTTATTGTCCCTCCTCATTGGTCCTCATTATGTCTTCTTAATGAAAGCTGCTCATTTTCTTCGTGAGAGCAAACAACCTGATCTTCTGACCATTTGTCTTGGTCACCTGGGCTACCCAAACTGAGTGAGAAGTCAGGAATGAGCCGGTAGGTTCCTGGGGAGAGGCGTGTGTCCTCGTGAGTTGCCGGTGCCTCCCTTGACTGCTTTTCCCGGAGCTCTGTGTGCCCTCGTTCTCCTTGGTGTGGATGCGTGTTGTTCTGATGATGAGTTAGCGGGGGTGGGGATGGCGCACTGTTTGAACAGATGTGCCCTCACATGGCTGCGGGAGGACGTGGTGGGAGGTGCTGTGGTGAAGTGGCCCCACACATGGCTGGGCTTTGTGGGGTTTTGACTCTGTCCTTCCCAATGTTCCTCCCCACAGTGGCTGCCTCCGGGTGATGATGGCTGTGTGAACGACTGCCATGGCCCACCGGAAGCTTGAGAGCGTGGGGAGCGGCATGTTGGACCATAGGGTGAGACCAGGTCCTGTCCCTCACAGCCAGGAGCCCGAGAGCGAGGACATGGAGCTGCCCTTGGAGGGCTATGTGCCCGAGGGCCTGGAGCTGGCTGCCCTGCGGCCAGAGAGCCCCGCGCCAGAGGAACAGGAGTGCCACAACCACAGCCCCGATGGGGACTCCAGCTCTGACTACGTGAACAACACCTCTGAGGAGGAGGACTATGACGAGGGCCTCCCTGAGGAGGAGGAGGGCATCACCTACTACATCCGCTACTGCCCTGAGGACGACAGCTACCTAGAGGGCATGGACTGCAACGGGGAGGAGTACCTGGCCCACAGTGCACACCCTGTGGACACTGATGAGTGCCAGGAGGCGGTGGAGGAGTGGACGGACTCGGCGGGCCCGCACCCCCACGGCCACGAGGCTGAAGGCAGCCAGGACTACCCAGACGGCCAACTGCCCATTCCGGAGGATGAGCCCTCCGTCCTTGAGGCCCATGACCAGGAAGAAGATGGTCACTACTGTGCCAGCAAAGAGGGCTACCAGGACTACTACCCCGAGGAGGCCAACGGGAACACCGGCGCCTCCCCCTACCGCCTGAGGCGTGGGGATGGGGACCTGGAGGACCAGGAGGAGGACATTGACCAGATCGTGGCAGAGATCAAGATGAGTCTGAGCATGACCAGCATCACCAGCGCCAGTGAGGCCAGCCCCGAGCATGGGCCTGAGCCAGGGCCTGAGGACTCTGTAGAGGCCTGCCCACCCATCAAGGCCAGCTGCAGCCCCAGCAGGCACGAGGCGAGGCCCAAGTCGCTGAACCTCCTTCCCGAGGCCAAGCACCCCGGAGACCCCCAGAGAGGCTTCAAGCCCAAGACCAGGACCCCAGAAGAGAGGCTGAAGTGGCCCCACGAGCAGGTAGGACCCTGGCTGTCCTGGGGAAGGGAGCAGAGGGGCCCGAGAGCAAGGGACCTCAGGGTACAGGCCTTGCAGATGCTGAAGCGAGGCGGTGGGGGGTGCTGGGTGCCTCACAGTTCTAATGGTGGCTGAGCTCTTCATTGGTCCAGTTGGGAGACATGTTGCGTGGATGCTCCGGCCACTCTTAAGCTCACCGCTCAGACTCAGGACTAAAGCCGGTTGAGGGCTGAGTGGCAACTCGTGTCTCGCAGAAGACACCCCTCCTCCCACCCTAGAAGAGAGGTTCGATTTCTTGCCCACTGCCCTGGTCTGCTCATGGTGGGGCAGTATGTGTGGGAGAGCCCCTCAATCCTCAGGGGTGTACTCAGACCAGCAGGGCAGTGGCAAAGACGTGGGGGTGCTGGTGCTCACCCACTGCTGCGGCCAGTGTTGGGTGGCCTGGTGGCTGGGGTCGGGGCCAGAGTGCATTTCACAATGGACGGGTCTCTGAAAGCCCGGGGGCCTTGGCCTGATGGGCAATCAGCTGTGAATACCTATTTGGAAAAGGATTTTTTGAAGGTTTGACAAAACCTCGGGGAAGAAACGCATGCTAATGAGGGCAGTGGATGTCAGCATAACTGTATTTTAATTATAGCAAAGTCAGCGTGCATTCTAATAAACACATTTGAAAAGCCACCTTCCAAAAAAAGCCTCACTGTGAGTATATAAAGAAGATGTGATTATTGGACTTGTGTGAAGGAACTTCTATTTGGCCAATTATGTGGACTTCTGTCATATTTTTTTACAGCCTTAACTGTTAAATATTTTTTTCCGAGAAGAGTTCATGAATTTGAGTGTGTGTGTGTGTGTGTGTGTGTGTGTGTGTGTGTGTGTGTGTACTGAGAGCTTGGGTTTGGAATGGAAATCATTGGATTTTCAGCACTTATATTTTAATTGACTCCTGGATTTTCAGCACTTGTATTTTAATGTCTTGTATTCTCTCTAAAGAACGTTAAGTGTCAGTTGACTTCACTTTGGGGGTGTTCCTGTCATTCACAGCAATTCCGTGTTTACAGGGGGCTGTGGGATGCATAGGAGCTCCCATGGTACTAGTGGGTGTTGGGAGAGTTCACCCCTAAGGCCAGGAGGCTCTGGACCCTGGGTCTGGGCTTTAGGCCAAAGCAAAGTGTTTCTTTGGTCTTTAGCAGGGCCTGGGCTTGTCCCACAACAGTGGTGAAGGCACCTCAGGGATTGACGTGGGCTGTGCAGAGCGTGTGACATGCTGCGTCTTATTGTGACAAATGGCATCGCTAGCCAAGTTCTTGTCAAAGAAGATTATCTTTAGAGCGTGGTGGGGAGTAAGCAAGACCTGATATTTTCTGGTTTTGTGCTTCATGCTAACCAGATGGTAATTTGGGTAAAAACACAGAGATCTTGCGATTGGAGAGCTGGGAGGTAAATGAGTGGGAATGAATGGATGGATGGGTGATAGTAGCTGTTTAAAAGGGCAGGTGGAGGTAGGGGAAGTCCCCAGCCATTGTGGAGGATCAAGAGGATGTCTGTTCTTCCCAGAAGAGGCATTGAATGAAAAAGTATGTCACTTCTCCCCCTAAGGAGAATGTGTCCTTGAAGGACATGCTCTTGTCTGAGACACTGGAAAAGTTCATTTAAACTGGTTAATGATTGTATAGCTTTTGTTTTGTTTTGTTTTTCCCTCCCTCCCTCCTTTCTGTCCTTTCCTCCTTTCCTCCCTTCCTCCCTTCCTCCCTCCCTCCCTCCCTCCCTCCCTCCCTCCCTCCTTCTCTCCCTCCCTCCCTCCCTCCTCTCTCTCTCTCTCTCTCTCTCTCTCTTTCTTTCTTTCTTTCCTATCAGTTCACAAATTAATTCTGTCAAGGGGAACACCTGCTAGTTCCAGAGTTCCAGGCTGACAAGTACCCTGGTGCCAGGGGCCCTGACTACTCTTTCTGAAGACTCTACCAGGCCCGCTGCACGTGGGCAGGGTCTCCACATTCTTAGATTTGAGTACCCCATTCCAGATGAGGACCTCTTTGAAACCTGACCAGAAAGAGCCGTAGAATTCATCTTGAAAGCAAGATTTTTTATGAAGGATGTGCACTGGGAGATTTGGTGCTGCCTTGCTTGAAATAACAACCTGCTTTCCTAAGAACAATCCCCTTCCTCCCCTGGGGGACAGCCAGGCCGTGCCAGGAGCCAACAAAGGCCTGGCCTCAAGCAGGTGCACAGGGTGCCATGTGTCCCATGCTCACCTCTCTGATCCCAGTGCTGTCCACATAGTGTAGTGATCCCTATGGTTGAGGCTGCAGTAAAAAAAAAATCTGAAGGGAGAAATGGGCAATATTGGTCACTTAGATGCTGTAGACTCCTGTTTTTAACCCTAACCCAGCAGCATTGGCATTACTGGGGAGCCCCGCCCCCACATTGCTGAATCTGAAATCTGCATTTCAACAAGATGCCACATTCCAGCTGTGATGCTGTAGGAGACTCACTTGGAGGAAATTGTGTAGCAACCCTCCCCTCTCTTCTACTCATTTTACAGCTTGAAAAAGTGTGTCCTGGATATTTTGAAGAGGACTGAATAGCATTTAGTCATTGCACGAATGGCAATAGTAAAATAGAGTTAGAAAAAATGGGAAGATGAAAAATGTATTCTCCATGGTCCCTACTACCCTAACGGATGAGCTATTTCATCAGTGTGCCTTTTCAGACCATAGCATTGAGCATAAATGATGTACGTAGCTGTCATCATAACCCAGATGTATTTTTGTCATACAGTTTTTAAAATCTGATGTATGATAAATGTTTCTCCATGTCACCATATAATTTTCATGATTATTTGTAGTGACCTTTCCATGATCCATTTGGGCGATGATGTGCTGTATAACATATTTCTCTGTACACACTCTACCATTGAGCATGCAGATTGTGAGTGGCATTTTCTCTTAGGTGTAAGGCTGCCACAGACATCTTTGTACAAACCATGTTTTCCTTCTTTGGTTTATTACCTGAGGATAAATCCCCATGCCGTACATCAACGTTGACCATTTCCCCTCGATGACCTTGCCTAATTGTTTCCCTTCTTCTGTGGATGTTGGATGCATGCCCTTTATCTTTTGGGGTTTGGATGCATTTCCATCTCATAGAAGCACTCTCTACACTGTAGGTGTGACTTCCTGTTGCGTATGTCCTCATCTTTAGTACATTTTCTTTTGAATTTTGGTTATATTATTTTCACCATCTCTGCAGCATTTTTAAGATGTTAATGACTCATCTGTGACCCCTCCACCTCCTTTCGGTACAGAGGGATTTAATTGGATGTTTCCTTCTTCCCTGTCTGGGTAGATGTATTCACAGAGGACATTGCTTTGGTCTGGTCGATACGAAAAATGAGTTGCCGGCTGGGTGCAGTGGCTCACACTTGTAATCCCAGCACTTTGGGAGGCCAAGGTGGGCAAATCACCTGAGGTCAGGAGTTCGAGACCAGCCTGACCAACATGGTGAAACCCTGTCTCTGCTAAAAATATAAAAATTAGATGGGCATGGTAGTGTGCACCAGTAATCCCAGCTACTCAGGAGGCTGAGGCAGGAGAATCGCTTGAGCCTGGGAGGCAGAAGCTGCAGTGAGCCGAGATAGCACCACTGCACTCCAACGTTGGCAACAAAGTGAGACTCCCACCTCCAAAAAAAAAAGAAAAGAAAAATGAGTTGTGCCTGTACTAAGAAGTAGGTTGTGTGGCCTTTGGAGCCCTCCTGAGCTGTAGGATGCCATGCATTTTGAAAAGGCTCCAGTTTGCAGGGAGCCCTCCCACCTGTGCCACTCTGCTGAGACCAAGAGGTCTGCCCGGGGGCTGGGATATGAGAGGCACAAAGGTGATAGAGTTTCTAAAATTGTAGGAAGACAGGTTGGGGAACAGAGATCTACACTTGAATTATTTTAGTAAAATAAAAAAAGGTTATTTCAAAGCACTGCAAGTTTACTGAGGAAAATTTGGAAAATACAGGCAAAAAAATCTTTTGCCATGTGGCATTGTAGAATTCCACTGTAGAGTTTTCAAATCAAAGAGACAAACCTAGGTCAGGATTTCCCAAAACACGCTCTTAGAGGTGTTGTGTAAACAAAGTACCATTTGATCCTTACTATTCATGGATTTGATATTTGCAACTTTGTTAACTTGCTAAAATTGATTTGTAACCCTGAAATCAATACTCGTAGCACTTTCCCAGTCATTTGTGGAGGTACAGAGAGGGGAAGAATTTGAGTCACCCAACTCTCACGTTCCCAGCTGAGGTTGAACAAGGCTTTGCCTTCTTGTTTCAGCTCTCATACTGTAAACAGCTGTTCTTTTCACAATCTATTTAATGTTCTTTGCATTTTTGTTGATATGTGTGTGTGTGTGTGTGTGTTGGTGATAAAATGGCCCTCAAGTGTGGTGCTGAAGCCTAGTGATCCTAAGCACAGAATGGCTGCCATGTGCCTTACATGTGCTAGAGAAGCTTCCTTCAGGGCTGAGCGACAGTGCTGACTCGTCTATGCTGCCACTCTGGGAGGTGCTAAAGTAAACTTCTGTAGCGTATGATGAAGTTAAGGAAAAGGTGGAGGAATGGCTAAATTTGCAGATTCATGGGACAATAACTGATTAAAAAACACATAGTGGACAGGTAGAAAACCCAAGAACTTTACTGTCTTGTGATCTAGGGTCAGGGAAATGTTAAACTCTTCTCAGCTAGTGTTTTATGTTAAAGAAATATTGCATATAATTAATTATTTATAAGAAATCTATATTAAACAAGGTGCGTATAAACAGAAACACACATAAAACAAGGTTCTGTGTTGATTCATTGACAAAAATGTGTCCCGAGGCTCATAGGAACCTAACCCTGTATCGCCCCTAGGAGCAATGTATTCAGTATTCATCAACTCAGTGCTCAGGGCAGCTTTACAGAACATAACTATGTGAATGAGAATTGGTTGTATTTGGTTGGCAAATGACTTTGGGAAACTTTGCTGCAAAGTTTTTCCCTTCTTGGGGGTTTACTGATTTCTCACACACAAGTAGCATAAAGTCCCACGTTCGCTATAGCGGAGACACCAGCCAGCCTGGCCAGTGCTTCCCAAACATGGTGTATCAGCAAGCCCTTTTCCCTCCATGCAGGGTCTGTGGGAGAATACAGACCCAAGCTTTACACCCTGGGGAGTAAAGGACCCGTACACATGAACTCCCAAGGCCTCTCCCTGTATGCTTCAGTTCCAAGATGATTCAGCAACCCCAAATGGTGATGATGGAAAGGTTGTCATTGTGTTATCATCAGGACCCTTGGCTTCTGCAGATTTAACCTTTCTTATTTTGTGGTTTGTGTAAAGTCCGTGGGTGCCGGTGGAGGTGGCAGCAGTGTTGGCGGTGACTGCCAGCACCATGTTAGGGGTGTTAGGAATATGATCGCAGTAAATCCTAGAGCAACCCAGAGAGAGGGAGCTAGGGTTAGTCCCGTGTTGCAGATGGCACAGTTAAGTAGCTCACCTGTGAATAGACTGTGGACTGTGTTATGCCAAAACCCGTGCCTCTGAACAGTGCATAACACAGCCCTTGAAGAACCTGAGAAGAGAAAGCGTCCAGTTCTGTTCAGTCCGCGTTTGAGCCTGCCTGCTGGAGGGTGAGTCAGTGTGGGGGAACTGTGCAGTGTTCCTCCTGGAGAGTGATGGTCTCTTCTCCTCTGTTGTCTGTTTCCTTGCTGTTGAAAGGCTTGGCGTGCCCTGTTGTTCTCAGTGAGTGGGATACGGTGCCAGTGAGGTGACCAGTAGATACGGAAGCCTCCGGTCTGTAAAATGTCCCCATCTCAGTGCTAACGTGTCCTAAGTTCACCAGGGCTCAGGCCACAGATCAAACAAGTCAAGTAAAGATTGTTCATGTGGCATTTTTCTTAATTTTTTTGAGCTTTGTTGACATAACGTATTGATTTTTTTTTTCATGCAGTGATTAAGGAATACATGAGTTGGGTCCAGCAAGGCTCGTATTGTGTGACCTGATGGAATTAGTATTACTACACCTACCCATGTGGCCCTCTACTATCAGGCAGTGAAGCGTGAGTGGAGGGAGGACCCCAGCTGGGCACTGGTACCTGGCTCAGTCTCACAGCTCCAGGGATGAGCCTGTGGACCTGGCACGTCCTTGGTGCCTTCCCTTGAAGAGAGTAGTTTGCTCATCAGTGCTTTCCCTGGGGCAACTCACCCACACTCCTGGGGGGCACCATAAGAGCGTTTGTCCAGCACCAAAGATCCTAGTTCTGTGGGTCTGTGGGGTGGCCCTGGATGGCATGTTCTCTGGATGCCTCTGGGTGGCCTGTGGAACATAAAGGGTTTGGCGAGGGCTGGACGGATTGTTTTGGAGCCCCATCCCACCTGTTACCTTGTGACGTCTATCAGGAGATACACTGAAAAGGTCAGCCCTGCCTGAAATTCTCCCTGTAGAGACTTACTCCTTTGGACCTTGGAGATTTCTGGAGCTGCAGGCATTCCTTGTCCAGGACCTCCATGGCTACCGAGTTGAGGTATTTGATTTACTCAGCAAGTGTAGAATAGCTCCACACCTTGGAATGGCAAACCAAATATGCGTTTTGATTATTTGGGGTTTTCATGATTTCTGTTTATCCCTGACCCAGCTGGTGCTTTCTAGAAAGAGCCTTCTGCCAATAGAAAAAAGAAGAAAAATCAATACATGGTAGCCAACTTAATACAAGTTAAAGGGAAGCATGGTCGAGGGCCCCGAGGCCACATCGAATGCAGAATTGTGCATCATTGCTCATTGTAGAGATGCTTTGGCCGTGACTTGGCATTCAGTAGAGGCTTGCTTTTTGAAGAACCTTCTGAGAGTGTGATAGGAGTCTGGTGCCAAGGGAGAGAAGGTGCTAAAAGCACAGGTAACTGGGTGTGTCCCCCAGGTGGGAGGCAGTGGTACCGTGTGTGTTCTGAGCCACGGCCTCACACACATGCCCCGCTGGGCAGCATATGAAGTGAGTGTCAGTATCTGCTTTACAGAAGAGGACTGAGACAAGAGTGGCATGGGGTTGTTGGCACCCAGGCGCCCCCCCTCCATCAGCGTGTGGTGGGGCAGCAGGTGTGCAGATGGGGTGGTCCTGCACAGAGGGGCTTTGGGGCTTGCACTGCGCCCAGGAGGGAGTGGTCTGGGGTTTGTCTAAACCTGGCCCACAGTAGGATGGAACTTGGGAAAGAGCCTGTAGGTGGTGCTGAGGGCAGGGGGTTATGGGGGGCATTGGGGCATGGTCTGCCTGGGAAGGGGAAGGTCCTCTCCAGCCCCCAGGCCTCAGTGGAGTAGTCGGCTCCCTCCTTTCTGCAGCCATGCCTCAGATTCTAGTGTCCCTTGCCCCGCCCACCCATGGCGTCAGGCCTAGCACTCCTGCTCTGCATACGGGGAGGCTGCACGGGAGGGTTCTTGGGGTGCTCCTGTGTCCCCTGTCGTCTGTACTGAACCCCTTCCCGTGCAGCTCTGCTCCCAGCACTGTGACAGGGTGGACACCGCACCTCCTGCTACTGATTCCCAGGATTGCCTTGAAAAATAAAATCCTACGGGTGTGCATTGACGTTTCAATCCTGGCTGGCTCCGCATGAGCTTCTGAACTTGATGTTCAGAAGCTCAGGGCCCATTTGCTGAGTCAGCACAGCTGCCTTCTTTGATTTGTATGAAGCCTTTTGATGTTTTGATGACATGTCACCATGGGTGGCTGTTATTTTCAGGGAGCAGTTTATCTATCAGGATCTGGGATTGCTTCGGGTACTTTTAAAATCTAGGTAAAGCCGGGGTTTCTAAAACATTGTTCTAAAACATTGTCAGGGCAGAGCATGTAAAGCTCTCCCACTACCACTAATAGTGATCTAAAAAGTGCCTCTCCCCTCAAACACACCCTAGTCCTCGGGGAGAAAGCAGAGTGCGGTGGTTAGGAATGCTGGAGCCACAGTCAGGAAGCCGGCATCCCACCCGGCTGCAGCAGCTTGGGGCCCGGGAACATTCTGGATGGGCCACCTGTGCCAGCAGCCCCCCATCTCGTGGGGCTGTGGGGAGGGGAGTTGATCTGGGTCAGTGTCTGTATGGGTGGGGAGGGGAGTTGATCTGGTCAGTGTCTGTATGGGTGGGGAGGGGAGTTGATCTGGGTCAGTGTCTGTATGGGTGGGGAGGGGAGTTGATCTGGTCAGTGTCTGTATGGGTGGGGAGGGGAGTTGATCTGGTCAGTGTCTGTATGGGTGGTGCGGGGAGTTGATCTCGGTCAGTGTCTGTATGGGTGGGGAGGGGAGTTGATCTGGTCAGTGTCTGTATGGGTGGTGCGGGGAGTTGATCTGGTCAGTGTCTGTATGGGTGGGGAGGGGAGTTGATCTGGGTCAGTGTCTGTATGGGTAGGGAGGGAAGTTGATCTGGTCAGTGTCTGTATGGGTGGGGAGGGGAGTTGATCTGGTCAGTGTCTGTATGGGTGATGCGGGGAGTTGATCTGGTCAGTGTCTGTATGGGTGGTGCAGGGAGTTGATCTGGTCAGTGTCTGTATGGGTGGTGCGGGGAGTTGATCTGGTCAGTGTCTGTATGGGTGGGGAGGGGAGTTGATCTGGTCAGTGTCTGTATGGGTGGGGAGGGGAGTTGATCTGGGTCAGTGTCTGTATGGGTTGGGAGGGAAGTTGATCTGGTCAGTGTCTGTATGGGTGGTGCGGGGAGTTGATCTGGTCAGTGTCTGTATGGGTGGGGAGGGGAGTTGATCTGGTCAGTGTCTGTATGGGTGGTGCGGGGAGTTGATCTGGTCAGTGTCTGTATGGGTGGGGAGGGGAGTTGATCTGGGTCAGTGTCTGTATGGATGGTGCGGGGCATGGAGTGCTTGTGCAGATGATGATGATGATGATGAGTTTTCAGTCCATGGGAAGCTCATCGGGTCTGGGGGAGGTGGGTGGGCAAGTCCCTGCACCCAGTTTGGGTACAGGCCATGCTGGGCAGGGGTGAGGACACTAGTGGACCTGTCCTCGGGAGTGACACAAAGGAGGTGGTGAGCCCTGCTTGTGAGATAGGATGAGAGGAGGACCAGGACTGGTCAGGGCCACACTGGAGCTGCTGGGGGTGAGGTCGGGTAAGGGCCTCCCAAGGTGCCCCCACGCTGTCCCCTCTGCAGGGCCCTCCTGAATGTGGCTTGTGCCCTGCTGGAGAAGTTCTCACATGCCTCTTTCTACTCCAGAGTCACTGATTTGGGAGATGGGGCAACAGCTGCACAGCCCCAAGGGCTGCCCTGATTTTCTCACACCGAATATCTAATAGGAAGTTAGCTGAGAAGCCCACACACCTCTTCTTCCAGGTAGGCAAGCTGGGCCTGGGACTACCTGTCTCTCACCGACTCCAAATGATAGCCAAGCCTCTCTTAACCTTGGGCACCTTTTTTCCAGTTTCCACCCCGAATTCACACTCTTCAAAGCCAGCTCCTCCTGCTGGGCTGCTCCTGATGTGGGGGGCCGGCCCTCCCTGCAAATCTCTGGCATGGCCCTTGCAAATTGGCACCTGCCACGTGGTTGGCACTGGGACTGCAAAGGTGAAAGTGGCATTATCCTGCATTTGAAACTCATTCTAGAGGGAGACGGATACATGAGACTCTCCCCGCCCCCATCCAGGTGTGGCCAGGCTCCAGACGAGTTCCAGGCAGGCTTCCAGGACAGGCTCCAGAGTTAGGGACAGGCGGAGAGGCTCTGTGACTTTGAGAGGGGCTTTGGGAAGTCAGCCGACAAGGTGGGGATGAACATAGAGGTGTGTGGGTGTCCTCAGCATGGAAGGGGCTGGAATCGTGATGTGGCTTTGAGCCTGAAACAAGACAAAGGGAAGGCGAGGGACATGGGTTGGGGGATGGTGATGAGAGAGAGACAGAGGGTTCCACTGGGGGCATGGAGGGGAGCCAGGAGAGAACTGGGGAGCTGAGGGGAGGGACATTAGGAAGGCCAGATGTAGCAGGGCAGTTAGGAGATATCTTACTGGGGAAGAAAGCACCCGTTGGCGGTGGCCACCTGTTGGCGGGGTCCCCTGAGCCTGAGCAGCTCTGGTGGATTGGGAAGGCAGAGGCATGGGAATGGTAGATGGACAGTGTCTATAGAGACTTGCACGGAGGGCCCAAGGAGGTGCCAGCAAGCCGAGGTGCTCATAGTGTGTGTGTGTGTGTGTGTGTGCACGCACGCTTGTATGTGAGATATTGACTTGCATTGTACTCATCTGCCGGTGGGGTGTCTAGGGCAGATTGTGGGGAGTGAGAGCATTGGGTATGGGACCCAGGCTGTCCACGTGCGTCTGCTTCTTGAGGCCCCGTACCTCCCGTTCTTGGGCCTCCGTGACACCTGGCATCATGCCTCTCTTGCACCAGAGGCTTGAGAGACACCCAGTTGGCAAAATCAGTTAGTCTGTGACATTCCCTAGGAAGTGCAGGGCTCGGTGCAAGAAGTTATAGAAGTATCTGTTTAGGAAGAAAGATCGCATGGCTGAACACGCTGAGATGCGTAATGTCACCCATGGTGTGCTTGCCCAAGATGTGATAGCGTGGTGATGGCAGACATGGGAGTTTTACCCCAAAGCATTCAGATCACAACCAGTGCCAGTCAGTTACTATGAAGACATGTGACTATGGTAATAGGGGGCTGACCTATTAGAATAACTCCTAATCCTATGTCAGATAATACCATGGGCAGCTCAAGAAAACTACGCACAACTCAGACATGTGGAGAAAGGAGATGTGGAATGGAATGGAGCCCTCTGGGCTGATAGAGGCCTCCAGGACTTGCCACACCCACGTCTGCCCCCAATTCCCCAGTCAGCCTTCACAGAAGAGAAGTTGGTCTCTCTCCAGCTGAGACCAAGCCAAGACCCAAAGTGCTGGAGCTGAAGGAAGTTTGGGCTAGGCTCACAGAAGCTATTGTCCCCTCCTCCAGTGTCAACAGCTACCCATGGTCCAGGCCTCCATCTGGTCCTGGTCCTTTTAAGAGACACTGGGTGCTGACTCACTTCTGGGTCTGTCCCACGGGTGGCCTGCCTGGTCTGCTGTGGGTGCAGCCAGACTGTGCAGGTTCGGGAGCCCGAGGTGGACTTCAGGTAGGGAGACGCTGCTCCCCAAGAGCTGCTCGGGTGTGACGTCAGGGTGGAGGCTGTTGCTGTGTGTGGCGGCATCAGTCATTTACCCTCTTTCTCATTAGCCCCTGTCCTTCGGCCCATGTGCTTGCAGGTGGCCTCTGATTCTGCTTCTGGAGACTGTCTGCCCCCTCTGATTCATTCATTGCGGCCCCAGTTATGTGAAAGATAGCATGTTCATTATTCATTCATTGGGCCCCACTTTTAGATATACTTGTGTTCATCTTCGAGAGAGGGAGGTCATCCAGCCATTCCCCAGTCCTCAAAACCCACTCCACAGGCAAAGCAGTGGTGGGTCAGGGCTCCTCTTGCTGCATTGCGGCCTTGTATTTGCTCTTCTGAGCCACAAGCATAGCGAGAAAGTACAAAAGAAAAGGATTTCAATGGTATTCACCCTGAAAAAGGAAGAAAATTGTGACACAGGCTGCAATATGGACAAACCTTGAAGACGTCCTGCTAAGTGCAATGAGCCAGTCACAAAAGGACAAGTACTGTGTGATTCTACTTCTGAGGCACCCACAGTAGTCAGAGTCATAGAAACAGGAAGTAGAGTGGCGGTGGTCAGGGGCTGGAGAGAGCAGGGAGTGGGGAGCTGGTGTTTAATGGGTGCAGAGGTTCAGTTGTGAAGATGGAAGCATTCTGGAGGTCATCGGTGGTGATGGTCGCTCAACAGTGTGAATGTACTTAATGCCACTGAATTGTACACTTAAAAATGGTTAAGATGGTAAATTGTATGTTATGTATACTTACCACAATAAAATAAATAAAGAAAAGAAGAGGTTTTTCAGTGAATAACTGGTTTGAACCAATTTGGATCCTCTAAAACCAAGTTGAGCCAGTCTGAACCCATGTAGCCATTATCACACCGTGTTAGGCTATTCTTGCACTGCTTTAAAGAAATACCTGGGGCTGGGTAATTTATAAGAAAAGAGGTTTAATTGGCTGACAGTTCTGCAGGCTGTAGAGGAAGCATAATACTAACATCTGCTTCTGGGGAGGCCTCAGGAAGCCTTCAATGGTGACAGAAGGCAGAGTGGGAGCCAGCACTTCACATGGTGAGAATGGGAGCAAGAGAGAGAGTGGGGGTTGGAGGGGGAAGCGCCACACACTTTTAAACAACCAGTTCTCTTGTGCACTCAAAGTAAAACCTCACTTACTACCAAGGGGATGGCCCACATCATTCATGAAAGATTCACCCCATGATCCAGACACCTCCTACCAGGCCCCACTTCCAGCATTGGGGATTGCATTTCAGTATGAGATTTGGGCAGGGACAAATATCCAAACTATATCACCCACAAAGAAGCAAAAACATTTTGGGCCAAATCAAAACTATTTAGATGTAGCCACAGTGGGGATGAACTGTGATTATACCCATTCAGGCCTGTGGACCTGTGGACCTGGCGTGTGTGGTCGTGAGGCGGTGGGTCGGCACATCCCTGGGAGGTTTCAGGAGGACATTCAAGACCAAAATGAGCCATGAGTAAATAACACAACCACATCCTGAGTGGGAGTAGGGGAGCCTCCCCTTCTCTCCTAGGTCTTGTATGGGTCATGATCCCGCCTTGGCAGGAGTGGAAGGAACAGATCCCACAGGCTGTGGCTTATGGTAAAGTGATTGTGGTCATGCCTTGTGAGTGTCATTAAAATAAACATATATCGTTAAATCCACCATCAAATAACAGCTATTTCTGCCATCCTCTCGCCTTTTCCACAAGTTTAAATATCCCAGATATTCTACTGTGTATATTCCTAAAAGCAGACAGGTAGATTTAGTAAAGTTAACTGGATCATTGGTACCTTCTTTATAGATCATCTGGTGAAACTTGTTTTTCAAATTATGAGTTGTAGGGCTTTGTTTTAATGTCTGTAGCCTTAGGCAGTTCCATTGAGACTAAGTTTTTTTCTTATTAAGACTAATCTTATTGACTGGAACTGTGGACTCCTCGTATTAGGAGAACAGAGATGTGGCCTACATAAATTAGTGGAAGTTAAATACTGTAGAAAATGCTCTCTGGAAACCAAAGTCTAACATCGACTTACTACTGGTCATTCAATTTCCTTTTGGCTTGGGCACCATCGTTACATTCATTTTTCAGATGTCAAGCTAGTTTTCTCAGAATGTGTGCAGGGCTCGAGGCCAAGTGTGGAGGCCACAGGGGAGGTCACAGGTCAAGCCTTCTGGGAGAACTGCAAGCTTGAGCCTCTGATAAAGTCACGCGATTGAATTTTAGCCCCAGTAGGTTGCTGTCGTTAAACTGTGCACACAGGGCTTCTTGCTTTTAAGTTAGCAGGATGGAAAAATTGCGGATGTTTGCAGCAAATGTGTAGAACCAGTGGCAGAAGCAGCCATGCTGGCCCCTAAGCAATGGTATTAGAAAGGGTTGATGAAGATTTTCTCATTTGAGAGTTGAACAAAACCAAATGGAATTCTCCCTAGTTCCGCAGCACTGGTGGGTGACTCTCCCTGGGCCGGTCTCAGCCCTGCAGAAAGGGGCACTGTCTGCTTAGCTTGGTCAGCGCAGGGTCTACTGCAGCAGAGTGCCAGGTGGATCACAGCCCTCTTGTGGGGGAAGGATGGGCGGAGCTCCCACCTTCCCCACAAATGGACACAGAATGGCACCTGGTATGTGAGGCAGGTGCAGGTGACCAGGAGAAGGGGCTGTCAGTGGTTGATGGACAGCTGCCTCTGCTGCCTGGATGACCCACCCCCTCCCCTGGACCATCTCCCACTTTGCCTGGGTGTCAGTCACTGGAGGGTTAGCTCAGTACAAGCTGGCGGATGACCTCCGTAGAGCTTAGGTGAAGGGGCTCTCACAGGGCAGTATGTTTGAGACCCTTAGAGGGCTCTCTTTACTCTTGCTTCTCCTATTATTTTTAAACTGTAGTAATACACACGTAACATAAAGTTTACCATTTTAAAGTGTACAATTCAGTGGCATTTATCACAATGTTGTGCAACCACCTCTGCTCTTTAGTTCCAGAACATTTTCGCTGCCCCCAGAGGAGACCCTGTATTTATTAAGCAGTCACTCCCCATTCTTCCCTCCGCCCCCAGCCCCCACAGTGAAAAATCTGTTTTCTCTCACTTTGGATTTGTCTATTCCGGATATTCCATAAAGATAGGATCAGACAATATGTGCCCTTTAGTGTCTGGCTTATTTCATCATCATGTTTTCAGGGTTCATCCCTGTTGTAGTGTGTGTCAGTACTTTGTTCATTTTTGTGGCTGAATGATATTCCACTGAATGGCTATTTTACATTTTATTAATCCACTCATCCACTGATGGACATTTGAGTTGTTTCTACCGCATGATTAATGTGAATAGTGCCACTGTGACCATATGTGTACAAGCTTTTGTGTAGACACTTGCTTTCAGCTCTTTTGGGTGTATCACTAGGAGTGGAATTCCTGGGTCATGTGGTTATTCAGTGTTTACCGTTTTTAGGAACCACAGATGTTTTCCACAGTGACAGAACATTTTACATTTTCACCAGCAATGCATGAGGGTTCTGATTACTTTCAAAGGAAAAAAATTAAGCAGCCCTGTCACCTTGATGGTTTGGTCTCTGGCCTCACCGCTTCAGCTCCTCTGGCCTGATCTCCCAGGGCCTGCTTTTGTTCATGTGTGTGTCTGTTTATACCCTGGCTCATCCTGTGGAGGGTCTGAGGCTGGCAGGATCACTGGGTTCTGTCTCCACATTGGAAGGTGAGCTGTCCTAGGTCAGGGTCTTTGTTGCATGCATCGTCCTGTCCTTAGCAAGAGCTACCCTGTGCCATATGGGACATACAACAGGCACCTGTTCAGGCCTGGCCATGTGGGCCCACCTTTGGATGGTACTTGACAAAGCCTCAAAATGCAGTGACAAGTTTAGATAAATATGATTCTGTTCTGAAATGCTGCACTGGACACAGCCATCCACTGCCTGCCCTTTACAGGGCTCTGTGAAGAGACAGTGAACAATGAAGTGGAGGACGTGTGCAGGTGGCCCCAGTGGTCGGTGATGGAGGAGAGATTTCAGCAGACCAAGCACGGAGAATAAAGCCAGGCCAGAGTGTGCTATCAGCCTGTCTGCCCCCTAGAGCTGATGGACTCAGCAAATAACAGTATAGGGTACCCAGTTACATTCGAATTTAGACGGGTATAGGATTTTGGTTTTTCAAGATGAAAAAACTTATAGTGGTGAGGGTTGTACAACATTATGAATTTAATAACACTGAACTGTACACTCAAAAATGGTTAAGATAGTATATTTTATTGTATGTGTATTTTACCATAATAAGCAATTGAAAAAATAAGTTGTATTTCAGGTAGATAGCGAATAATTTTTTAGTATAAATATGTTCCATGAGATGTCTGGATACCGGGATGCAGGAGGGACTCCCCTTCCTCCTCCCATTCACAGGCCTGCCTAGAGATTTGTAAGTACAGACTGACTGGCTGTTTTTCCCAGTGTGTCTTGTCGTGATACTTTTAAGCCACAGATCCGCTTTGAAAAGATATGATCTCCCCCAGGGGAGTAACTATTATAAGAACAAATACTCTATCCAAGCTTCCATTCTCCTCAAGATAAACATCACAGGAGTGACCTGAATTGTAAAGAGGAGTGGAAGGAAAAGAACAATACCGTAATGTTTTCTGAGCCACGCAGATGTCAGGGGACGGATCCAAGGGCGTCTGAAAGAAGACGTCCACGCTGCTGAGTGAGACCTTCCTCTGTGCTGCTGAGTGAGACCTTCCATCTGACCAGGGGGTCATGCTCTCACTGCTCCTGCTTGGAGTTCTGGTGCTGTAGCGGGTCTCGGCCGCCCCTTCTGAGCTGGGTGGAGGAAGAAGTCCCTGTTGAAATATCAGATGAGTAGGGATGATCGCCTCTTTTGAAAACAGGAGCCGTGAAGGGATTCCCAGAGAAGATTGTCATCTAACGGAGTCATTCGTCCGCCCAGGACTTCTCTGTCACAGGGTTACGTTTGGGAGAATTTTCACAGGCCACTGGGGATGGCTGTGGCTAGCCTGGCTTTCCACTGATGCCCTCTATCCCTAACCTCAGCTCCTGACATGGCTGTCATTCCAGAGAGTGCTTGGAAGCATCCTGACTATGTTGACGATGGCCTGAGCGGAGTGAGTGTGCACTAGTTTGGTGTTGTTTCATCCAAAGCAATGTGATTATATTGCTGTACTTTCAGTTTCATCAAGCAGGCAAAATGAGAATTGACACTTTTTAAAATCCAAGCTTTAGTTTCACCACCTGGAGCCAAGGTGTTTATTAGAAAGATTTATTGGCATTAGTGTATTTTTATTACAAGCATTTATCTCTGTGCTGAACAGTTGCCCCTGAGTCCCGTGTGCTGTGAAGAGTCTGTGCCACACCACACATTAATTTTCTGTCCTCAGAGCTCCGGGGACACACGCTGATTCTCATGCTGTGCCTGCCGCCTTCTCCGAGTGATGGCTGATGTGGGTTTCAGGCCCCACTACAGTTACTCAGCGACAGATGGGACCCCGTGTCCTCTGTTGGCTGTAGGGAGTTGAGGCGACCCTGGCTGGCATCTTGTTTTGAGGGGTGGCTGGCTGCTGTACTTTGGGGAGGGCATAACAGGATTTAAATAGTATCTTTATCTAGGATGCCTGGAGCCCCAAATCCATGTGGGCCTCCCACTGTGTGAATTTCAGATGCTGCCAGCCCCCCAACCCCGCCACCCCTGAGATGGAAATTAGAGCACCAGATGGGCTCTCCCAAGGAGAAGCATCACAAGCCCACCCTCCTGCCTCTTTGGAAAGTAACCCTGGCTGTTTATTGTGAGATGTGGTTGTCATGGTGACAAGTGGACACCCGCTTGGGAGGGAGATAGAGGAAACGCTGTTATGGAGGAAAGGTCACCCCTAGAGACAACCTTGTGTTGCCCGTGGACACCCCATACTATGGCCTCCGTACTGGGGAGTCCCATGGGTAGGGCATGGGGGTGCAGCCATCAGTCTGTGTCCCCAGCCAAGCCTTGAGCCCTGGCTTGAAGTTGCATGAAGGTACAGTGGCTGGCCCAGCCCTAACCCGTGGTGGATGCAGCCCCTGTTGTGTCCCCCAACCCCTGACTTATCTGGCCGCCTGATGAGAGTCTGTCGCCCTACATCTGTGGCGCTCCCTCTGCCTGACAAATTAAATCCCGCCCAGCTTGCAGGAGGGATGTTGTTAACCTGATTTCATTTGCTGGTGGGCTGGTTGATTTCTTTGGGGTTTTTTTGGAGATGACCAGCACCTGTCCAGCAACTAGTAAGGCAGGGAAGGCCTCCAGGAACCCAAGTCCATGCAGAAGGGCACTGTGTTGGGGAACTTTCAGACAAGTGGGTAAAATACCGACGTGTGCTATGTGCACCTTGAAATAGCAAAGTGTCCTCAACAGAGCTCTCTGGGGGATGTCCCAAATAAGGTTTACTTTAGGAGAATGTGAGCGGCATCTGAGGCGAGATTCTCTTGTTGCATCCTTTGGAAGCTTTTGCTTGGTGTTCCTTGGCCATAGCAGGAAGATCAGTGCCAGGGATGGGTGAGGGGAAGAAACCTTGCAGGAGCGGTACCTGGGCCAGTCTCAGCCCTGCAGAAAGGGGCGCTGTCTGCTCCACTTGGTCAGTGCAGGGTCTACTGCAACAGAGTCTCGGGTGGTCACAGCCCTCTTGTAGGGGGAAGGATGGGTTTTGCTCCTGGGATGCTAGGCTTCGAAAAGCAGGGCAGTGTGCCAGCAGTCCCAGACAAACCAGAGCCGGGCCTTTGGTCATGCCAGGACAGCAGGGTGTGGTCTGGCTAGGCCTGTGAGCCCCTGTGGGGCTCAGGGGTAGGGGCAGCAGGACTGGGGGAGGCAGGGACCAACCAGACTTCAGAACTGCTGGGTCCCAGCTGCACCCCTGCACCACCTCAGCTCTAGGAAGGGCAGCCCCATGTAGCTTTCTTGAGATGTAGCAGCAGTGCTCTCCCTTCTCCCTCGCCATCCTTAAAGCCCGGTGCCCGCTCCCCTGCATCCCCCACTCCCATTGCCTCTGAAATCCGGTGGTGTCTGTGATCCTGGAGGGGAGGCTTAGCCAGCAATCATTCCAACTACCTGGGGCACGGCATATCTGCCCCCATCAGTGCTGGGAGGGTGGGCCCAGATCCTTTAATTTTTCTCAAAACCCCAGAGAGGCAGAGTTCCATCAAAGAGCAAGACACTGATAGACTAGGACAGGGGATAGGGCTGGCAGCCATGCCTCGTGGCATCACCTGACTCCGAGAGAAGCCAGCCCAACACTTGGGGTCTCAGTTTTCTCACCTGTCAAGCAGGGGGAAGAATATTCATTGTGTACACAAGAGGCTTTTGTAAACCCTAAGGTGCTAGGTAAATTAGGTAAATGTAACTTTTTTTTTGAGACTGAATCTCACTGTGTTGCCCAGGCTGGAGTGCAATGGCGCCATCTCAGCTCACTGCAACCTCCGCCTCTCAGGCTCAAGTGATTCTCCTGCCTCAGCCTCCCGTGTAGCTGGGATTACAGGCATCCACCACCATGCCCGGCTAATTTTTTGTATTTTTAGTAGAGACAGGGTTTCACCATGTTGGCCAGGCTAGTCTCAAACTCCTGACCTCAACTGATCTGTCTGCCTTGGCCTCCCAAAGTACTGGGATTACAGGCGTGAGCCACTGTGCCCAGCTGGTAAATGTAACTTTTATCATCAGTGTCTTCCTTGCCATCATCATATTGTTATTTCTCGATAATTTATTTCCAGAAAGTTCTGGAACTGGACTTACCATGCAGGCTCCGGAACCTCCTCTGGGAGGTGGACAGGGATTTAAGGGCTATGGATCTGGCTTCTGTCTTCTGGATGATATAAGGAACTAAATAGAGAAAATATACCTAACCTTAAATTTTATTAATTGAAGTAGAAGCAGTTGTAGTTTGGTGTCTTCTTTAAGAGAAGACTTATGACATGTACTTGGGGCATTTTCTATGTTGTAGTAACAGATTGGCTAATTTGCATTTATTCTCATCCAAGAATTTAGGTTTTTTAAAAATATGGCTTTTAACTTTTTGGGCACTCTTGGTGGGAACGTAAATAGTACTACTGCTGTGGAAAACAGTATGGAAGGTCCTTAAAAACTGAAAAATAGAGTTATCCTATGATCCAGTGATTTCACCTCCAGGTATGTACGTAAAGGAAGTGGAAGTGAAGACTCAAGAGATATTTGCACACCCACGTTCATAGCAGCACCATTCACAATAGCTAAGAATTGGAAGCAACCCAAGTGTCCATCAATAGATGACTGGATAAACAAGAGGTGGCATGTACACACAGTAGAATGTGATTCAGCCCTTAAAGGAAGGAAATTCTGCCATGTGCTTCAATGTGGACGACCCTTCAGGACATTTTGCTGAGTGCAATAAGCCAGTTCCAAAAGGGCACATACTGACTGCTTAATCACTCCACTTACATGAGGGGCATAGAGCTGCCCAATTCACAGAAACAGAAAGTAGAATGGTGGTTGGCAGGGGCTCAGGTTGGGGTTGGGGTTGGGCATATTGAGGAGTTTGTTTAATGGGTACAGAGTTTTAGTTTTGGGAAGAGGAAGACATTCTGAAGGTGGATGGTGACCATGGTTGTACGACAGTGTGAATGTACTTAGTGCCACTGAACTGTACACTTAAAAATGGTCAAATGGTGAACTTTATGTTATGTGCATTTTACTGCAATCAAAAGATAACAAATTTCAAAATGATTTAAAATAACTTTTTTAGAAGTATGAAAATAGAATATTAAGTGCATAGCAGTTTAAGTATAATTAAATAGACGTCTGCACACACACCTATACACATACAGACATACACATGCATTTTACAAAATTGTATCACATTGCATATTCAGGTTTTGCATCTTGCATTTCTCTAACATATAAAATCACGATCTTTAACTTCCCCGTTTCCAGGTTTGCAATGGTCTGGAGCAGCCAAGGAAGCAGCAGCGCTCTGATCTCAATGGACCTGTTGACAATAACAACATTCCAGAGGTAATTTTTTTCAAGGATGAGAGTTCTGGGCTGGAACACTCATCTAATGATGGAGTGGCCCACCGAGTTGTGGTCTGCTCACTTTGTCCATGATGTTCTCATCCCACCCGGTGCCTGGGGGAGAGGGAGTCCAGGTCAGGCCAAGTTGGTGTCACCATATGGTGAGGAGGTGAGGGCACACTGGCCTGGGAGGAGGGAGGAGAGGGCCTCCCTGATGTTAGGACCATGCCATGGAGTGCTCTTGTGTTGCAGATGGTGTGTGTGTGGGGGTGGGGGACCATTGGTACTACTTAATTTTATAAAAAGCCATTCTATTCATTGTCTGATAACCATGTTCTAAACTAGGGTTTCTCAACAATGACACCATTAACATTGAGGCCTAGGTAATACTTTGTTTTGGGGACTGTCCTGTGTATTGTAGTTGAGCAGCATCCGTGGCCTCAACCCACTAGATCCTTGTACCTACCCCATCCCCATCCCTGATTTGTGGTAACCAAAAATGTCTCCAGACATTGCCTAATGATGTCCCTTTGGGAACAAAAATCATCCCAGTTGAGAACCACTGTTCTAAATCAACAACAGGTTTTAACAAACAATTTCCTATAAGCTAACAGTGCTATGATGGAAGTTATTTCCCCTTTCTGGTAACATAGTTTAGATGAGATTATTTAACTTTGATGAAATAACGATGGCCACCGATGGAGTGGTATCCAGTCTCCTTTATCTTGCTTTTAAAGATGGGCCTGGATGGCTCTCATGCCCCCTGGTTGGAGCGTCATTGTGTTGGATGGTCCCTAGGCTCCCTTCTAGTCAAGATATGCTAGTCTGAGGGCCCCTAAGTTTTAGATGATGGGCTTTTGGGCCACTCCCCAACATCATGTTGCCTGCAGCAGACTGGTTTCCTGTATGGAGCTGACATCTTCAGAACACCATCACTCATGGGGGGTTTGCTTTTCTCATTATGGCTCATATCACAGCCCTGCTTAGCCTTCACCTTGTGGGCTACCTACTTAACAATTGTTATGTGTTTTATTTTTCCATATTTCCTAACAGACAAAGAAGGTGGCATCATTTCCAAGTTTTGTGGCTGGTAAGTGACTTTGAATTTTATTTCTCAAGGGGCAGTTGCATTTTACATCAAAATAAATGGTGCTTTTAGTTTGGGCATTCACCTGCAAAGCTTGTTTACAAAGCGTGCCTACCTACCAGCAAGGTGCTTGGCCATTGTCTGTTTGAACACTGTGTAGCCCCACTTAGTGGGGAGGGGAGGTCCAGCTGATCTGCCCGCTTTGATGCAAGGAACAGTAGACGATCTCCTTTAATTATACCCTCACTAATTGCATCACAGACGACACTGATGACTGAATAGATTGAGATGTGTCTTTATAAGCAGCTGGTTATAGCTAACACTTCTGATCAGGGTGGATATAATGCATTCAAATTCAGGCTTTTTTTTTTTTTTTAGATCCTTTGTTTTTCTTTACCGTTCCACCCTTTTTGAGGAGGTTAATAGTGCATTTCAACATTCAGTAAAGAATGAAACTGGTCGATATGTTCTGTGTCACTCTTGGGGATGGGGAGCACACTTGCCTGGCTTTGACGGAGCTGAGCATCTGGAGACCTTGCAGGGCCCCTGTAGGAGATCCACTGGGTTTGCTTCTAGTGCTCCAACCTCAGAGTAAAGAGCTTGTTCGGCAGGATTTCTGTCTTTGCCAGGAGGATGTTTCCTGCCCCTGCTAATGTGTTATAATAAACAATGTGAATTTCATTAATTCTTTCAATAAGCTGGTAATTAATTCTTATAAATATTTATGGGAGCAAGGTAAATTAGTTTTCAGAAATAAATGACTTTCAGCCCTTCCCATGCTGCTTTTCTTTTTTTAGCAAACAACTAAAGCCTGGGGAACTGAAGCCCCCAAATTCGCCTTTAGAGAACTAGTTTGAACCAGGCTAATCCAGTTCCAATTGGTTGAAACTGGATTAACTGGCTCAAATCAATTTTGACTGTTATAACTGGCTTAATGCTGCTCAGATTGGGTGAGAATCTGTTTTAAACCATCAGAATTAATATCATGCAATTGAGATAGACTTGGTTCCATTTTGACCAATTCAGATAGGCTAAAATGGGTTTTGCCCAGCAGTTTACATGTGGTTTTAGGTACATTTTATCTGGTTCAAATTGGTTTTCTTCAGGCCACAGCAGGTTATGATGATTCCTGGAAGAGACCACACTCCCCACATTCCCGCTTGTAGTGTTTGATTGGGTTCCTGGTTTATAGGAGCTGGCACCTCGTGAGCAGGGCGAATGCAGTACGTCACTGTGCCATTTTCCTTGGCAGGCAGAAGCCAGGGTGGGGTTGCCAGTCACACTGCTCCAGTGAGGCAGGGTCTCCTGGATCCAAGAAGCTCACTTGTCAGTGTATCATAGTGTCATCTGGACAGAACTCTCACACTAGGAGGTGATTTAGACATTAAATTCCCCGACCCTTGAACCAATCTCATATCTGCAGGGAGTGGGATCGTGAGGGATCGGGAAGCAGTGTCAGTGCCTGGGGTACCTCGGACTCTAGCTCCTGGCATCCCAGAAGACTTGGTTCCCTGCACCACTCAGACTGTTCCAAAGCAAATCCAAACAAGGCCGGTGGCTTAAAACAATTCAGACAGGCTAAAACTGCTGTGACCAGCTAGAACCAATGTGGAAAACCTGAATTTATAGTTTCTTCTGTAGGAGAGAAGCCCTTTGATTGTTATGAAAACATAGAAAACTGAAGCAAAACAACATCCTTTACTATTACAGCATTTATATGCAGCGAGGCCTTCATGGACCAAAATCTTACTCAGCAACAGGAAGAGATCATCATAATGGTGATGCCAAACCCTAGAATATAATGGATATGGGAAAAGTTTCTCCAAATTAAACACCGTTATCAGTTTGAATGCCTTTGGGTACAAGTATCAAAATCCCCACCTAACGTTACACAAATAGGTGTGTGTCTTACATAAAGAAGTCCAGGGTTGGACGTGGTGGCTCACGCCTGTAATCCCAGCACTTTGGGAGGCCGAGGCGGGTGGATCATGAGGTCAGCAGATCAAGACCATCCTGGCCAACATGGTGAAACCCCGTCTGTACTAAAATACAAAAAATTAGCCAGGCGTGATGCTGAGCACCTATAGTCATGCTATTTGGGAGGCTGAGGCAGGGGAATCGCTTGAACCCAGGAGGCGGAGATTGCAATGAGCCAAGATCACACCAGTATACGCCAGCCTGGCAACAGAGCGAAACTCCGTATCAAAAAAAATATAAAAAAAATATTAAAAAGTCTAGAGGTGGCCAGGCACGGTGGCTCATGCCTGTAATCCCAGCACTTTGGGAGGCCAAGGTGGGTGGATCACAAGGTCAGGAGTTCAAGACCAGCTTGACCAATATGGTGAAACCCTGTCTCTACTAAAAATACAAAAATTAGCCAGGCATGGTGGCGTGTGCCTGTAGTCCCAGCTACTTGGGAGGCTGAGGCAGGAGAATCACTTGAACCCGGGAGGCGGAGCTTGCAGTGAGTCAAGATCATGCCACTGTACTCCAGCCTGGGCGGCAGAGCAAGACTCCATCTCAAAAAAAAAAAAAACAAAACAAAAAACAAAAAAAAAAAGTCCAGAGGCAAGAGGCCGCCGGTTCGATGGCTCTGTGATGTCAGGATTGGCGCTGTTGTGTCTCTTGGCCTCCTCTTCAGGCTTGTCACCTCATCGTCACACAGTGTGTGGGCAGCCCCAGCCATTGCTTCTCGTTCTAGGCAGGAAGAAAAAAGGAGAAGGGCTGAAGTCCACACCAGCTGGACGTCCTCCCCTTGACATTAGGAAAGCAAAGGTTTTCTGTGGATTAAGAGGTGATGACTTCTCTGCATGAGAATCGGACCCTCTGTTACCTTTCATAGTGTGCTCCCTGGGTAACCTGAAAGGCAGCGTGTCAGCTGTGTCTCCAGGCAACATTGCTTATGGTGAGATGCTCTTTTTGATAAACTGTATCTAGATGGGAAAATTCTAATGCTTGCGGGGCAGGGCATCCAGGGCTTTGAGCTTCTCACAGTGGTGACTTTCGTGACTGGCATGTCTCTTGAAGGTGACCCTGGAAGCTATGCCCCACCCATGGGGTGATTGTGAGAGATACTGGCTGCTGGGAGCATGAGGCTCTTAGACCAGATGGGTTCCACATGCCCTTCTTGGTGGGAGTTTTGTACCCTTGCAGCTGACCCATCCAGGGAGTTCTGTACCATTGCAGCTGACCCATCCAGGGGCCCATGAGACTAGCTGTGTGGGTGCAGTGTGGACTCCCATCAGAGAGTCCAGGAGGCAAACTGGCGTCTGTCTTGTTCCCTTGGAGTAGACGGCCCCATGTCTAGCTGAGCCTTAGGACACTGCATGCTTCTGAATATCTAGTTGAACCTTACTTAGAAGACCCAGAAGCCTCTTCGACACACTGCTTATTTCTTTGTGGCCAGAGCTGTGTCACATGACCAGCCTCTCAGATGTTAGTGTTGGCCAGACAATCAAACCCTGGGCTTTTTATGAAGGCAGGGCAGGTCTGGAATCAGCCCTGGGTGCCTGCCGCCACTTCCCATCCCACTGCGGGCCCTTCCAGCCTCCTGGCGTGTCCAGTGCTGAGGCTGAGTATGTGAGTTCCTGGGAAGCCCCTGTGTAAGGGAGGAGCAGCTCCTCCACCCTATTTGTGTCTGAGAAGTTGCCCTGAAGGGAAATGTTCCTGGAGTATTCATGAGTATTTGGTCTCAGCTTATGCCTTATTTCATATCAGATAATTGTTGATAATAATGAAAAAAATAATAGTAACAATGCACATGATACCGTCTGAACCCTCGTTGGGGCCTGGTGTCCACTCCCTGTGCCATGCAGCATCTCTCTATTTCATGTCGCCTGGTCAACCACCACGTGAGGAGTAAGTACTTTCCCCCGTCTGATAGGTTAGAAAACTGATGCACAGTGAGGCTAAAGTCACTTGTGTGCAGTCCCATGGCTGTGCGGGGGACAGAGCCTGGACTTGGACCCATGTCTTGGTGCTTGACACATAAACTCGTAGCCGAGGTCATTCCTCCCTACCCAGCATGCCTTCATATACCAGGAATAGGTAAGACCTGTCAGGTGCTTTCTTTGAGCCAGGCCCAGATCTAAGTGTTTTAAGTATATCAACTTAACAATCACTATATCCACAGCTCAGGGAGAGTGAATCCCGGGCCGAAGGTCACCAGGTAGCAAGTGGCAGAGTTAGGATTCGAACCAGTCTGGAATCTGAGCTCATCACCACACTGCACTGCCTGGCGACCCTCACGCAGTGGGTGAGGAAGAACCTTCACTTAGAGAAGACCTACCATGCAGGTGCCAGAGAGTTCAGTGGAGGGGAGCGTTCCAGATGCCAGAGCTCCTGGCCTTGTCAGGCGCAGGATCACAGCCTTCTCTCAGCAGAGGCATTGTGAGGAAGGGCCTGCCACAATCACTGTCTGTGGAAAGTTCTCGGGGTCTAGCGACCCTCTCAGACTGGGAAGGTTAACGCTGCAGAGAAAACCTCCTTATGAAAGTGCGGATTGCACAGAGGATGCACTGCCTGTCCTGCGGGGAGGAATCCGAAAGCAGCCACCCTCAAGATGTCCCCTCCTACAGGACGTGGTGTCTGGCAGCAGCTTGAGCCCAAGCTGCTTAGAGGGTCACTGCCTCTGGATGAGTATATGTGAATGACCAGCTTTTCTATACAGGTAAACACGTGCTCATTAAAACCAAAAGGCTGATGTTAGTCCCAAGCAATGGGGCCTAACAGTGGCAGCTTCAGTACAAAATAACAAAGACTGGTAAATCTTACTCTGCTTTTTGTACTTTGTTCTCCTCATCCAAAGCTCATACAGGATGTTTTGAAACCCACCACCCCACCAGCAGCTTGAGGCTTATGCCAAAATGCTGCCAGGCCTTAGGGTCCTGGGGTCCTTTACAGCCTGTCTATAGCTCATCAACTTGCCCAGCTCCGTGTGGATCATGTGGAAGGCATGGAGATTACATGCCCCAGACCTGGAGCTGAGCTCACCTATCACCCCTTCCTTCTCTCAGGGGTCCTCACAGTGGTAAAGCTGCTTTGTTGGTTTCATACAGTGGGCACATGGGATCTGAGACTTAGTTTGCTCTTAAAATAGGCAGTTGGGGTGAACCTGTTCAGATAAGACTCTTAAAGTGAAGACATCTCCCACCTCCTCCTCTTTGGTGTATTTGGGTGGGGGATGGACGGGAGGAAGGTCACCCTGTGGGACCAGAGGGGATGTGGCGCATTCCAAAGAGGAGTTATGGAAACCCAGATGACTTTCCTTTTTCTACAAACAAGATCATGTTTCTCCTGTACTACATGCAGTCAGCAGGAATAGGGATTCGTCGTTTTAAAATCTGAACTTTTATTCACTAAGTAGAAGTTGTTAAAGATTTCTCAGAATAGTGCTTGTATCAGACCAAGAGCTGCAAGAGTTAAAAATGAGAAATCCCCACAGTACCTCTTGTTCTGCCTATACATCCCAGATCCCTAGTCCTTCTGTATAGTGGAAGCCACTTACATTTCTTGTGAATTTCTCCAGGAATTTCTCAGCTCATCCATAGGCCCTTTTCCTTAAATAGACATTGCACTGGCCACATGGCTCTGTACTTAGCTTTTTCCTTTCTTGCTAGATCTTGGAAACAGCAATAGGTCCACCTGATTATTTAAGCGGCAGCACAGGATCGGTTGAGTGGATGTGGGATGGGGTATTAACCAGCCCCCTTGGACTGATTGTTGGGAGATTTCCAGTCAGTGCAGCAGTGAACAGCCTTGTGGCTACGCCTTTGTGTTTGGGTGTGGGTTCTTTTATGGAGGCGGTTCCTGGCTATGGCAGGGGTACAGGCCAGGAGCACAGCAACTCTGATAGACACGGGCAGAATGCCTTCCCAAGGGGGGACAGCGTACGCTGCTGTTGGTCATGTATGAGAGTTGGTTACGTATGAGGTTCCCACACTGTTACCAACACTGCATGACCGGCTGTTTGATATAAGCTCCAGGCCGATGGGTGCAAAGAGGTGTCTTGTTGATTTCACGTGTCTTTCATAATAAGTGAAGCCAAACACTATTTCGTATGTTCATAGGTGGTTTTTCTTTTCAGTGCACTGCCAGTTTGTTTCCTGTGCTCATTCCTCTGTTAGATTTTCACCCCCAGCTTTATTGGCGTATAACTGACAAATAAAAGTTTTGTATATTAAGTCATACAATGTAATGTATTGATATAAGTTTACATGGTGAAATGACTACCACAGCCAAGCGCATTAACATAGCCATCACTTCACATAGCTACCTTTTTGTGTGTGTGGTGAGAACACTTCAGATCGATTGTCTTAGCAGATTACTAGTATACAATACAGGATTATTAACTACAGACATTTACTCATCTCATAACTAAAGGTTTGTACCATTTGACCAATATCTCCCCATTTCCCCCACCCCTCAGCCCCTGGCAATTGGGAATTTGGGTGTTTCTTATTGATTTGTATTATTCTTTACATATAAAGGAAATGAACCCTTTGGTTTGTACTGTAAAAGTTTACCCCAGCTTACCATTCTTTTCTTCTTCTTCTTTTTTTGGTATGCTTTTTACTTTGCTAAACATGTCATTTAGTCAAATATATCAGTCTTTTTCCTTTGAGCTTACTGAGTTTTTGAGGTTAGTGTGACCATCACACTCCTAAGATTATTTTTGAAAATAAAGTTGTTGGCCAGGCACAGTGGCTCATGCCTGTAATCCCAGCACTTTGGGAGGCCAAGGTGGGCAGGTCACCTGAGGTCAGGAGTTCAAGACCAGGTTGGGCAACATGGTGAAACTCCGTCTCTACTAACAGTACAAAAAATAAACTGAGCGCAGCAGCACGTGCCTGTAATCCCAGCTACTAGAGAGGCTGGGGCAGGAGAATTGCTTGAATCTGGGAGTTAGAGGTTGCAGTGAGCCGAGATCGTGCCACAGTGCTCCAGCCTGGGCAACAGAGTGAGACACCGTCTCAAAAAAAAAAATTAATTGATTAATTAGTTAAATAAAAAGCTGTCTTCCAGGACTTTGGTATTATTTTAAATTATTTAAATAATTGATTTATCTGGAATTTATCTTGGTGTATTTATACAGGAAAAGTTACATTTTAGGCATTTTGTCCCAATAGCTAGCCAGTTATGCCAGAACTATCCAAGGAATCTTTCCCTTGCAAGTTTGAAATGCTGCCTTTACCGTACCCAAATCGTCATGTGGGTCTCGGTCTGTTTCTGGATCTGTTACAGGGACGGTCCATTCAGGTTCCAGATCCAGGCTGCTTTATTTACTGGGGATTTATGGTGCATTTTATTACCTGGTAGGGCTACTTTCAGACCTTGCCACCATCATTCCATTTCAGATTTTTTTCCTAGGTATTTTTGCACTTTTATTTTTCCATAGTAACTTTAAAACTAGCTTGTCTGGTTATTCACTGCAAACTCTTTTGTTTGTTTTGTTTTGTTTTGAGACAGAGTCTCACTCTGTCGCCCAGGCTGGAGTGCAATGGCGCAATCTTGGCTCACTGCAACCTTCGCCTTCTGGGTTCAAGCGATTCTCCTGTCTCATCCTCCCGAGTAGCTGGAATTACAGGGGTGCACCACCATGGCCGGCTAATTTTTGTATTTTTAGTAGAGATGGGGTTTTGCCATGTTGGTCAAGCTGGTCTTGAACTCCTGACCTCAGGTAACCCATCCACCTCAGCCTCCCAAAGTGCTGGGATTACAGGCATGAGCCACCGCGCCCGGCCCACTACAAACTCTTACTGGTATTTTTATTAGGCATGCTTAAAGTCTGTCCATTTAGGGGAAAAAATGTCAGCTTTACAACATAGTCTTTCTAGCCAACAAAGGATTTATCTGTCCACTTGTTCAAGCTCATTTATCTTCATCGGTAAAGTTTTTTCATAAAAATTCAACACATATCTTGTTTGTCTGTTTCTTGTTGTTTTATCCCTTTTATTGTTTTTGTAAATGCTGACTTTCATTATTTTTCAACATGTTGCTGTTTGTAGGTACAAAGAAAGCTATCGATTTTTATATATTAAATTTGAAACCATTGCCTTAGTGAATTCTCTTATTTTTTAAAAATAGATTTTTAGTTGTTTTCTTGAGTTTTTCCTGGCATGCAATCATACCATCTGCAAACAAGAATGATTTTTGCTGCTTCCTTTCTTGTTTTCTATTACTTCTTCTTGCTTAATCAGATTGGGTAGAACAGAAGGAACAATTTTACATAATAGTAGAATATGGCTTCCTAAAAATAACACCTTTTTGAAAGATCTATGCTTTTAATTTTGTCATAAAAACTTCAAGCATATGAAAAAATAGCTTCAGTATTTACCCATTCATGGCTAGTGGTATTTAATCTACACCCTGACCCTTTCCCAGATTATTCTAAAGCAAATCTCAGATCTTACATCATAGCCTCTTTAAATATTTCATATTGTATCTCTAAAATATAGGAGTTCTGTTTTTAAAAATAATTTCAATGCTGTTATCACAACTAAAGTTAATATTTGTTTATGCCATTAAATATTTGTTTTTGTTTGCATTTTCCCAGTTTACAGGGCGCTGTTTGAATGGGGATCCAAACAAAACCCGTCTATTGAGATTGGTCAATGCATTTCATAATTCTTTTATGTCTCTTTTAGGTTGTCCATCCGTCTCTTTTTTCTGTCTTACAAATTTTTGTTGGTGTTATTGTGGAAGAATCTGTCATTTATCCTGTAGATTTTCCTGCAGTGTGGATTTTGCTGATTGCATCTTCATGGTGTTGTTTAATGTGTTCCTCTATTCTCTGTGTCCTGTAAAATAGTGGTTGTTTTTAGACATAGAGGCTTGATCAGATTCAGTTTGATTGGGCAAAAACTTTCGTACATATTTTTGTGTTGTTCTATTGAGGCACATAATATCTGGTCATCTCTTTTTTGGTGATATTAGCAACCATTAATGATCATTGTCTAGATCTAGTAATTGATTAGAAGTTGCCAAATGGTGGTGTTCTAATTTCATCATTTCTTCTTCATTAGTTAGCTGGAATTCTTCTATGTAGAGAAACTTTCCCTCAAGTATTTGGTTACCCTGAATATTGTTCATATAAGAAAAGCAGATTAAATGCTTGATTTCTTCTCTTTTTTGAAAAATTTAAAAATTAATGAGTTGGCTGGGCGCAGTGGCTCATGCCTGTAATCCCAGCACTTTGGGAGGCTAAGACGGGTGGATCACAAGGTCAGGAGATCAAGACCATCCTGGCTAACACAGTGAAACCCCGTCTCTACTAAAAATACAAAAAATTAGCCAGGCGTGGTGGCGGGCGCCTATAGTCCCAGCTACTCAGGAGGCTGAGACAGGAGAATGGCGTGAACCCGGGAGGCGGAGCTTGCAGTGAGCCGAGATTGCACCACTGCACTCCAGCCTGGGCGACAGAGTAAGACTCCATCTCAAAAAAAAAAAAAAAAAAAAAATTAATGAGTTTCCCCGACAGCCTTTAAAAGATAACCGGTGAGGTTGTGTATGTTGTTGTTAGCACAGTTGATGTGTTTTGTGTGTGTTACCATGATTATTGGTGCTCAAGTTTTCTATGGCCAATAAGAGCTTCTTTAGGTTGTTTTCTGAGTCCCGTCAATGTGAACCCAGTAGTCTTTGATTGTTTCCTTTCTTTCTGGTATATTCCAGGATCATCTTAAATATTTCTTGCCCCAGGTCTGGAACCAGTTGGTTCTTTCTCCATGGAGCCCTGTGAAATAACATTTAGAGACTGTAATCTGGGTAGTGTGGTTGCTCGTTGTTGTAGATTTGGTGAGAGTGTATATGTCTATGTGGAAGGCGCCTCCTAAATGGCCCCCAAGGACCCCTGCCTCTTGGTATTCATGGCTGTGAGTCCTTCCCTCCCCCTGTGTGGGGGATGGACTTACTGAGCTGCTTCTATTGAATAGAATATGGTAGAAGAGATGGGATATGGCTTCCAAGATCAGGTTACAAAGAGATGTGGCTTCTGTCTCAGCTTGTCCTTTCTTGTTCTCTCTTACTTGTTCCCTCTGAAGGAACCAAGCTAGCCTGGTGTGGTTGGCAGTTGCCCCATCCAGAGGCCCACGTGGCACAGGACTGATGTTTCTGGCCAGCGGCCTGGTGAGAGAACTTGGAAGTGGATGCTCCCCTCTTCAGGCATTCAGATGGCTGCAGCATCACTGAGTACCTTGCTGCCTGTGACAGACGAGAGGTCCTGAGCCAAAGTCACCCAGCTAAGCCACACCCAGATTCCCGATCCACAGAAACTCTCAGATAATCCACGGTTGTTGTTTTGAGCCACTAAATTCCCGAGTAATTTGTTATGCAGCCAACAATAACTAATACACAACATATTTTTTAAGATCAAATAACGTCATGATTCCTAATGATACTTTGTCAGGTTTATAGGTTCTAACATTTGTAGTTTCTTTTTCCTGTGCCCCAAATTCCTGTTCTCAAGGACACCAGCATAATTTTGCATTGGTTTTATTCCATTAAGCTTACAGCAGTCTCAGAATAACAATACCAAACACTGCCAAGGACACATGATTGTAGATACAGATTATGATTTATTTGCATTTACTTTTGTGTTTAGAATACATCCCACAAGGGATGTACAGTCAGACAACTGTGTTTTAAAATATTTTGGAATAGATCACAACTGGATACACTTTTAGATTCATTGGTTTCATTTTTCTCTTAGTTATTTGGACTTTGCTTTTTCCATTTAATTTTGTTTTATAATTATATAAAATAATTACATGGTATGAAATTCAAATAAACAACACAGGATGTATGCAAAGAGGTCAGTTTCTTCCCCTATTTATCCCCCCACCTCCCAATTTCTTCCCTTCCACTATAGGTAACCATTTTGAGCATTTTACATATTTTTATTGTAAGCATGTCTTCCCCTTTCTTAGGTAAATGGTAGTGGATTAGACTCCCATATCTCCATCTTGCCTTCTTCACTTCACACTAAACCCTGGCGGTGATGCCACAGCTCTGTGCTGTTCACAGGAGCATGGAGAGGATGTTCTGCAGAACTCCACTGTGTGGATAGATGTCTCCTGTTCAGGAGTGTTTGGGTGGTTTCCAGGTTTTTGCTATTACAAATAGTGCTGCTGCAGTGAACCGCCTATGCATATGCTTTTTCCCATTTTTGCCATTTTTTTTTAAAAAAAATTATTTATTATGCTTTTTCTGGGAAGTCATTCTCCCCACTGCAAGGGTTAGGATCTGTCTTGGGCAACTCTGTGCGTTTTCTTGAGCTTGGCTTTGACCTTCCTTCCCTGACTCTCTGTTGTGGCTTCTCTTCCTCCCAGCATCCAGTGACTTAATCTTGCTCATTGGGTGTCTAAAGTTCAACACTGTGGAACCCCCAAATCCCTTTTATCAGTGACAAAGCCTGTGCTGCAGGCCCAGGTGTGGCCACTCCCTGGTGAATGTCCCATAGGTGTGATTTTCAGATGGTGTCTTCTCTTTCGTATCAGCCATATTATAGGGTCACCTTCAGTGGGGGCATCTCAAGGCACAGGCCCTGGCAGTACTGGAGAGTCGGGCCTGGAGGCCACGCCTTAGCTCTGCAGCAGAAGGTCTCACTTGAGACGCCAGTTACACGACTCTGATACTCACCCACTCCTGCCTCCTTTCCCCACTCCAGACCTAGGGGGCACTTCAGGGGGCAGGCTCTCCTGCTGATCTGGTGGCTCGCCTCCTCCCAGTCCTGTCCTGCCCCATTAGAGCTGCAGCCCCTCCTCCCAGTTGAGGCCAGGTCCCGTCTGCACTTTGGAACCTCACACGATCTGATGTCGTTTGTCTCCTGTCCCTTTTGCTCGCCCCTCCACTGGCTTTTGACCACGTCTGTCCCACCCTGCATCTATCCACACCACCCCGCTCTACCTGCCCCTTTTCTTTCACAGCCGGAATCTGGGAGTGGCAGCCTCATTGTCTGCACCTCCCCTGCACCTCTCAGCCCCCTCTCTGGCTCCTGCCCCGGTTCCTCTGAAACAGCTCTTTGAGGTCACGACTGACTTCCTTGACACTGTGCCCAATACACGAGGTCTCCTTGTAGTTGGCCTCCTGCTAGCATGGGTGTAGATGGGCAGGCCTCCCTTTCTAAGCCCCTTCTTTTCTTGGTACTTAGCAGAGCAGAGTCCTGGGGCTTCATCCTGCCCCCTTGCCCATGACCTTCCTTGCAGACTCATCCATGCCTGCAGCTTCACTTGGCACCTGCAGATGGTTCATTCCCAAATCTGTTTTTCTAACCGGGACTCCCGAGTCCAGCCGCCTACTGAGCATCCAGGCTCCTGCCACTAAACTTGCCTGGAATCCCCAACCCAAGCTCAGTCCTCTTCCAGGCACCCTTTCTCAGTGAGGGGCAGGTCTGTCCATCGAGCTCTGCAACCATTGTCTAGCGTCCTCATCTTCTCTCAGACTCCAGTCCACCTTTCCGTCCTGTTGATGGACCCCTAAATCCCCATCTGTTGCTGTCTCTCCATTTCCGTTGTCACCCTGTCCGTACCATCATCACCACTCATGTGCTGGGATGGCTACAGTAGCCTCTCAGCTGCTCTCCCTTCTTCCTCTCTGCTGCCTGCCCCTCTGCCAGAGTTCATTTCTAATGAAGGAGTGGTTGGGCCACTTCCCTGATGGATACCCTGGAGTGACAGTCCTTATGGCCTGTCACCCGTGGCCCCAGGGTCCTCACATCTGGCCAGCGCTTCCTCCCCACCCTCGACTTGTCTCAGCTGCTGGCCCATGCCCTAGGCCTCGGCAGTCCAGACATCCTATAGATCTTCTAAGGTGTCATTGTCTCTGCACCCTAGGGCCTTTGCACCTGCTCCCGCCTCAGCCTGGGAGGCTTTCTCCTCCTTTTGCCTTATGGCTTGTTGATTCCTTCTCCTCCTCCAGACCTCAGCTTAAACAGCAGCCACCCCCAAATTCCTCACCAGAGCAGCCTCCCTGTCCCTTCCTTCCCAGGGCCATAGCCTCCCTTTTGAGCATTCACCATGGCCCATCCTGATGCATTTGTTCTGTGGCTGTGGGACTGATGTCAGCCTCACTGTGTAGCCTGTGAGCTCCATGTTTCTGTCTTAACACCGGTCTTTATACAGTGGGTTCAGAAATGCTGAGCACCTGAACTCATGACAGTGAACTTGGGCAAAGCCACGTGACCCACTTAGATGGTCCTTATTTGTAAAATTGGGACCCTGAGATTGCTTCATGGCGTGGTTGAGGACTGGGTGGAACTGTACCATTGTTGCACAGAGGTCTGGTGTGTTGGGCATGAGGGCTGCACTCCAAGACTCCGTGCCTTTGCAGAGAGCAGCGGGCCTTGTGGATGCACCCCCACACTCCCACATACACCTGTGCTCCAGCTCCACCCAGCCACCTCCTCCCAGACCCCCAGGATATACAGGGACAGGTCTTGGAGCTAATGAGACCCCCTGGGGCCACACTGGCACCTTAGAAGCCTCTGTCCACCACCCATGTTCAGGATAATTTTCTTCAAAGGTGGCAGGAGTGGAGACCCTCAGGCTTGAAGCTGTGGGACTCCCCTCCCCTTCCCTCTCCAGAGGGCCTAGGGTTTTCCTAAGCGGTGTTTCAAACAGAGGCTTCCTCTGGCAGGGGAGAACCTGGAGCGCCTTATTCTTCTCCAGACTGTGCAGATACACTGTGCATATGCCTATGTGAGTAAGATATACGGTGTGAAAAGGATAAATCACTCTCTGGGGAGACAAGATCTTTAAACCTGTATCTTGATTATCTTGTCATTTTGTCTCCCTCTGGTGGTCTCAGCTTAGGGTCAGTGCAAGACTTGAGCAAAATAACAGCAATTTCTACCCAAACATGTAGGGCTAGCTGCTTTCATTTTCTAACGAAGCTGTTAGATTTGGGTTCTGCGTTTCCTGCGGAAGTTGAGAGCTGTGCCCATGAATCTGATATACTCCCCACACCATGCCGCCCCCACTGGACTCTTCTCTGGGTCTGGGTTCTCCTCCCGTGGTGCGTGTGAGTGGGAGGCAGGATGCTGGGGCCACCTTGGACTCGATTGTTTCTCGCTGAACAAAAGAGCAAGGCAGGCATGGAAGGCCCCCAGGCAGAGGTGGGTGGTGGCTGGAGTTGCAGCAAGGCCCTTGAGTGCTTCACTGGCCTCATCCCGGAAGCAGGCATCCGTGGGTGCCAGTGGTGACCCCCTGCCTGGGATGGGGCATCCTTCACACACAGCAGTCTGTGCCCAGATGGGCCCCAGAGCTACTGACGCTCACTTCAGGGGGAGACGAGGCCAGTCTTTCCCAAATCTACTCAAGGACATGGGTCAACATGGAAATGTGAACCTCAGAAGGGTCTGGTGCACTGACCAGGGCCACCCTGGGGGCTGGCGAGGGAGAAGCCAAGGGGCAGTGCCTAGAAAGGTAGGAGTCAGATTCCAAAGGGAGGGCTGGCCTCCCAGCCTCCCCAGGGCCTGGGGCTGACAGGGTGCCAGGCAGCCCCTGCCACAGAGGGGACATAAGGACACTCGCCCAAGGCCCTGCTCACCTGCTGGGGCTGTGAGGCTGGGGTACCTGGGGCGCCTGGAAGAACCAGAGCTTTCCTGCAGAACAAAGTGACGCCATCTAGTGGTCAATGAGAGCCACTGCATTGGGCCCCACTGGGTGACTGGGGCTTCACTGGGGGGTGCCTGTTGAGCCATGCTCACTGGGGACGGCAAGGTGGTGTGAGGTAGTAGAAACAGGCCTACCTCAGGCGCTGGGAGCCTTCCCAGCCCCACAGCCAGATGCCATAAAAGGCAGCACAGGGCATGTCTGGCGAGCCTGTGGCAGCCAGGGCTGTCATACACGCTCTCCAAGCCCCCCAGCTAGGCAGATGTGCACACTTCACTCTGAAGAAGCGCCAGGGTATGGTGGGGGTACTGCATTGGGATAGATGGGTCCTGTTCCCTCTGTGGGGCTGCCTCTGATTCTCCTGGTGACAGGAGAATCCCGGTGTACCCTCTGAGAGACAGGTGGACAGGGGTTCCTCCCCTGGTGCCACCCCTGAATCCCGCAGTCCCCCACATTGGTGCCTGCAGCCCTGCCCAGCTGGGAGAAGGTTTATCGGCTCCAGGGCAAGGGGTGAATGGAGGATATTTAAAAGCCGTGGGAGGACCCCATTGATAGGACTCAGTTAGATGCACAGGGGAGGGATGGGGGTCCCTGTGGGGAGAGACGGCTGGGAGCACAGGTGATCCTCTGACCCCAGGGGCACGCAGACCCACTACTGCCCAGGAAAGCAGGAAGGAGGGCCAAGTGGGCTGAGCACCAACGCGAAGCTCCCCACTTGGTCTGTCTGAGCAGGTGAGGGAGGGGCAGCCAGGAGTTTGAGGCAGTGGAGGGGTCTGGAATAACTCTTGCATGGAGGAAGAGTCTGAGTTTCCCAGAGAGATAGATGAGAGTTGTGAGGTTGTTTGGGGGGCATTTGGGGTCAAGAATTTATAATACATTTATCATGGCACTCATTTGCCCTCTTGGGCAGCTTTTTCCAGCCTCAGGTCCAGAGAAAACAGGTTGGAGATTTGCTGAACTCCTGTGGGCAGATACACAGGACTGGGGTCAGGGAACTGAGGATACTGGGCGGATGTTATTGAAGTGGTGGATGGCAGCGCCCAAGCTGGGCCAGTTGATGATTTTAGCAACAGAATGGGTTAGAGGTGAGACCAGGGATCAGCTGGCTGAGGGAGGGAAGAGGTCAGGAGGTTGCTGGCGCGAGGGCTGGGGAAGTGCAGGATGGCTGGGCCCGTGATGCTGGAGGGACTCAGGGAGGGGCCAGCTGGAGCAGGAGGGGAGCCAGGAAGCCAGGGCCAAAATCCCCAGTGGAAGGGGCTCTGGCCAGGAGGTGGGCAGTCGGGAGGGATAAAGCAGGTGACATGGCCAACATGGGTCTGAGAGGACAGCCAAGCCACGGTCTAGGATAGCTCAGAGGTCGGCTGACTGCAGCCCCAATCGCAAATCCTCCTGGCCCCCTGATTTTGCATATAAAGTTTCCTTGGCACACAGCCACACCTCCTGTTTTACATACTGTCTACGGCTACCTTTACGCCTCAGGTACAACGGTGAATAGTTGCAACAGAGACCACAAAGCCTAAAACACGTACCATCTCCCCCTTTACAGGAAAGGTTTGCCCACCCCTAGCTGGAGCCTTATTGTCTGGCATAGGAGCCACTCAAGATTGGTTTGTGGGCAACATGGACAGGACTTGGGGGTTGGTTGGATATGACTCTAACATGTGGCTCTTTATATTTCAATTAATTAAAATTACATACAAGAAATGGGTCCAGTCCCTCAGCTGCAGGAGCCTCAGTGCCAGTGCTCAAAGCCACATGTGGGTAGCGGATCCTGTATTGGACACTGCAGAGATAGAACCTTCCATTGTGGCTGGCAGGAAGTTTGTTGGGTCACGATGGTCTAGGGGCAGCAGATGGAACAAGCATGATGTTGCCAAGCCTGGGCCTGCGGTGTGATGGGTGTGAGGAGCTACACGGGTGTCCTGAGAGGCTACAGACAGGCAGGAGCCCCTCAGGACAGATGCACAAGGACAGGCCAAGGAGAAGCCCAGGGCACAGTTTCAGGTCACCAGCATGAGTTCCGGGGCTGTGGGGAAGGCATGGAAAGTGCTGTTGTGTTTGGGATGTGACGCCTTCTGGATTTGCAGCCTGTGATTGTCATCTTGAGTGACAGTCAACTGGAATGCTGGCATTGTCCTCCTGACACTGTTTGTGCAGAGTTTTCTGGCCCAAGTGTTGATTTCGCGCAGTTACTTGCAGCACGGGGTAGTGAGGGAAGCAGACCGGCCGCCCGTGGCTGGCTGCAGATGGCAATGGTTGGGCCCTTCTAGTTTGCCCCGCATCCTGGCTGCCGTGTTCCTTGTGCTATGGCCAGGCATGCAAGTTCTTTGTTCAGGGGACTTCTCCTCTAGGAAGACTCTGACTCTGTGCCCTCCTTCAGTTCCAGGGCCCTGCGAACCAGAAGACCTCATCGACGGGATCATCTTTGCTGCCAATTACCTGGGGTCCACCCAGCTGCTATCAGAACGGAACCCTTCCAAAAACATCAGAATGATGCAAGCGCAGGAGGCCGTCAGCCGGGTCAAGGTAGAGGTGCTTCGAGGGCCCCTCGCGGATGCCCGCACACTTTGGGGGGCACTAGCAGGAGGGAATATGGCGGGGCGTAGGCCCTCTTCCAGCTCGGACTGCACAGCCCTCAGCACAGGGGGCAGGAGCGGCCCAGGTGCCAACGAGGCTGAGGGAGGCTTGCGCCTTGGCTGGGAGAAAGCTGGCTGGGCAGAGGCAACCAGCTCCTTAACAAGAGGCCCACGGAATCCCAGAAATACGACCTTTAAAGATCATCGTTCCAAAGCATTCTAGTCATCAAACAATCCCAAATCCCAGTTCAACAGTATGTGTATTTTTAGTGCCATTCAGAGTGCTTCAAGAAAGGGTGAAAAATAAATCACGTTTTATTTAAATTCAGGACCTCAAGAAAAACTTTGACCTGCTTGTAGCTCTAAGTGCTCATTGGATTGTCTGGTTTTGAACATCGGGTGAGGCCGGGCAAGGGGAAGATGAGGCCACGTCAGCAAAATTAAATGGGGTCGGCGGGGAGGGGATGCAGCCATCTGAGGTCTCAGCTCTCTGAGCAAGACAGGATCTGCAGAGGCCCGCCAGCCCAGGGGTGAGAAATGGCAGCAACCTCCTCCCCAGCCCTCACCATACACAACCTCCTCTAACAGAAGCAGAGAAGCACCATGAGGCCATCCGGGGTGGGCAGGAGAAAGCCAGGTAACCCAGGGCAGTGCTGAGCCCTGCTGGCCAGTGCCTCTCAGCAGAGGCCCGGCCCTCCCATCCCAGACCCTTGCCTTGCTCCGCTGCCTGGAGCTCAGCTCCCCTTCCTGCCGGCTGATGGCATCTTTCCTGTCCTCCATAGATGGGGTGGTTGGCAGTCATTTCTAGCGCTCCAGGGACACCTGTGTGGGCTTCTCTTGGTCAGTGTGTGTGCTTGAAGTGGGCAATGGCTGTCCACCCGTCCCTGCTGGGCTTTGCTAGGCACCAGACCTGAGAGTGGGGGCATCAACCACCAAAGTGACATAACCTCACGCACCTTCCTTCTCTCTGTGCCAACTTGTTTTTCTTTTCTCTTCCATGCTGTCAGAGGATGCAAAAGGCTGCTAAGATCAAGAAAAAAGCGGTGTGTAGGGCCTTGAGGCCCTGGGACAGTGTTGTTTGCTTGTGTTTCCGTGGCTTGTCCTGGGCAGTGGGGGCTGGGGGGTTCCCCTGGGGATCTAAATAATGTTGCAAAGCAGCTTTTCCTCTTCCCTTGGTAGGTGAATCTTAGATGTTTGTAAATGAAACTACAGACACTTCATTTTTTTAACCACCCATTTATGGAAGGATTTATTAATTCTTCTTTCTTAGCATCTCCTGTGTACTGTATGGATAATGCTGTGATGTTCCTGTTTTACGTGGACATTTTAAATTGATATGACATTTAGTTGATATGACAACGTGGTGGGTGTAGGGTCTGGGCCTCCTGTGCAGTATTACTGAATTGTTCTGATAGTTAAAGATTCCTTAAGCTTAATTTACTAAGTCAGGAGGGTGAGTAGCTCAGTTTGCCCGTGTGGTGCTTTCTTTATTGGAAATGAGTTTTTGGGCTGGGTGCTGTGGCTCACACATGTAATCCCAGCACTTTGGGAGACAGAGGCAGGAGGATCATTTGAGCCTAGGAGTTTGAGATTGGCCTGGGCAACACAATGAGAACCCTGTCTCCACAACTTTTTTTTTTTTTTTAATTAGCTGGTCATGATGGCACATGCCTGAAGTCCCAGCTGCCTGGGAGGCTGAAGTGGGAGGAGCACTTGAGCCTGGGAGTTTGAGGCTGCAGTGATCTGTGTTTGCACCACTGCACTCCAGCCTGGGCGACAGAGTGAGACCCTATCTCTTAAAGAAAAAAAAAAGAAACAAAAAAAGAAAATAAGTGTTGAAACACTGGCAGACTTTTAAAAATGGGTTGACACTGAGGCCGGGCGCCGTGGCTCACGCCTGTAATCCCAGCACTTTGGGAGGCCGAGGCGGGCGGATCACCTGAGGTCGGGAGTTCGAGATTAGCCTGACCAACATGGAGAAACCCCGTCTCTACTAAAAATACAAAAAATTAGCCAGGCATGGTGGTACATGCCTGTAATTCCAGATACTCGGGAGGCTGAGGCAGGAGAATCACTTGAACTCGGGAGGCAAGAGGTCGCAGTGAGCCGAGATCATGCCATTGCACTCCAGCCTGGGCAACACGAGCGAAACTCCATCTCAAAAGAAAAAAAAAAAGGATTGACATCGAGTCATTTGTTTGTCACCTGGTCATTTAGTAAATGCTAGAGCTTTTCCAATCCTCCTCATACAGAAAATATCAAAATAGTTGGTGTCACAAGGCCTGGGGCAAACCCCGGGGTCCTTGGCACTGGCTTATTGCCCACTGTTTTCTTCTGTTTAAACAGCAGGAGATTTAGTTCCCCCTCCCTGCTTTGAAGTAATGCCATTTTCTGGCGCTTTGGCCAGAAGACCCATGTGGGGACTCCCTCTTCTGGAGTGAGACTTTGGTCCACCTAGGATGTCTGCCTTTTGCCCAGCAGCGTCTCCTTTGATTCTGCTCAGGAGCAGGAGAGGAAGGATCATGCTCATGCTCCTCTTCCCGGGCTGATTTCCTCCAGGCAAGGCAGAATGTGCCACACATTGCAGACTTGCAGTTGGGGTGTGCTTTTCTCAAAAGAGAGGGGCCCTCGCTTGCAGCCTCCTAGTCCAGCTGGAGCAGGGAGTCCCTACGGACTGCAGCTGGCTTCTGGGACCTGCAGGTCCAGCAATCCTACAGAGTCGCTGCCGCCTTTAGAGGGGTTGGTACAGGCAGACCCAGCTCAAAAAGGCCTCTGCGGCCAGTCAGGTGGCCGCCTGATTACATTTAATTACGGTTTGTTCTTCCTTTTTGGAAAGTGGGATGCTCAGTGTCATTGCTGAAGGTCCCTTTCCTGGCCCGGCCACAGCCATGGGGATGACTGCAGGTCATGCCCCCCATCCACAGACATGCCGAGGCCCACCCTGTGGCCTGTTCTCTGGTGTCTGTAGGATCCGTACTGTCGACACCCTCCCTTCTTCTGCCAAGGAGGATGATGGGTGTCCTCTCCCTGCCCTGTTACTGATGGGTTTTCCACTGGAGGCTGGGTGGCTTCAGGCTGCCCCTCTTCTCCCATCCAGGGATCCCAGCCTCAGGTTTCCTCCACAATTGTCACTAATGCCAAGGTCCACCTGCAACTTTTCTCACTTCTGGCTTGACCTACTTTTTAGCAAGAGGATTTTGAGCCACAACCCATGAATATAACCTTTAAATGCATGCTGATGCTGAATATAACCCAATTTTAAAAAACAGAAAAAGTTCCTCCGCGGCTGCGGATTGTCAGCTGCACTGCTTTCAACTCCTTTCTCTTTCTAATGAGTTAAAAGCAAAGAAAGCCCAAAAGACCCTTTCCCTTGAAAATTGAGCTAAAATACACATTTATTATTACAATACCGGGCCTCTCTAAAACTCAAAATTCTTGAGGAATTGTCAGCAGGGAGATTTCTTATTTCAGATTTTCTAGTGAATAATTAAATCATAGTTTTTGCTGTTTCGAAATGGAAAATAGACCACCCTGGGCTCCCCAGTGACCACGGAGAATTATTCACCTCGGTGGGCAAACCAATAGAACTTGAAATTCATTGCCACCGTGCAGTGGTAATTAGGATTCTTACAAATGTAAAAACCAATTAAAGGCTATCCTAGTTTGGGGCAGACTCTGAAGAGTTCACTCAGCTCAGAAGAGCCCATGAAACTCGTCTCACAACCATATGCCAGACATACTACAGTGGCTACAGGTGACGAATTAGGCCATTTGTGTGGCACCTCTCTTGGCTTCTCTCTGTCGCTGTGAGGACAGCACTTAGGCCAGCCCCAGGGCTCAGTCCCCCAAGGACGCTGTGGGATGGACATGGTGGTGACTGATTAAATCAGAAGGAAAGGCTGACATTTTCATTCAGCTTCTCTGACAATGTCTTCCCCATTTCTTAAGGATACTTAGAATCCCAAATCCAGGAAACGTAACCTGAGTCTATAAATTCCACAGGGGTCAGCCAGAGGGCCTTGCTTGCCACTGGCAGGAGGGGCTGTGGCGACAGACCCAGGCGTCCCGCCCCATCTCGGTCAAGCTCCCGGGGGCTGGCCCTCCTCCCTCCCAGGTGCCTCTTACAGACTGCCTCGAGAACTCACACTTAGCTAGATGATGCGGCCGGTGGCGTGCAGGTAGATTTCTGATGGCCAGTAGCATTTCCTTCTACGTGGACTCTGGGTAATTGTTAAAATTGCCGAGCCTTCCTTCGAGTTATTACTTTTTACATTGACGGATAAAATTGTATGTATTTGTTATGTACAACATAATATTTTGGAGCATATACACATTGTGAAATGACTATATCTAGCTAATTAACGTGCATTACATCACCTAGTTTTAATTTTTGTAATGAGAACACTTCATTCACTATCTTAGCAATTTTTAAGAATATGAAATATTATTAACGGTAGTCACCATGATGCACAATAGATCTCTTGAACTCATTTCTCCTGTCTAGCAGGAGCTTTGTGTCCGTGGACCAATACTTCCCCCTTCACTCCTTTGCCCCAGCCCCTGATAACCACCATTCAGCTCTCTACTTCTGTGAGATCGACATTTGTAGCTTCCACCTGAGTGAGATGGTGCAGTATTTATCTTTCTGTGCCTGGCTGATTTCACTTCACAGCATGTCCTCTAGGGTCATCCATGTGTTGGAAATGACATGGCTTTTTCTTTGTGAAGGCTGAGTAGGCCTCCAGTGTGTCTGCGCGCCACATTTCTTTATCCATTCATCGTGAATGGACTTCGGGTTGATCCCATGTCTTGGCTGTTGTGGATAGTGCTGCCGTGAGCATGGGAGTGCAGGTGTCTCCTAGACACGCTGATTTCACTTCCTTTGGAAATATGCCCAGCAGTGGGATTGCTGGATCACATGGTGGTTGTAGTTTGAATTTTTGGAGGAACCGCCATTCTATTCTCCACAGTGGCTGCACTGATTCACACCCTCCCACAGTGTACCAGGGTTCCCTTTTCTCCACCCCACGCCAGTGCTTCTTATCTTTTATCTTTTTGACGAGAGCCATTCTGACAGATATGAAATGATATATTGTTGTGGTTTTAATTTGGATTTATCTGGTGATTAGGGATGTTGAGCATTTTGTCATAATGCTATTTGCATGTCCTCTATTCCGAGTTGGTTTTTGGACTTTAACAATATCCACTGTCCTTCTTAGAATTCTGAGGGGGATGCCCAGACGCTGACGGAAGTGGACCTCTTCATTTCCACCCAGAGGATCAAGGTTTTAAATGCAGACACGCAGGTAAGCGTTTAAGACAGTTGTTCAAAATCAGGTAAACTCCTAAGTTCGACTCCTTCTTGTCCCATGGTATAGGCCCTCGTTCTCAGCAGCTTCTCTCCTGTGCTCTCTGCGCCCATCAACCCAAGGCCCATAGCCCGGGCTGCGGGAGGAGCAAGGAGCGCACAGCAGGTAGCAGTCGTGCTGGCGTCACCCCAGGGCTCTGCGGGCGGGAGGTAGGTGGGAAGACCTGCTGGGCTACCTGGGCCCTCCCCTGCTTCCCCACTCCCGGGTAGCCTGACCTCTGGGGACAGAGGAGGCAGCAGCCCCCACTATGTGGCTCACACTGCAGCCCACCACTCCCAACCCAGTGCCGTGCCCTGACCATCCTCCAGGCCCTCACATACCCTGATACGGGCACAGGGGCGCCCTTCCTCATCCCATGTCTGTCCTGTGTCCAGGCTTGCACCTTGTCCCACTGATCTTTGTGTCCTGCACCCCCCTACCCTGGAACCAGCCCCCTCCTGGAGCCTGGCACTTGGTGAAAACTCAGGGAGACAGGTGCCAGGGCTCAGGCACTGGGCTTGCGACGCTTCACAGACTTTGACTTCATTTTCTGATCTTTTGTGGGCAAACCATCTGGACTAGATCCCCCCACCAACCCTCCGAGCCCCATGCCTCATCACCCACCTGTGCTGGGTGTCCCCAAGACCACCACAGGCTGGGTGGTTTGGAGGACTGACAGGACTCAGTGAGCTCACAGCTGAGATTTATTTCAGCAGATGGCTCCAGAGCAGAATCAGCAAAGCGGATGCAGGCTTCCAGAGCCCTCCCCGCAGTCACACAGGACACACTGAACTCCCTGGCAAGGGGCTGTGACAACAGAGAAGTTGTGTCTACCAGGGAAGCTCATAGACACTCAGCCCAAGGTGTTTACTGGGAGTTGGTCATAGGCACCCTCTGCCTGGCAGCTACCAAAATTCCAGACTCCCAGAGGCAAAAGAGGTGTCCAGCCTAGACCACGTTGTTTGCACAAACGGTTTAGGCAAAAGGAACCATGGTTGTCAGTTCGGGTGCTGGGTACCCTCCTGAGATCCACGTTCCCAGATGCCAGAGAGGGCCAGCCTTGCAGGCGGGCCTTTCTGGGTACAGCTGCTAGGCCTGCCCCAGTACCTCTTCTTGCCAGTGTACATGGAGGGTGCCACACCTGGGGTGGGAGGATGGGCTTGGGGATTGAAGCTGAGCCCCATCCTCATGAGCTGTATAGCCTTAAACAAGTTCCTGAACATCTCTGAACCTCCTAATACCCACAGCCCCAGCTGAAAGAGTAACTCTTCCGCTGGATCCTGTGAAGGAGAGATGAGAAATCTCCTAGGCTGGCCCAGTTCAGGGTTCACTCCACTGGCCCCTTCTCCCTTCCTTTCCTTTCCCTTCTGGATCTTTGGATTCTGGACAGGGCATGCAAATTAAAGCTGTTGGGGCAGAGGAGCTGGAGAGGAGGGAACAGGTGAGAGACTGGGAAGGCCAAAGTAGCCATTCAGAGCAGGAGAGCAGATGCGGCCATGTTGGTAGGCAGCCTCTGTGAGGAGGAGGAGGGATCTGCCATTGATAGGAGCTGGGGAAGGAACATGTTTCTGACACCTGGGGATTGATTCAGGCATTTATGACAGTGACAGAAATCAGGAGATGCTGAAGAGCCACTCCAACTGTTTCCTTTCAGTGTCCCTCCCTGGAAGGTGACTCTTGTGGTTATGAAACAGCCTCATGGCTTTGGCCAGAAAAAAAGTCAGCAGCTGAGACAAAGGTGAAGCAGCATGCACTGCAAAGTGGATTCTGTGAGGAAGAAATGAGGTCCAGAGGTTGCAGAAACACTCGAGTTTCTTTTGTGAACAGAGGACAAAAGCATAAAAGACCAGTTGATTAGTTTTTTTGAGCTTTGTGTGCAGTCTTGTTAGGTAGGGGTTGTGGGCAAGATGCTGGCTGGAGATTCCTGTCCAAGGACAAAAAACCATCAAGAGTCATGGGCCTGCCAGAGGCCGAGGGAATTGAAGTCAGGTGGGCTACCTTGGTGTCTTTTGACCCAGGCCCAGGCTGTTTGGGCTCCCTGGGAAGAGCTCATTGAATGACAAACATTGGCCTTGATGCTTTCCTCTTCTGCACAGCAGGAAGGCCAGGCCAGGCCACTCTTGGGCCCATAGGAGAGCACCTCGTTCAGAAGGGACCCTTCTCCAGAGCCACTGGTGGCCTCTCATCCGGGAATGTATGGGTTTCACTATATGGCAAGCCCCTGCTCCAGCAGAGACAGCCCGAGAGCTCACCTGACATCACGCCTCCCTGGGTTCTGCACAGTCCATTTTGGAAGCTGGGACTGAGATGAGGGCAGAGTGACTTTGACTGTAAATCATTACCCTAAAACGCTCTGTTAATTAGGGCCGTGGTTCTCAACCAGTGTGATTTTTGTCCCTCAGGGGACATTTAGCAATGGCTGGAAATAATTTTCATTCTCACACTTGGGAAGAGGGAGGTGCTACTGGCATCTCCTGGGGAGAGGCTTGGAATGCTCCTAACACCTTGCAGTGCACATGACAGCCCTCCACAATAAAGAATGATCCGGCCCCAAATGTCAGGAGAATCAGGGTTGCGAAACCCGAATAATTGGAGTGCCTTTTTTTTTTTTTTCCTTTCTTTTTTTTTGAGACGGAGTTTTGCTCTTGTTGCCCAGGCTGGAGTGCAGTGGCGCAATCTCGGCTCGATGCAACCTCTGCCTTCACAGTTCAAGCGATTCTCCTGCCTCAGCCTCCTGAGTATCTGGGATTACAGGCACCTGCCACCACGCCCAACTATTTATTTTATATTTTTAGTAGAGATGGGGTTTCACCATGTTTGCCAGGCTGGTCTTGAACTCCTGACCTCAGGTGATCTGCCTGCCTCGGCCTCCCAAAGTGCTAGGATTACAGGCTTGAGCCACCATGCCCAGCCCTGGAGTACTTTTCAATGGATTGTCCCAGTAGTGTTCCCTGACGTGGCACTGTCTCCCTCCCGACAGGAAACCATGATGGACCACGCCTTGCGTACCATCTCCTACATCGCCGACATTGGGAACATTGTAGTGCTGATGGCCAGACGCCGCATGCCCCGGTCAGCCTCTCAGGACTGCATCGAGACCACGCCCGGGGCCCAGGAAGGCAAGAAGCAGTATAAGATGATCTGCCATGTGTTCGAGTCGGAGGATGTAAGTAAGCCCTTGCCAGGGCACTCCCCTCCCAAAGTTCACAGCCCAGGGCGGCTCCAGGATCCAGGCGCTGTGGAAACCACCCTCAGGTGGAAAGCCTCCATGCTGTTACTGATGTTTCCAGTGGATCAGTGATCTTTTGCATACTCTTTGGGTTTGCAAAGATAGTGAATACAGTTTTATTCTACTTCTTGAAATAGGTTCTTCAGGAGCTGTTTATAAATTGAGTTGTGGTTAAATATATGAGGGAGCTATTTGAAGAAATCCCTTTACAAAACATTTTCTCTACTAAAAATGAAGTTAATCTTTGCATAACTTTTGTTATTAAAATGCAAATTTTCGCATGGCCCTGGCATGCTGTATAAAGAAAGCACATCTGCACATGAGGCTTAGTTCTGCCTTTGCGTGTGGTCTTCAGAGGAAGTAAAAAGTGATTCTGAAGTATAAGATACCAAAGACTCAGGAAAAGATCACAAGCCCTTTGGCTCCCTCCTTGGCTGGAGAAGAGTGTTGTTTTTAGCCTGGAGGGGGACAGAGGGGCTGAGGAAGGAGCAGCAGGGCCAAGAGGGGAGCTCAGAGAGGAACTGTCCTTCCTGGAGGCTGATCTTACTCACAGACCAGCAGGGGGCGCTGCTGGTGAGCCAGTTTTGTGGCTGTTGCCAGAGTGAAATTTTAAAATATGATCTATGGCTGGGCACGGTAGTTCATGCCTGTAATCCCAACACTTTTGGGAGGCTGAGGTGCGTGGATCACCTGAGGTCAGGAGTTCAAAACCAGCCTGGCCAACATTGCGAAACCCTAGTCTCTACTAAAGATACAAAAAAATTAGCCAAGCTTGGTGGTGCGTGCCTGTAATCCCAGCTACGTGGGAGGCTGAGGCAGGAGAATTGCTTGAACCTGGGAGGCGGAGATTGCAGTGAGCTGAGATCGTGCCATTGCACTCCAGCCTGGGTGACAAGAGTGAAACTCCGTCTCAAAAAAAAAAAAAAATCTATCCTTCAGGGGCAGTTGGCCAGGGCGTTCTTTTTCACATAAGGACTTGAGGCTGTCTCAGGGACCTGGGCAATAGGGAAGGGTCCCCATATTGTCATGATCCTGACATACAGCATGGAAACTGAAGACAGGGTTCAAACCTTTGGCTGGCGCAGTCATCTTCTTCCTAAGAACTTGGGTCCACTTGAAGTGCTTCGGCGCAATGGCAGATTTACAGGAGGGAGAGAGCATTTCAACAGCGCACTCACACATTCCTTCCACCGCTACACGGAGACCCTTCGAAACCTGGATGGGTATTTCTGTGTGACTGAGGGCCGAGGATGTGTGAGAGACCTGGCTTGGGGATGGGCCACAGGTACTGGCGGAATGAGGCCAGGAGCAGGCCCGGTGGCGAAGGGTGGCAGTCAGCTGGTGAGAGTTTCCAAGGGGCACTGAGAGCCCCCAGGTGCAGCCGATGCGGAGGGTTAAAGCCAGGGTATGCCGTATTGGGTAGATGAGGCCGCAGGGTGGTCCTGCCAGCAACAGCAGCCTCCTCTTCCCCACCTCTCCAGCGCCTGCAGGCTCTGCCCACAGCCCACTTGCAGGAGGCCGCTTGAGCCCTGAGGTGGGGCCTGGGCTGGGCTCCTGGACTCACAGCAGTGAACGCCCACAGGCTTGGCTGCGAGTTGGGGCCGGCAGGGCGACCCCTTCTCTGAAGCGCCAGCCGCAGAGAGAGCCCCCTGAACCCCACACCTCCCAGGAGGCAGCCGGTACCCGGCGTGGAGTGACGGGGAGGCGGCGGCTGGCGGCACACCAGCGGCCCAGATGACACCGGAAGGAGGCGCAGCCCCGCGGAGCCGGCTCCCCGGGCTTGGAGCTTCCGCGGGGGCGGAGGATGTCGTCCAAGGGGAGGAAGAATGGCGGTGGCCCGAGGGAGCCCAAGTGGAGTCCGAGGGCCGTGGGTGGTGGAGCCGGGCCTCCGGGGCTCCAGGGCTCTCAGGCCGTCCTTCCCAGCCAGGTGGCCTCGTCAGGCGGAGACAGAAGCAGAGGCCTGGGGGCCGCCCTCCGCTCTTCCCAAAGGCCCGACCCTCTCCTGCGCGGGCGCTGCCCCCGGCCCTCCTGCCGAGCCCCATCAGCTCGCCAACTCCGCAGGCCAGCCCGGCGGCGCCATCTGGCGGTCCCCGGGCGTCGCGCCTCCAGCTGGGTCTGTGCGCGCGGCAGAGATGCTGGGCGTGGGAACCGGCAAGTCCTGGAAACGGCTTAGGGCCCGTCAGGGAGGGCAGTTCCACGCCTGCTGGAGGGCAGGCCGCCTGCTGCGCGCTTCTAATCCGGCCCAGCTTGTCTTTCCCAATGCATACATTCATCTGCTGCTCTTACATCCTGCCACGTGGAGAGTGGGAAGGGAATTGAGGCCAAAGCCCTTGTTTTCACCTGTTTTGGGATCCTGTTGAGTAGGAGTTTGCTGGGGGCGCCCGTGCAGGACCCCCTTGAGGGCAGTTGGGGAGGCACGTGAGGAGCAGGACAGCGCATAAGGAGGGCTCACACAGCCCAGAGCCTGGCGGGAGGCCCCGCTGTGGGCTGAGGCGTCACCAAGGCCGCCAAGAGCCCCGCCGCGCTCCCAGGGCTGCACAGCTGCCAGCCTGCTTGGCGAGCTCCGGGAGCTCAGTACAGCCCTCACCTCCCACTGTCTCCTGTCTGCGCACCAGCAGGCGGCCGGCCAGGCCCTGAGTGCTGTTTCAGTGTCCAGGCCTTTGCCATGTCAGAGTCGGTGATGTCCACTGAAGCAGCTCAGCGGAAGTAGAAAGAAGTGACGTGCTTCATGGGGCCTGTGTGGAGTCCCAGGTCTCATGTCTTGCAGGCCTGGCCTGGCACAGCCACACATCCCTAGAAGAGCAGCCAGGCACACCCTCTGCCTCCAGTGGGCACTGGGTTCTGTTGCTACCGATAAATACATGCGGGGTAGACAACTAGCAGCACGATGCTCCCGGAAAACACACTGAAAGTCCATTTTCGGCATCAGATGAGTGGAAAGGAAATACAGATGGGGTCAGGTGCAGTGGCTCACACCTGCAATGCCAACAGTTTGGGAGGCCAAGGCAGGAGGATCACTTATGTCCAGGAGTTTGAGACCAGCCTGGGCAATATGGCAAGACCCCTATCTCTACAAGAAAACTTTTTTTAATTAGCTGGATGTGGTTGTGCTCACCTACATTCCCACTCCAGTCTGGGCAACAGAGCCAGACCTCATCTCGAAAGAAAAAAAAAGCAACAAAAATATGACATGTAGTAAATAATTCATTGTTGTCCCAGACTTTCTTTGAAACAGCTTTGACCTGGAGCATCTGGGCCGTGCCACAGCTTAGGCAGGGACAGTCAGGAGTAGACCCTTTGGGGTTCAGGGCAACACTGGGGTTCGCTCACGGTGGAGTGCTGGTGGGAGACAGCCTTCATCAGATGAGGGAGGGCCCCCAGTTTCTTTCTTGTTCTTCTAAGCCCGAGCAAGGGCTCCCTTGAAGGCTTATGGGTGCATCCTGCACCCAGCCCTGCCGCAGCCCCCTGCTGAGGAGGCTGCGGGGAGCCTGTGCCACGTGCCTGTCTCCAGCTGGCCTGCCCTCTGCACAGGCCCAGCTCATCGCCCAGTCTATCGGCCAGGCCTTCAGCGTGGCCTACCAGGAGTTCCTGCGAGCCAATGGCATCAACCCCGAAGACTTGAGCCAGAAGGAATACAGCGACATCATCAACACCCAGGAGATGTACAACGACGACCTCATCCACTTCTCAAACTCGGAGAACTGCAAGGAGGTAAGCCACACCCACCAGCCTCAGGGAGGCCACATTTGCCAGCTTCTGCTCCCTGAGCTCCTGCAGAGCGAGCCTTCCCGGGGTCCTCACGCACACCCTTGCCTTCCTATCAGACTCCAGTGGGGCCCGGAATGTGCACCTCGCTCCTGCCTTCCAGCTGAGCACTTGGGTGTGAAATGAGGTGTTTGTAACAAAGAAGCTGATTACAGTCAGCTTTAATGACCTCGAAAATGCGCCTTTTAATGCTGCTATTATCATCAACCAGCACTCAGCACCCAGGAGATATTTCTGAAAAGCATGTGGCATCTCTAAAGGGAGCCTGGGGGCTCTGGCAGAGGAGGCTGGAAGCCACCAGTAGCAGAGGCCTTAGCTGGTCCCAGTGGCTTCCCCCAGGGGACTTTGGAAAGTTCTTATGGGCAGAGGAGCAAATTCCCTGGGGATGGCCCATACCTGGACTGTTTGTTAAATGGCTGAATGATTGTGTCTGCTGTGGATGAGTGGATGGTCTCTGCTGCTTGTTGAATGGGTGAATGCATGATCCTGGTTTCTTGCTGAAGACATTCCAGGCAGTTTCTGAGACAGTGACCTTTGAGAGGAAATAAAAGTAGAAGGACTTTTCCAACAAGAGTGAAGGCCGGGGGCAGGATATGGGTATGGGAGCCTGAGAACATTCCTCTGGCCTCTGTGGGTGTGGAAGGAGCAGGAACCAGGACACTGGAGCCCTGCTTGGGGTGGGAAGGTCAGTGTTGGGCACGGGTGGGGTTGGGGTCAATGCCAGGCACGGGTGGGGATAGGGGGTCTGTGCTTCCAGGTTCCCAGGATTGCTGGGTGGACCCCAGGAAGGTGTGGGAGCCAGACTGGGGTGAGGCTGGGGGTGGGTGGGCAGGGCTCCCAGCCCAAGACCTCTCCTGGCTGAGATGAGCCAGCCTTGGATCCCAGGGCAGGGCGGGATGTGCCAGGACAGGGTCAGCCTCATCCTCCTGTGGGTCCTTGGCAGAGGCCTCGGTCCTTGCCGCCAGCCCCTCTCACACTGCTGATCCCTTTGCAGCTGCAGCTGGAGAAGCACAAGGGCGAGATCCTGGGCGTGGTGGTGGTGGAGTCGGGCTGGGGCTCCATCCTGCCCACGGTGATCCTGGCCAACATGATGAATGGCGGCCCGGCTGCCCGCTCGGGGAAGCTGAGCATCGGGGACCAGATCATGTCCATCAATGGCACCAGCCTGGTGGGGCTGCCCCTCGCCACCTGCCAAGGCATCATCAAGGTAGGCACCCTGGGATCCTCCGCCCAGGGGTCACCTCAACCCTGCCTCACTTCATCCCCACTTTGCTGCAATCCCCACTTCACTGCAATCCCCACTTCACCCATGGGGAAACTGAGGCCCAGGGAGACCCACCCGGTGACTGGTCGATGATGGTATCAGAATTTGAACTCAAGACCATTCCCCATGTCTGAATCAGAGGTGGACCCGGGCTGGCCTGGGGTGGGAAGGGAGGGGTTGTCTGAGCCCTGTACCGAGCCATGTGGCCCTGGGCAAGGGCCCAAGAACCAGTGAGTATAGGGTGACCAGCTTATCCTGCTTTGCCTGGGACTTTGCCAGGTTAGCACTGAAAGTCCGGCTTCTGGGAAACCCCCTCAGTGCTGGTGGGCTGGGGAGGTGGGGCACCCTGCATGGGTTGGGTTCTGGGACGCAGGTTCCCTTAAGTAAGGAGGCCACCCTGACCGTCAGACTCGTGAGCTTGCAGCTTTGGGAGGTGCTGCCTGTCGCTGTGAGGGGTCAGGCAGAAGGGTCACCGGCAGCTAGGGTGGGGGCCTTCACACTGGCCGCCTGCGAAGGAATGGGTTCTGCCTGCTGCTGGCGGCTCTTGTGACCCAGCTGTGGCCTGGCCCCCAGCCCTCTGTGGCATGTTCCTCCCCACCCTGCTGTGGTCTTGGTGCTGGAGGAAGCGCCTTCCTCCTCTTTGTTCGGCATGAGAGATGAAGGGCATTCCCCAGGCCAGAGCATCCCATAGACTGGCTCTCGGAGCTGGCCCGGCAGAGCGTCTGCCCGATGGGCAGCCACACAGAGAGACATGGGAGAGGCCTCCACCAGTGGCACCAGAGGGCTCAGCAGTTGAGGCCCCCCCTCCCAGGGCTGCAGCTCCCAGGTGGAGGCTTGGGTTCCTCCCTGTGCCTCCTCACCCCCACCGGACCCCGGCGGCCTGGCGCACCCGCTGACAATTGCGTCCTCACTCACAGAGATTTGCTGTGTGGTCACTCCCTGCCCTGCAGGAGGTCCGTCCTTGGAGGGCATTGGGTTTTGAGGAAGGTGTCTCCACATCCTTCCGTAGGAAGCTGTCCCGAATTCGGCATGATGATGGCCCCCTCGACACCCTGAGGGTGACCTGGTGCCAGGTGCGTTGGTTCTGCCCAGTGGCACTCAGAACCTGGGCTCGCTCCTGCAGTGGCTAATCTTCCCCAGGGCAGAGGCACCCTGCGCATGGTGGGACAGAGGGCGCAGTGCTGCCCTGGAAACCTGGTAGCTCTGGTAAGGGCCAGGGCGAGGCTTGTCCCCGCTGCACAGAGGGGCTACCGAGGCTGAGAGGGGACTGCCTGCCTCTCCCATTGTGTGTTCTCACTGCCCCCGGCCTCCACCACCCTGCCAGCCTCGCTCATCCTGGGTCAGGCTTGATGTCTAAGGCCCAGCCTGTGACTCCTGTCCCCGTGCTCTGCAGGGCCTGAAGAACCAGACACAGGTGAAGCTCAACATTGTCAGCTGTCCCCCGGTCACCACGGTCCTTATCAAGCGGCCAGACCTCAAGTACCAGCTGGGCTTCAGCGTGCAGAATGGAATTGTGAGTTCCCCCTCCTGCTCTGGGCCACCACCACCACTGCAGGGCCCAGGGAGGGGGAGCAGCTCCCGTCCAATGGGGCAGGCTATGTCTGGCAGCCTGGTAGGACCTGGCCTGTGGTTGCAGCTGCCCACAGCCAGGCCACCTGGGGCAGGAACTTTCCATGGCTCTCTGGGAGGTCCTGGCTAGAAGGGGAGGGCCAGGGCATGGCCGTGGATTGGGCCCCTCCAGCCTTTCCCAGGCTCCCTTGTCCCCATGGTGGTTGTCCCCTGCTTTGGAGGGAGGGCAGCAGACTTCACCAGCCACTGTAGCTTGGACACAACCAATTGTGGCATCACTTACTGTGCTCAACAAACAGACGTTCACTCATTCATTCATTCATGTACTCATCATTCGCTTGTTCACTCAGCCATTCAGCAGACATTTGTGAAGTACCTGCTCTGTGTTAGGCTTTGTACCAGGCAATGGGAAGGCAGGAGTGCTGCCTGGAGGAGGTGATGCTGGGCTTGAGTGAGTGTGGTTCTGGCCAAAAACCTGTACCAGTTCCCCAGGCCAGAGTTCTTTAGCCCAGAGTTTCCACCCTCTCACTGACCTGCATTTGACTGGCCTGAATTCTTTTTTCCTTTGTTTTTCCTCCTGCAAAAGACCCAGAGGGCAGAGATGTGGCCACTAAGTGGAGTAAAGAAGAAAAGGGCTGGCAATACCCAAATTGTTTAAACCAGCCCTGAGTATGAAGGAGCCCAGGAGGAGAGACACTGCGGGCTGGAGTGGGAGTTTTGTGGAGGTGATGGGGAGGGTGTGTGCCCACCCACAGTCAGGAAAGACAGTGGGAGAACATTCTAGAAGGACTACCAAATCTTCTCCATTGTTTTCTGGTGAAGCAGCATGGAGGGTTACACCCACCGTCAGGGTGGAGTCCCAGGGCTTGGGTTTAGGGTCCATCTCTGACCCTGCTGTGTCAGAGCAAATTTGCTGCTATAAAAAAGAGTCTGCAAATCTCCATATACTGAGAGCTTATTGCTTATTCATGCTGCAGTTTAATTTGCAGTGGGGGCGGTGGGGGTGAGCTTCACTCCACAAAGCCACTCAGGGGCCCAGGCTCTGCCCTCAGCTGGGCTTTGGCAGCCCCCACTGGGTGCTCTGTGTCTCGCTGGCACTGCAGGAAGAGAGGCAGCTCAGAAGACCTTGTGAAGGTTTTCAGGGCCAGGGCAGAAGTGGCCCTTGTCATTTCTGCCCACAGCCCACTGGCCAGATAGCTCAGCCACGGACCCATGGGGAGGCTGGGAAGTGGGGGCCAGCTGGTGCCCAGAACGAAGAGGGACAGGGGCATCGCCAGCGTCAGCCATACCTTCCCTGCTGTGTGACCCTCAACAAGTCACTGAACGCTCACTGGATTCCCCTCAAAAGGTGCTTGTGAAGATCAGCTGAGAAAATCCATAAAGTACCCCAAGCTATCCAAGGTGGGCCCGCTGGTCCTCGTCTCTGCCAAGGAGGAGGCCCCGTGGCCCCTGGACCTGGCACAGGTGCCAGGACGAGTTGTCTGCACCCCACTTGGGACTTCAGGACAGTGCGCCTGCCGCAGGAGCTCGCCAGCTGGTGGTCTGGCCTGGTCCGGCTCTGCCTGACTGCTCTGCACACATGTGACCTGGGCACAAGCAGTTGCCCCAGCTAATTTGGGGGCTCTGCAGAAAATCAGCTGGAGCCCTGTCTGCAGCTGCTGTGCGCACTTTGTGGATGGGCATGGCTGGGCCCCAGGGAGGAGGGCTGGGACATCCTTCTGGGCTACTGCACCCCCGACCATCACCAGGCCCTGCCTGTGTGCCTCCCACCCCAGCACTGGGGACAGTGGAGGAAGCTGGGGACTGACAGCCCTGCAGCCCTCATGAGGAGCCGTGCTGTGCAGAGCCTGGGGTGCTGTATGGTGTCCCCTGGGCTGCCCCTGCCTGGCTAAACCTGGTGACCACACTGCCTTTGCCTCCTGAGTGGCACTGGGGAGCTGCTTGTCCTGTTCCTGCACCCCCTTGCCCAGCCTAGGAGGCAGGTGGGCCTGGGTTGGTGGCCAGTGCTGCTCACTGACAGCCCTGTCGCTGTGAGCCCTGCAGGAGAGGCTGGCTTTCCCCACCATGGGGTGGCCTGGGGGCTACCTACTCGTAGGGCCTGTGAATATAGCCCTGCCCGGGATGAGTTTGATGCCCCCTCAGTCTGCTGGTCTTCCCCAAACTATAACCCCATGAGGAGCACAGGAACTGGAGAAGCTGGGGCACACAGAGGTTTAGTGACTTGCCCCAGGTCACACAGCCATGTGGAGCACTGGTGGGGAGAGGGGGAGAAGAGATGAGGAAGGGAAGGACTCCGGTTTGTGTTTTGTGGGGGCTAACATGAATGGGAAAGGAGGGGACAGCCTGGAGCAGCCCAGCCAAGCCCAGGTGCAGGGTTCTGTGCCTTTCTTCCCAGAGAGCTGGAGAGTGCAATGGGCAGGTGTGAAGTCAAGGCGGAGGGCAGCAGACGGGGACCAGGGCTCGCTCCAGCTGCCTTCTGGGGCAGGTGCAGAGGGGTCTGGAGTAGCTCCCAAAGATGGGGCAAGGTGGGTCCGAGTGGCCAGGAAGCTGAGGGTGGTGGTGCGGAAGGGGGTTTCTCAGAAGATCAGGGGGTGCAGGGTTGAGGGCAGCAGCAGACTTGCGGGGCCTGCAGTGAGGAAGGAGTCATGTGCAATTCTGAAGACAACATCTCCGGGGTGGCAATACGAAAGAGAGGGTGCCACCCACGGCTCGGTGTCTCTGCCCTGGGTCTAGGGTCTGAGTTCCGGAGTGATGGAGGGGGCCAAGCGTCTGTGAAACTTGGGGGGTGGTCTGGGTCACGACTGGGGACGAGGAGGGTCTGGAGGTCCCAGCCCTGCTTGTGGATGCGCTGTTGTTCCACCCTCTGGCTCTGCCTCCCTGTCTGTGAAATGGGGTCCCACTTCCTTGAGGCCTCAGTGCTCAGGATGCAGGGGAGATGCTGGCAGCCGAGGAGAGGGGCAAATGCTGGCTGTCAGGGGCTTTCTCCAGGATACAGGACAGCTCACCCTGAGAGTGCCAGGGAGGGTTAGATGAAGCAAATGAATAGGCATGGTTATGATCCATCTCCCCAGTGATCCAGAAAATGGCATGCAGGCGGCCATATGGATCAGTCACCATCTCTGAGTGGCTCGGCTGCCTGGCGGTAAACACCGGGCCCTTCAGGCCCCCAGGTGCGGACCACACCCTCTGCACCTGCTCCATGAGTGCCCGTGGTCATGGTGGGGGTTGAGGGTAGGGGTCTGGCTGTCCCCATTTGGCCCTCTGTGCACCTAGACACAGAGGCTGTCACAGTGGCTGCCACTTGTGCCCCTGCAGGCCAGGGCTCATCCACCCCAGGGCCATGTCCAGGCATCTGCCTGGCTGAGGTGCACTGGGGCTCCACTGCCCAGCCGGGACCTCCAGGGAGCAATGAGCCTGGGATAACATTCAGGAGACCCGAGGGTGCTGGCTACTCTGGTCCAAGCCCCTCGTCCCTCACAGCGTGCTCAGGATAGGACCCGCAGTCCCAAGGGCCCTGGCCTCTACTTTCAGGAGCCTGGAACCCCGGGCTCCTGCTGTCCCCGGCCCTGCAGCAGTGGGGCGCTTCCCTTGGTGTCACCTCTCTGGGCACCCCCATCCCCACCATGCCCAGTGAAGCTCTCACCTGTGTCCTCCCGTCCTTGCCAGGCCCTTCGCCTGAAGTCCTAGCTCCAGCTGGCCTGGGGCAGCCACTCGGCACCTTGTATCCCGGGAGCTGGTGGGCAGGGACTGGGGTTCCCCTCAGCCTCCATGTGCCTGGCCACCTGGGGAGCATATGCAGGCGCTGGAGGATGCCTGGCTAGGAGTCTATCAGCTCCTGTCCCGACCTGCAGCGGTTCTCCCTGATGACCACAGAAACATTCCCTGTGGCAGGTGGCAATGCTTAGCACCCAGAGCGAGCAGTCAGATGAGATATGGGCCAGCTGCAGAAATCTGGGTGCTGGTGTGTAGGAGACGGGGAGGCCCCCTCACAGTTGTCTGTGTCTGCATGTGTGTGTACACGCATGTGTGTTTGGGACAGGTGAGTCTGTGCTTCTCCCATCCCAGGCCACTCGCCTCCTCCCAGGGCTCAGCACAGTCTCCTTTCTCCAGGATAAGAGGGCCCTGGGGTGGCGAAGGAGCTGCCTTGCGGTATGGAATCTGCCTCTCTCCACCCCCTTCTCTTCTAGTCCTAATTCTCCTTGGACATCCATTTTTCCGGTTTTTGTTTTCATTTAAAAAATAACTGTGGTAAAATATATCTGTAACTTAAAATCGAGCATCATAGCCATTTTGAAGTGCAGAGTTCTGTGGCAGTCAGTCCATCTGCATGTCAGGCAGCCATGGCCACTGCGCTCTCCTGCACGTCTTCCTCCTCCCCAACAGGAACTTTGTCCCCACTAAGCACCACCGCCCATTTCTCCTTCCCAGCCCCTGGCGGCCCCCCACTTCTACTTTGTCTCTGTGATTCTGACTACCCCAGGTACCTCATATCAGTGGCATCACACAGTGTTTGTTCGTGTGCCTGGCCTGTTTCATGCAGCATAGTGTCCCCGAGGTCTGTCCGTGTTGTAGCACACTTCAGACTCTCCCTCCTCTCCAGGGCTGAGTACTGTTTCCCTGCAGGCCTAGAGCACATTCTGTTTCTCCGCTAGTCCGTGCTGTCACCCTCGGCTGTTGTGAACACTGCTGCTGTGAACACGGGTGTGCACGGCGCCTGTTTTCCATTCTGTCCAGTCTCGTGGTCACAGGCGCTCCCAGGCCCTCCTGTCCATCTGTTTGGCGTCACTTTTAGGCTGGAATGGAAGCCCCCACCGCTGCACTCCAGCCTGGGTGACAGAATGAGACCCTGTCTCCAACAAAACCAGAACCAGTATATTTGGCACAAAATGCCCTTACGTCACTTGGCGGGGGGGGGATGTAGGAATAAAGTGACTCTTCCCTGTCGATGTAGACCATTTGGGCATCCGGCAAACAGAGCCTTCCCTTGACAGAACAGATGCCCCACCTTTCTGGTGGCCAGGGGACAGGCTGCCTCTCCTTTCCCGCCCGCCCATCAGCTAAGTGCCTGTCTTCCAGGATGGTAACCAGGCTGTGCCGTAGGAGGCCAGGTGGCAGTGGCCTTGGGCTGTGTCACCAGTCTCTAGCCTGACCACAAAGGGAGCGGCCCTGGGGGAGGTGCAGCTGGGGGACAGGTTCCACCGTGGGAGTCAGAAAACTTGGTGGTTCCCCACACACCATGGCATTAACTCTCTTGTTTTAAAGAAACATACTGCATATCATAAGGATCTCTGTCTGTGAGTCAGCGAATTGCACGTGCACGTATTCATCATGTGGCGCTTTTCCCTCTGCATGTCCCATCTTTGGGGACGTGGTGGAGCGCCTGTCGGGTGTGGCGGGAACACGTGTGCTGACCTGGCCATGTCTGCTTAGATCTGCAGCCTCATGAGAGGGGGCATTGCTGAGCGAGGGGGCGTCCGTGTGGGCCACCGCATCATCGAGATCAACGGGCAGAGCGTGGTGGCCACAGCCCACGAGAAGATAGTCCAAGCTCTGTCCAACTCGGTCGGAGAGGTAAGGAGGGACTTTGAGTGTGCCTCTGCATGCCGGTTCCCACGTGCTCCCGCCTGCCCTCCATGAGCCTCCCCCGCTCCAGAGGACACAGGGCATCTGAAGGTCAGCCAGGCTGTGTCTCCCATCGGGGCTGCTGTGACAAGGGTGAATGGAGCGGCAGGTGATGCGGAGCCATCCCGGTCTGGCTCTAACTGAGCAACCGGGAGGGCACAGGCTGCTGGGGGTGCTCCCTGGACACTACTTTTGGGACTGGACCTGTATGTCCAGTTCAGAAGCTCTGCAGGGCACACAGCTCTGGCCACCCTGGCAGGCTTGCCTCTCTGCCCTTGCTGGCCATCCCCTCCCACAGCCAGGCTGCTTGCCCTGTCCCACTTCACTGGCTGAACCCCCCACAGTCCAGTTCTTTCTGGCATCGCTTCCACGGCAGTGTGAGGATGGTGTGGGGGAGGTGCAGGTTTTCCTCCAGAGCTCACAAGGAGGCAGGATCATTGGGAGGGGGGATGGTGCTGGGGAGGTGGCACATACACCGGGGGAGGCCTGGCCAGTGCGCAGCGGGTGTGCGTGTGTGTGTGTGTGTAGTGTGAGCGAGTGTGGGTGTGTGCATGTGGATGTGTGAGAGCATGGGTGTGTGTGGGATGTGATGTATGAGTGTGGGTAAGTGTGGGTAGGTGTGGGAAATGAGTGTGTGCGTGCACGTGGGTGTATAGGGGTGCATGAGTGGATGGGTGTGGGTGTGTGGCTGTGTGAATGTACCTGAGTGTGCGTGTGGAGGAGTGTGTGTGTGTGGGTGAGTGTATGCGGATGTACGTGTGTGTGTGAGAGCATGGGGTGTGTAGGAGTGCGAGTGTGGGTGTGTGCAGGGGTGTGTGGCTGTGGGTGTGTGTGAGCATGGGGTGTCAAGCATGAGTGTGTATGTGTGCACGGCTGTGGCTGTGGGTCTGTGAGTGGGTGTGAGGCATGGGGTGTGAGGAGAGTGTGAGTGGGTGTGTCTGTGTGTGTGTAGGGGTGTGTGAAGGGGTGTTCAGCACAAAGGGGCTGCAGGCTCTCTGGGAAGCGTGGTGGCCGCACGAGGCGGGAGGCTGAGAGCTGAGGAGCCCGGCCTACAGAGGGGCCCGCTGGGGACCGGGCAGGGAATTTGGGTCTGGGGACAGCAGCAGCAGGCCGGGCCGTCTGTGGTGCTCCCCCTGGTGGCTCTGTGAGGCTGAGTGCGTGGCGACCATCCTTGCAGCCTGTGGGTGGGCGGGTGGGTGGAGGGGTCTCTAGTTCCTGTTCTTCGGATGAGGTCTCCAGGAGCCACATCGGGACACTGGTATTTTGTGCACTGCAGGGTCGGCTGGGAGCTGGGAGGCCTGTTTTCCCTGGACTGGTGGGGGCAGGGGTCTGGCTCAGGAGGAGGAGGGGCCAGGCGGACACCAGCCTCCCTTTGATGGCTTCAAAGAAAGGAAAAGCCAGTGTTCCCAAGTAGATGCTTTGAAGCGGCCGCCCCCACGGCCAGCAGCCCCACACCTGTGAGGAAATCCACCCGTGGAGGAGCGGGCGGGAGAACGGGGAAGAGGCAGGAGGCGGCCGGGGCGTTGGAATCCTTTCAGCCCTGCCGAGGTTATGGTGCCTGTTTCCAGCAGCTCTGAGCCCACGCGGAACATGAGTCGCTGATAAACAAGGCTTGCAGTTGCGAGGGGCCTCGGGGTGGGTTTCTGGTTGAGGAACGCCGGGGAATGGCTGATGGAGGAAGCCCCTGCCGGGAGCAGGAGCAGCGGAAACCTACATCGGCCACACAGATCCCGGCGGGGGAGGGAGGGCAACGCTCAGAAGCAGAGCTGCGCGATGTGCCTTTCTGGGCTGCTCAGCCCAGGGCCCGAGACCTGCTTGCCTGAGGAGGGGCAGATGCACGGCGGCTGCACCCCGTGGGGAGGCCAGCATGCCTGCGGCAGCTGACCCTGGCAGTGCGAGGGCCCCCCATCCGGAGGCCGCAGCCTAGCACAGTCCCGGGCAGGACAGGGGAGAGCGTCGTGCTCAGGAGAGGAGAAGTGGGCAGTAGAGCTCCCTTTCCGTTCTTGAAGCAGACGTTTAGAGTCTGCTCCTTCCCAGTGTCCGCAAAGAAGGATTACAAGGCGCGCCACCCACACGGTTGGTCTCCCTGGGGCGGTCTGAGGCCTTGCTTGTATACCCAGCTCCTTTGGAGTCAGGGCTCGAGGCCAGGCCCCAAAGGGTCATTTGCTCACCGATCCCCAAAGGCTAAGAACTTGAGGTGCCCTGGGCCCCAGCGAGCCTGTTCCCAGCCCCCAGCACACTTTCCTGGCCCGTGTGTGTTTTGTAAGAAGGGGTGTAGGCCGGGCGCGGTGGCTCAGGCCTGTAATCCCAGCACTTTGGGAGGCCGAGGCGGGCGTATCACGAGGTCGGGAGATTGAGACCATCCTGGCTAACACGGTGAAACCCCGTCTCTGCTAAAAAATACAAAAAAATTCGCTGGGTGTGGTGGCGGGCACCTGTAATCCCAGCTACTGAGGAGGCTGAGGCAGGAGAATGACATGAACCCGGGGGGCAGAGCTTGCAGTGAGCCGAGATTGCACCACTGCACTCCAGCCTGGGCGACAGAGCAAGACTCCGTCTCAAAAAAAAAAAAAAAAGAAGGGGTGCGTGTGTCTTCCCCCATTGAGCTCCTCCTCAGTGAAGCAGAGTGCATCCCTCGCAGTTTCTGCCGAGGCCTGGCCACCCCCAGCCAGCCCCAGTGGATGGGCAAACTGTTGTCACCACTAGAAGTCCAATTTCTCACCCCTCGGGTGTCAGCTGGACTGGAAGCAAAACTAGCACTCAACTGTATTGACTCCTCTGGAGCCAGGGGTGGGGACCTGGAGTCTCAGTCTGCTGCATCTGGAAGGCATCATAAGTGTCCCCAGGCCTGGGCAGGCTGGCCTTCCTCCTTCACTCTAGGAGATGGGCATTTGAAGCAGAACTCTGGGGGGTTTGCCTCTGTCCTTTGCTTTCACCTGATTGTGGGAGGGGAGGTGGGAGGGCAGCGGCTCAGCCTCCTGTTTCTGTCCGCAGATCCACATGAAGACCATGCCCGCCGCCATGTTCAGGCTCCTCACGGGTCAGGAGACCCCGCTGTACATCTAGGCCACCCCAGCCTGGCCACGCAGCCAGGACACCGGGCAGGGCCGCCCGGGCCCAGAGGAGCTGGGAGCCGGGCCGCAGACTTGACCCCGACGCCACAGCCCAGCCACGGACGCTGGCTCCCCAAAGGGTGTGCCCTCACCACCCACTTGATTTTTTTCATTTTGCCAAAAAGGGGTATGTCTTTATCAAAGGAGAGTCACAGAACAAATGTTTGTTTGTAAAGCGTTCCAAGTATTTTGCCACGTTCTGGACTGTCTTCTCCCTGCACAAGCCAGGGTGTGTCTCGGTAGCTGTGCGTGGTGTGGAGTGTGTGTCTTTCCTCCCTGAAGCTGTGCGGAGCGAACTGGCGCCTCCGAGGGACGCGGCTCCCGGGGCAGGGCAGCCGTCACCCCTGCCTCCCGCCCCCTTGGCTGGGACGTCTGGGGTCCTGTGGGGCCCCCACAATGGTCCCAAACAGCTGCCTCTGCCACTGACTGCAGGGACACGGGCAGCCTGGCTCCCAGGACACGACTTGTAATGAAAGTTTGGGGACATGTGATTGATTGATTGATTGTAAATAAAGGATGATGGCCACAACATGAAAACTCCATATTTATTTAGATGCTATTATTACTGTTTGGACTTTTATTTTGGCAGGCTTTTTTCCAGACTCTAGGGTTTTCCAATGTGACTAATGACCACACCTGCCTCTCCCGTCGTCTCTTCTGGGCACCCTCCCACCCGGCTGCATACCCGGGCAGGGCTCCCACAGAGACAAGGAGGGCACAGGTGTCTGCCCCCTCTTTAAAATCGATCTACACACATCCACGCACATGCGACCCCGAGGAAACGAAACCCACTCTAGAAAACGCGACCTTGGCCGCACCTAAAGCAGCCAGCCGTGAGTGCAGACCCCTTGGCCAGCGTGGCGCAGTGGCCCTGAGCAGTAGTGGCATGTGTGTAGATCAAGTCGGATCTAGTCCAGCTCGGTTCATTAGCGATCCATGTAATCTGACGTCATCTTGTCTCGAAGTCTCTTTTTTTGGCCCAGGCCTTGAAGAATACACTGTGACTTAAGAAGCCTTACCACGCAGTAACTAAAGCTTTAGGATGACTGTATTCGAGGAGTGCCGTGTGTTGCATGCAGCTACCCGTAGGAAGACTTCGCGCATATCACTAATAAACCTGAAGTCGTGATGAAAAGCCGTGTGTGTGACTGGTCTGTTACCTCAGCGGCGGGTGCCCGCCTGTCCTTTCATTCACAGCTTGGATGCGGCTCTGCAAATTCACTATGCGGTGGCAGCCACAGCTGCTCTGTGCTCCTCCTGGATCCTGAACCTTGGAAGCTGTCACTAATGAGTTCGGTGGGTGGGTGCTCTGGGCACCAGGTGTCAGCTGGGCAACGCCCCGCTGCAACTGGAGGTGCCAGCAATGCTACCAGGTCACGGGGTCAGCGCCAGGTTCTTGACCCACTTGCCCCAGCAGGGAGACACGTCCGCAGAGCACTCACTAATGGAATGAGGGAGCCAGGGAGCCTTGGGCTTCTTCAGATTTCAACGTAAATGGCCCCTGGGAAAGGTGTGCATGCGTGTGCGTGTGTAAAAGCCGGACCGCCCATCCCAGCACCCTGTCTGCACCTGTGGGTCCTTTGCAGCCTGTCTAGAGTGACAATTCTGGCAGCTCTGCCAGCACTTACCTTTCTTCATGGCCACCGTTCTGGTGTCACCTGGTGTGGGAAAGCCAGGTAGCAAGCACGGGCTTTGTTCAGAGGCGGTGGCCTGGGGTCCAGCTGGGTTAGGCTGTGGGTCTTGGATGGGCAGGAGCCCTCCTCTCTGGCCTGCCCACAGCAGCGTGAGCTCCTTGCTGTGGGCACTGACCACCTTCACGGCCCAGGATTCTTGGGGAACTGCAGAGTAAGGAGAAGACTTACTCTCACCTAGCCGCCCAGAGGGTGTGGGCCAAGGGCTTGCTCCAGCATGACCTTGGCCATCAGGGGCATATAAAAGAGACGGCCTTTCAAGGCGCACACCAGCTTTGTGCCTCCCTCTTCCCAGAAAGTATACATGGTAGAGGCAAAGAAAGCTGTTCCATAGGAGACTGTCACAGAGAGCTGCGTATATGCCGAAATGTATATGCACTCGCTCTGAATGAATATGCTTAAGAATGATGAGTTCATGTCCTTTGTAGGGACATGGATGAAATTGGAAACCATCATTCTCAGTAAACTATCGCAAGAACAAAAAACCAAACACCGCATATTCTCACTCATAGGTGGGAATTGAACAATGAGATCACATGGACACAGGAAGGGGAATATCACACTCTGGGGACTGTGGTGGGGTCGGGGGAGGGGGGAGGGATAGCATTGGGAGATATACCTAATGCTAGATGACACGTTAGTGGGTGCAGCGCACCAGCATGGCACATGTATACATATGTAACTAACCTGCACAATGTGCACATGTACCCTAAAACTTAGAGTATAATAAAAAAAAAATTAAAAATAAATAAATAAATAAATAAAATAAAATAAAATAATAAAATAATTCACAATTCTAGCAAAAAAAAAAAAAAAAAAAAAAAGAATGAAAAGCAAATACAATTCTCGACGTGGCCAACAAACAAGAATGCCAGGGATGGCCACATCCTTGGGGAATGAAGAGAAATGTCGCCTGAGTCAAAGCTGGAGGGAACGGGATTCCACTCAGGAGGCCAAGGGGGACATTCCTGCCGTGCCCAGGACAAGGCGGGGAAGCAGGTCCCGGGGAGAGAGCCCTGGCTAGCTGAGGACATGCAGGCAGGACTCCCACCAAATCATACACATCTTTAAAAAACCTGTATTTAAGGAAACATCTGAGCCATGGCCTGCATTCCTCCCAGCAGCCCTTGGAGGCCATGTCCATGGAGGGGCTGCCATGGCCAGCGTGGACGGGCGTGGGTGTGTCCAGGCCCTGGCCCTCCCCACTCTGCCCCGGAGTTGACCCTCTCCGGAAGGCTTCTGGAAGCACAGCTGAGTGGCATGGGTATCCCAGGCTCCCCGGCTGGCTACTGCAAGGTCCTCTCAGGACCCTGCCCCTGGCCACTGGGGTACACAGCCTCTCAGCCTGCCTCTGTCCCAGTTAGACCTCAGAGACACAGAGGCCAGAAATACTTCTTTTTATTAAAACACGGATCATTATTAAAACACCTTGAGGTACATTAAATAAATACAGCCTTTCCAGTTGTACAGACAGGTCTCTGGTGGCTTGAAAACAATTTCCTATAAATTCTGCCTTAGCAGCCTCTGAGAGTCAGCATGGGTGGGGAGAAGCATGTGTGTGTAGCGAGCTTTCTGTGGCCTGGTGTGTTACAAGCATTTAATGTGGATCCTCATCTCCAGCCAAGGGAGACCTGAAGTCCTTGCGGATGATGCTCCCCCTTCTGCGATCTTGCTTGCCATAGAGTTGGGGTCCATGTTCTCCCCACTCAGCAACCTTGTGGCCCCCAGGCTGGGGTCAACGGTGGTGTCACAGCAGGTGCCAACCCCCTTTGGGTCTCAGGGGAGGGCAGGGGATGCCCGGGGCCCAGCTGAGTTGGAGAAGGAGCGTGTCACCCCCAAAGCAGCCACAGTTGGCCCATTTCAGATCCCAGATGGAACATGATTGGAGCGGGGGAAAGACGCATAGGGAGGGGAAGCAGCCAGCTTTCTCCTGGGCTGTGAGCTGACGTGCAGCCCGGGGCCTGGGCTCTTGCTGCTGGTACCCGGATGCCGTGGAGCCGGGGCCAAGGGGACCACAGCTTCTGGGTCAAGTTGCCAGCACATTCCCTAGTCTACCAGCACCTCTCTCTTCTGGGGACCTTCCCAGGAAGCCCAGAACCTGGACCCTCCTAGAGTCCATGAGTGGCCCTGAGCAGCGGGGCTGATGGGGGCACCCCACCCCGTCCCTGACTGCCTCATTTCGAAGGGGCAGAAGGTTCCAGCCCAGCGGCATCAAGTTGGGTACAGTTTCCGTATCCACAAAACAGAGCTGCCACCAGCGCAAACCCAGAGCTGGGTGAAGGTGGGGTGCAGGTGAGGGGCCTACAGGGAGGCACTGCTGGGGCAGCAGCCCCATTGGCCATTGGGACCGGGCCCTGCTGCAGAGAAGGGAAGGATGCTGAGCAGCAGGCTGAGGGGGTCCAGTAGGCCTCTGCCCCGGCTGCATGAGGAGAACACCCCAGAGACCGAGTCCACTGGGTGGCTGGTGGTCTTGGCCTCGCTGGAATTGCAGCCATGTCTGAGGACTGCAGCTCTAGCCCACCCAAGGGCTCAGCCCAGGGACAATGCTGTGTGAACCCCCAAGCCCTAGTGTGGACCCCCCCAAGCAGGTGAAACCCCTGCGGCGTGGCCCCAGCGCACCTCAGAGACAGTGGAGATTCAGAGGCCAGGGCGTCAGGCGTGGCTGAAGCTCGGCTCCAGGGCGGCCATTCTGAAAATCCACCAATTAATTTCACCTGCAAAGGGACTTGCCTTGAGGGAATTCAAAAGCCCCCACTTGAGGAAAATTAGAGATTTCCTGTTTTATAGTCTGAATAAAGTGCTCAAAAATTCATCTCTAGTACGTCTCTCCTGCAAAAGTGCAGGTTGTCATCAAAAGGCCTGGCTTATGTGTTTTCAGCTCTCTAAAGCAATCGAAGCCTTTTCAGCCGACCACAGCTGAAGGAGTCCCACACCGCAGCCCCCAGGGCAGGGATAAAGGACTGGAGGAAGGCTCTGGGCACCTGGATTGGAACCTCACCCCCTTCCCAGCTTCCAGCCACACAGAAGCTCCCCAGCACACTGGCCACAGTGGCATTAGGGAATTGGGGGAGCTCAAGGACAAGCCCCACAAAGCCGAGGGAACAGCAGCGTGAGCCCCCTGCCCTGGCACCCAGGAGTGGAAGACACCCTCTGGTCCCCCTGCGCCCCCATGCCAGGCTCATGGGCTCTCTGGGGAGACCTTGGCCTCTAGGCTGTTTTGTTCACCGCAGGGCCCACCCAACGCAGCTCAGGGGCTGTGGCTGCTAGTGGCCCTGAACAGGCATTTCCATCACTGCACAAAGTTCTCGTGGATGGCGCTGTTCCACGGCCATTGTTGGGAGCAGCTGCCACTGATGCCACCAGAAAACAAGGGGATGGGGGCTAAGAAAGTCCAAGGTCCCCAGGCTGTCCCCAAGCTGGGCGTGTCTGCTTCTCCATAAGCAGCACGTTGGGTGTCTGCTTCCCTTCTCGTGTGGGTTTGTAAGTGGTTTATGATCCTCCTGCGCAGGTGTGTCTGCTGCCGCATGCCCGGGGAAAGGTCAGCTCTGGGTCAAAGGGACCTGCTTTATCAGGAGGGGCTACTTCTCAGAGAAACCGGCCTCTCTCCTGCAGAACTGTGACCCGCTGAGCTCAATCAAGTGAGCTCAGACACAAAGGAGCTGGGAATCGGCACTTGTTGTTACGGATCACACAACTGCTCCAGGGACAGGATGGGAGCCTGGAGAAAGGGGGCCCAAGAGGAGGGGGGGAAGGCACCCCACGGAGGGAGGCCGAGCTCAAGGCCCAGGAGATGGTGGGTTCCTCCAACCCCCGCAACACCGGCCTGTTCCCTGGGGGGGGCCGGGCTATGGCAGAGGCCCGCACTGCACATTTGTTTGCACAATAGCCCTGTGGACAGAAAGTTGGGCCCAGGCTGCCATCTGTGCTAACACTACCTATTTCCTTTCACAGGAAATAGGCCAGAGCGTGATGAACGCCTAATGATAGAGCCATCGAGCCACATGAGAAAATGTTTCATGACTCGATGTCACCCTCTGTCCACTGAACACTAAGTTAAATGGGGGATGGGAGACTCCTGCTTTGGAAGGCCCTGATTTTGGAGATACTTTGAGTCTTTAGGTGACGTAAGTGTCGCCTGTTGCTGTATTCACATTTGTGCAACACTGCTCAGTTCAAGGTGCTGCACGCCAGATAAAACCAGAGAGTTCACTGTGGACGTGAAAGTCATCTTTCCGAATTACTGGGCTAGGCAGGAAATGCAATCCCCAAAGAGACACTGCTCGGCTCCCCTCGAGAGAGGGGGTAACAGTTCCCTGCCCACACCGCCCCCAGATCATCCTGGGTGTCCCCCCCACATTTATCCTCCGCCAAGCTGGGCCTGAAGGCCTCTTTGTCAGGCATGATGGCTTCTGCCAAGAACATCTGTGGCGCCAGGCGTTGGTGTCCACGGTCAGAAATGTGGCTCCTTCATACCTGGTCCAGAACGTCAGCGCCGAAGACGGCCTCCTCCTCGAGGCGCTCCTCGTTGGTGACAGCCAAGCGCATGGCACCCACCATGTGCTGTGCCTCGGTGGGGAGGGCACAGTGTGAGTGTTCCAAAAACTTGGCCACCAAAACCCTGGCATCCGCATAGGCCTTGCTGTCCACTAAAGAGCGTGGCCGCTCTTTGGAGGTCGCTGGGAAGGGCTCTGGTGTTGGCCGTTGGTCAGTTTTCCAGGTATCTGGGTCCCCCGCTGGTGAAAGCTGGGCCCGACAGGCAGCCGTGGCAGAGCGAGACATGGAAGCTAAAAATCAAGGGCAAAAGTGCAGTTCAAAACTCACTGAAATAAGAAGTTAACTCAAAAGCAAAGAAAAGCCTGCTCGGGAGGAGCCTCCTGCTGGGGTTTCTGTGTTCCTGGGGCTGGCGCTCTGGGCATGCCCTGCTGTCCCCATCCCTCCTCCCCTTCTCAACCCCAAACTGAACTAGTGTCAACCTCCAGGGGCTGCAGCCTCCAGGAGCGAAGGCCTGGGGGGAAGGGCCACCACAGCAGGCAGCGACCCACTTCTGCCCTCTGCTAGAATCCCAAGGGCACAGGGGCTGGTCCTTCCCAGTCTTCTCGCCTCCACGACCTTTGCCCCTTTGGGTCTGATCTCTTGCTGGGGCAGAATCATGGCATCTAGAGACAGGGTCTGCCTTAAGACCAGAACTGGGGGTGGCAGAGGGAACATGAGACCGCCCCCCCCATCATGCCAGGTGCAGGCAGCCACCACTCAGTGCCCTGCTCCACTGCCTGCCAGGCCAGAGGCTGGGGACCTGGCTCCAGCTCCCCACAGAGCTGACAGCCTCTCTGCATGACCCACAGGCTGGACACTGGGCTGAGGGTCCCTGTAAGACGGCCAGCTCCGGGCTGTCAGTGGCGAGGGACGCCAACAAGGACCAGCGAAGGCCCGGCTTGCCCAGCCTGAGCTTCACGCCACACAAAGTTGGAACATTCTGGGTCGTCTGTTCTGGTGTCTTGTTTGGTGGCAACTGGAAAGCCTAGCAATTAAACATGAGAAATTAAGAAACTCCCAGGTGGGGCCCATCTACCCCAGATGAAATCTCATAAAGTGGGCTGAGCAGTCACAGGTGTGTTAAATTAGTGCTAGCCCTGGATATAAGTGCACCGAGAGACAAAGGAAGAGAAAGGCCCTCAAAGCCAGACAGTGGGCAGCCCCCATTCCCGGGGGTGGGGTGAGGAGCTGCATTTGGAAACAATGTAGCCAAGGACCCACCAACACCCGCCCCACCTCCCAGCAGGCGCAGTCAAAGCGCTTTAGAAAAGAAGCGTCTCACCGCTCCCAGGCACAGCCTCAGACAGTCCCGCTTCCAGGTCCTGGCTACACGACGGCCTGTGTGAAGAGGCATCGCCTTAACCAGAAGGAGAATTCAGTGAACACATGAAAGGAAAAAGGAATTCCTGAGAAAGCTATCATAACCCGCCTGTGACTAAGACATTTTAGATGGCGAGCAAGCAGGAGAAGCCTGCTGAGCTGACACCCACCGAGCGGCAGATCAGACAGGAACCGCCCTGCAGCTGGCCAGGCCTGCCGTGGGTCAAGTGGTGTCCCAGGTCCCACCCTGACACAGTGCAATGGGCCAGTGGCTCAAAGAAAGCCCAGCACCCTTCATGGGAATTCCCACCCTCACCTGAAGGGCTCCAGGCACCCTGGAAGGCATGTGCCTGCGGCGTGCACATCAGCCTAGCCAAGAGGGGACAGAGGCGTCAGGCGGGTGTGTGGGTGCCGAGGTGTGAATTTCACTGAGAGGGACAGGCCCAACAAAGCCATCAGGGGGCCACAGAGTGGACCCATGAGCCCCTCCAAGTACAGGGCATCCTCCTCCAAACCTCAGTGAGTGAATGTGAGCATGGTGGAGAGAGGTTCCGGAGCTCAAGAAACCAGCAGAGGGGGGTGTTTCAGAAGGTTTGACGGGACTCTCTCCCTGTGAGCTGGCAATGGGATGCAGGAAGGAGGAATACAGAGATGACCGCAGCCAGGGAGTCCACATGTGCCAAACCTGGTATTTCCACCAGGAGGGTACCTCCAGGCAACTGGCCACTGCGGGCTCTGGTTCCTTTCAGGGACTCGGTTCCGGGCTCCAGTAGAGATCAGCTGGGCAAGACCATCGAGGGGAGACTGAGCCAGGACCCACTGCGCCCTCTTCAGGGTTCCTGCACTTCCACTTCATGAAAAGTCCCCACAGCAATGGCATGGAGGTCAAAGGCCCACCAATCTTTATTGGCAGAAACTGTGCCTCCTCTCAAAAGACAGTGATGAGGACTGGGTGTGAGTTCTCCAGCGCCGGGGGTGCCCAAGACTCCCGGGGAGCTACTGTGAAATGCAAATTCCTGCGCTGCTGGCCACAGGGACCTGGTGCCAGGTCCTAGGCTCCAGGGCACTGCCCGCAGACACAGTCGCATGGGGCGATTTTTGAAAGCTCTGGGCTGTGTGGAGAGCCAAGCTGCCTGGGAAATGCTGCTGAAAACGCACCTGTGTCTGCGTGGGGCGGCTCCAGCTGATGACACCCCCATGCCCAGAGCTATCGTTGGGGGTCATCTGTCCTGTGCCAGACTCTAGGCCTTTTCTGGGCCCTGGAGCACGTGTGCAGCACTTATAGCTAATGTCCTGGACTGGGCCCCGGGCCCCTTGAATCCTTCCTCCCCTGCCAGAGTGACAAGCCTGGTGGGGTGCAGAGGGGCCCACAGGCTGCTCCCCACCCACCCCTGGCTCAGGGGCCATCAAGACCACATTCCCAGTGTGGCCCCAGACAGGATCTGCAGGGCCGGGCCTCCACTCTCAGGGGTCACTGAGACCTGCAGCATCCAAGGAAAGCTGGCCACACTCTGGGGACATGGGTGAGCCTGGCCAACCTACCTGCCATGCTAGATGTGCACAAGGTGGGGTCGCTGGTGGAGCGGGACACACGCCCGGGACCTGGCTGCACCTGTGAGCCCATGCCAGGATCCTCTGGAGACACATGGCCAGGGGGAAGGGCAGGTTCGGAGGGTGCTGGGGCGCCCACAGGGCCATCGGGGGATGGGCTGGAACCTGGCGTAGCAGTGCCCTCGGACACCAGGAGGCTTGTGCTGTCAGCTGGTACTGCAAGAGAAGGGACATGGCATTAGAGTGGGCGGCCGCAGGGGACGCTGGCGTGGGACAGGCCTGCCCCTCAAACTCCAGACCTAGATGAACTCTGAAACCCTGGGGGTGCGGAAACACTGGATAAGATTGACAAATGCTGCTTTATGCTGTTGAAAGTTGGGGGCACCAGATGAGCTCCCAGAAATCATTCCAGGAATGGCATGGTTCGGGGGCTTAGACCCTTCACACTACACAAGAGACTAAAAGTCAGAAATCAGACACTTTGGTCACAAGACGCTTTGGTCTGGGTGAACAGGGCCAGTGCAGGGGTACACAGCAGCCCCAAGGGACATCAAGGCATCCCCACCAGGTCGCGGCAGGCCAGATCTCAGGCCCGCCCTTGCAGGGGTGCAGCCCCGGGCCTGGAGTGCAGCCAGACAGGGTGGTGCAGGCAGGTGGGATAAACTCCGCCCACCAGACACTGGCCTTGGCTCTCAGGGTGTGGACGCCACGCCAGCAGCAGCAGCAGCCTTGCCCTGGGAACAAGCGGGGAATGCAGACTCTCAGCTGGACCCCAGACCCATGGAAGCAGAGACTCTGGCGCTGGGCCCAGCCACCGGGGTTGAAGCGAGCCCTCCAGGGAATTCTGATGCCCTCCAAACTGTAAGAACTGCTGGTCTGGACCGGGATGCTGGTCAGGGCTGGGCTCTTGCCGGGAACCACTCTACGGGGGCTGGATCGGAGTCTGTTTTAATACCATCTCCACGGGGTGTGCATGCATGTGACAGTGTGATAAGCTGCTCCTGCACTCTCCCCTCCCATCACCAGGTGCCCTCAGAGCCCCCTCCTGGCGCCACAGTGGAGTTGCCTGCATGGGGGACACTTCATAGATCACAGAAGCCTGGACTCCTCCAGGCGTGGGGGCTTTGGGTCTGTTCCTGCCATCCCTTTCTGTTTTTCCCTGCGTCTGTGAGCCTGCCCATGGGCAACAGGCTTTTCAGGCCACCTCCCACTTCATCCTTCCTGTCCGTCTGTGAGGCAGCCCCAGGTTACCCCCACCCTACAGCTGCAGAAATGGGCTTAGACAGGGAAGGGTTGAGGGTCACACAGCCACCAAGGTGGTCCTCTACTCAGGAGAGTCCTGACCCCTGTACCCCAGCAGAAGCCTCGGTGCTGGAAGCTCTGCTGGTCCCTGGGTCAGCTGTAGAGTTCACCGCCCAGGTCCCAGGAGGGAGGAAGATCCAGCCCTGCTGAATTCTGGGTGAGGAGCACCCCTGTCTATTTCCACCTGCCCTGAGATGGGAAACAGGAAGGGGCTCAGGTAGCACCAGCCCCCTTCAGCCCAAACCCTGGAATGCTGCAGGTGTGGCCGCCCTGTGACAGTGACTGAGATACACTGTACCCTGGGTTGGCCGTGGGAAAGTCACTGAATACCTTCTTGAACAGCCTCTGATGGCTTGGAGTGACCAAAGGAAGGAAAAGATTGCTTCCAAATCCCACGACTGCAAAGATGCTGCGCTCTACAACCCCCGGTGGCCTCAGAAAGATGGCTCCTTCCTGTTTCTCTTAGATGCTGAGTGAGTGTTCAGCAGGGGACAGAGCGCCCTGGGGCGATCATCCTGGCCCTCTGTGGGATCACATGAGTTATCTAACTTTGTTCTCCAAATAAGCCAGCCCATGTGACCCCTCGCAGGGGCCTCAAGACGGTGGCTCTCTGGCTCACTTGGCCTCCGTGCCCTTTCTCCCTCTGCTGCTAAGGGCCCTTCTGCTTTCCTGGAGCCTTAGACCACCTCCCCCGCCCCGGCTCTGCACGCGACACCCACCCTCTGTGTCTGGGGATTTGACCCTTGCACACGTGTCCTTCAATGCCCTCAAGGACATGACTTCCAGCCTGCACCCTCCTGCCAGCCGCCCAGCCCAGCCACCTTCTTCAGAGGGAGGTGCCGTGTGGACATTTGCCCGGTAGGTACAACTTTGGCTCTGGAAAGGGGACCCTAGATGGAGTCGTGCTCTTCTTCAAATCCATATCCCTCAAGTGAGAAAGTGGGGCAGAGGAAGACAAGGTCTCCCCGGAGAGCGCAGGAGATCTCCTGCATATGCTGACTGTAGTGGATGCAGACACAGGAAGAAATGTGGGGATATACAGGGTATTTAATGGGAAAGACTGCTGCAAACTCCACCCTCTTAAAGAGTAAGAAATGGAGGGAGGAGGAGGAAAAAGAGAAGAGAAGAGAAGAGAATAGGACGAGGACGAAAAAGAGACACCCTTGAAAACAGGAACACCCCACTTCAGGAGCTGAAAGAGGTAAGCTTACCTGGAGTGCTGAAGCCAGCACTGGTGTTTGGGTCCCCGGAGCTGGACTCGGCCACCTGCTGACCTATACTTGTAACCTACAGTAAGAAACAGAAAGCGTCAAGGCGGCTGGTCCGTGGGAACGCAGCACAGCAGCCTCCAGTAGTGTAGGCGCTTAAACTTGTCTCCTGGTGGGAAGCGCTGAGAGACGTTCATCCACACCTCCACTCTTCTCCCCTACATTTATGAGGTGGGGTGTGAGGGTTCAAGTTGCCCTTGCCAAGGCCAAAGTCTAGTTTTCTTTTTTCTTTTTTTGAGACGGAGTCTTGCTCTGTCACCCAGGCTGGAGTGCAATGGCACGATCTCAGCTCACTGCAACATCCGCTGCCCGGATTCAAGCGATTCTCCTGCTTCAGCCTCCTGAGTAGCTGGGATTACAGGTGTCCACCACCGTGCCCAGCTAGTTTTTTGTATTTTTAGTAGAGATGGGGTTTTGCCATCTTGGCCAGGCTGGTCTCAAACTCCTGACCTCAGGCGATCCGCCTGCTTTGGCCTCCCAAAGTGCTGGGATTACAAGGTGTGAGCCACCGCCCCTGGCCGAAAGCCTATTTTTCTGAACTTTTGCAATCAGAGAGCCTGGCAGGGCCACAGAGCCACCTGAGCCTACGAGTTGCACAGTCATCGAGCTTTTGTGGCTTTCGATTTCTTTTTCTTTTCTTTATTTATACATTTTAGAGACAAGGTCTCGCTCCATGGCCCAGGCTGGAGTCCAGTGGTGCAATCATAGCTCACTGCAGACTCGAACTCCTGGGGTTAAGCGATCCTCAGGCCTCAGCCTTCTGAGTAGCTGGGATTATAGGCATGAGCTACCACGCCCTGCTTTTTTCAGCTTTCTTCTTGGATATACTCTGATTCCGCCTGGAGAGGCCTCAGAATAAGGGGAAGGCTATACCTCCTCTGCTCTCTGCCCCATCTTCATTTTGCCCATTCTGCGTGGGCCATGGTTTCCACCTCAGAGGGCATCAGGGCCTCCCGGATGCGATGTTTGGATGTGATGCCAGCTACACACATGTTGCATGAGCACCCCCATGCACCCCATGCTACCTCAGAAAACAATTTTTTGAATCCCTGTGTTATTTCAGAATTGCTTTGGGGATACACTTGCAAATAATGAGCTCCAGAGGAGACTGGGAAGGTGAGGGGGGCTCCTGCGACTTGCTCTGATTCCAGCTCAGGTAATTACATTTCTGCCTCCCTTATCTCCCGCCACTTCAATCAGATAGCTGGTCTCCTTCATCTCTCCTCTTCAACCAGGCTGACACCAGGGCGGGGGCTGGGGCTGCAGCCTTCCCACCCACACAAAGGGTGTGAGCTGCCCCCACAGCGTGGGGCTCGAGAGGTGGTTCCGAGACAAAGAGAAGACGGAGAGCTGCCCAAGTGCGTCCTTTGATCTCACTAAGATGCTTTCGCATAATACGGTCCATACTATTTTTCTTCCTTAGCCCTCTCATTCTGCTGGGAGGGAATCGGTGAGGGAGAATTCACCCCACCATCAGCACCCACCTGCTTTTTCACTGAAGTCATTATGTGCCAATAACCAGTCCTGGAAATCTCTGTCCAGAACCTTCCACTGAATCACAAAGAGCGAACAATGTCCTAACGGTTTGTTTCATCCTGTGTCTCCCCTCCCGTATCTAACCCTCTCTCGGACTTGCTTTTCTTTTGGATCGTAGACGGGTGGTTAACTTAGAACTCCGCTGTCTAAAAGAAAATCTTCTGGTAATAAAGAAATATAAATAAAACAAGAGAAAGAAAATATACAGTGGGACAAGGTCAGGAGGAAACTGGATTCACTTCATGTTGTGCAGAAGCATCATTCACTTCCTTCTGGCTCCCGGTCAGATTTGGTTTCCAGAGGAGGCAGCTCCTGGGAGCCTATCTATCACCTCTCGCAAGCAGAGTGTCAAGAGTTTAATTTAAATGTGGCCCTTCCCTGATGTCAGAAGCCACCTTGCCACGCTAAGCCATGGGGAAAATAGCACTTCCTTTCATACAGCATTTTTGATGAACTATAACAGCAGTAGAAAAGGGTGGGGAAGAAATATATTTGTGGCATAGAATTTAAGTTGAAATTTGAGTTCAGTGAGGAAGCTCATAAACACAGCTCCTTACAGAAGGAGAGCGGGGAGAGGGCTGTTGACAGGAGACGCTGTGGGAATCACTTCACCTGGGTCTTACTGGTTTGCAGATGTGCTATTCTGAACAGTCATCGTAACTGGAAAATAAGTTGGCTTTTCAACAAATAATTCAAATTGTATGAAGCTAAGACACTTGCATGGAAATTCTGCCCCATTCTGTAGTTTCCCACTCCTGGGTGAGGCCAACCATTAGAAACAGATTTATGAAGAGCTCTTCGTTTGGGGCAATTCCAGCGATTATGGAAAATGTGAGTTAAAATTTTAGGCTGGTGGCTCAAGGCAAACTTTGAAGACACTTTGCTAACAGATTTTATGTGGATCGTAAGTGTCAGGACCTGGTGCTGCTCCTGGACTCTGCTGGTCCCTCTCCCTTCTCACAACTCCTTGTCTCGCACTCAGGTTCCCTTCCACCTGGCATGCTGCCACCAAATTAAACTCCTAAAGCATCACTGGGTCGCACCCAAGACGCCAAACTCCTCAAGGGCACTTCTACAGTTTGACATCCAAAGCCATAAAATATCTGCCCAAATGATTTCAGCCCTGGGGTGCTGAAGCTCCCACAGCCAGGCTCCAGGCTGTCCTGCCATGCGCCTTAGCTGGTGCTGTGACCTTCACCTGCACCACCTCCCCCTCCTTCACACACCCCAGCCCGACAAGCCCCCCCATATCACCTCCCCCTCTACACGCACCCCAGCCCACCCAGATCACCAGGCCCGATTCCTCTGCAGAAGCCTCAAAGGAGTTCGTGTCTGTCCGGTCTCCATGTGAGAGTGCGAGAGTGCCACGACAGGGGGATTCTGTCCTACATCCTCTGGAGGGCCACCGTCGTCAGTGGCCCCTGAACCATACGCTTGCCACCCAGACAAGAAGATCAAACTGGTAATTTCTCAATCACTTTCCTGCTATCAAAAGAAACTCACTCCTTGAACACTGGCTGAAGAGTACAGCCTCAAACCACAGGAAAGAGAATGGCATCTGACCTAAGCCGGAAGGGAAGTGTGCACGGCCCGTCACCCATGCGAGTGCTCACGGAGCCCACCCTCGTGGAGGCCGCCCCCTCTTGGGTTAAACCTCTTCCCCAGCACACCCCCTGCCCCGCCCCAGAGTCAGCTCCTCCCCGACAGAGCCCGCCTTCTGCAGCCTCCTCTCTTTATCCAAACTGAGGCCGAGGGCACTTTCTACGCCATTTGTCCTAACAAGGAGGAGCACTACTGACCCTGCCTCGCCCGGGCTGCGGGGTCGTGCTGTGAAGGGGTGCTCCTTGCTGTCTAGTCAGAGGGGCCTTGCTGCCTGGGGAGGGGACAGCTGGTGGTGCAGCTGGCGGCACGGCCTTCCCTCTGTGGACGGTAATGGGTTTCTTTGACTTCCAGACTCCCAGACACGGCCGTGAATTGAAAAGTGCTCCCAGGCCATGGGGTCAAAGACAGTGGGCCCGAGGGCTCTAGCGGCCCCTTCATCACCAGATGCTGCCCTGCTGCCAGGCGGGCGCCCAGGGACAGGCCCTGCAGGCGGTCGTGCTGTGCCCCTGCCAGCACTGGGAGCTGGGGGTCTCCGAGCCAACACATGCTAATTCGAGATCAGCCTCTGACCTTTCAGCTGTTCTCACCGCAGTTCTGAGAAAGAGATCTCAACTGAGAGAATTCCCCAGAGTTCTGGAGAAGGGTGTCGCATTGGTTTCAGAACCAGCCAGATCCCTTCCAATATATTCTATTCTTCAGAGAAAACAGTAAAACTGTGAACACAACAGGAACCCATTCCTTCCGGGGGCCGCTGTGAGGTCAGACATTGAATGGCACACCCAGGTCCAGAAGCTACTTCCAGCAGGCAGGGCCCTCGGGAAGCCAGGGTCTGGGCTCCACGGACAGGGGTTCCTGTCGTCAGGAGGCAGAGGGGTCCAAGGGGCAGGGAGAACCGGGAAGCAGGCTCAGAGCCAGTCCCAGTGCAGAGCCGGAATTGTGATGGCAGCAGGCAGGGTCACTGAGCAGAGGCGGTGAAGGGGACAGAGCTGCCCCCGCGCCACAAGGCAGCCATGGGGAACCACACACCCCTGCCGCCTTCAGGGGTTTCCGGGTCCATCTGCCGCCCTGCCCGGTGCCCCTGCTGGCTACAGCATGGAGCTTCCCATTGCACCCTCGGTCAGCCTCCCCTCTGCCTTCCCAGGGGCTTCCCTCACGGAGGGCCCTGTCCTGGGCCTGCCATCCCCAGTATCTAGGTCCTTCCACATCTGCCTGGTAACCTCCTCAAGGTCCTAGATCCACACTCCCCTCTACCTACCATCCCATCTTCTCTCCTCTTTACCAAACATCCTGCGAGAGTGATCTACTCCTGCTCTCAAAGTGGGAGCAGCAGCAGGGCTGAGGCTTTTATACCCCCAACTTCAATACCCCAATTACTGACTCAGGAGCCCTGGGGGTGGGCCCAGTCATTAGGATTTGATTATCAAGTTCCCCACAGGGACACCCACTGGTGTCTGAAAACCACAGCCACACCTGCGCTCCCCTGCGCACGTGCCGTCCACTCCTTTACCTGGTGTGGTCCAGCCCTGCCCTCCATCGCATCAAAGCTGCTCTGCCAAGGCCACCAGCAGCCCCTCCATGGTGCGCCACGTGGCCCTGGATGTTAGCTTCTGGACAGCACCTGACCCATTGCTTTCTTCCAGAACTGCTGGTTTTGGCAAATCCAGGCTCCTGGGAGCCCTGCCTAGTGCCCTGTAGCCTGTCGTGTGTGGGGGTGCCTTTCTCCTGCCACCTGCAATGGTGTCATTCTGTGGGGCTCCCTCTCTCACATTTCCCAGGCCCCAGTGACAGCGGCAGCTAACTCTGATCACTATGAACTACAGCTCCTGTCATCTGGTGGACACTCACTCAGAATTCAACCCACCACACCCAGACAGGTCAACACCCATGCACACTCATCCGAGACTCTTTACGGACGACCTTCTGTTTGGGGGATACGCTGTGCCTGTCCTTCTTCCCTCTGAGCCTTTGCACAGGCTGTTCCCTCTCTCAGGAGCCCTTCCAGCCCCACTCCCTGCACCTCGCATGCCTGATGCCCACCCAGCCTGACCTCCCAGACCTTCCATGGACCCCCAAATTGGGCCTGACATCATGACAGGTGCCCCACAGTGTACTGGGCTCCCCTTGCAGTGCTGATGACAACTATTATCACAGCCAACTGTCTCCACTGATAACATTGATTTGAATTATTTTTATCATAAATGGAAAACTAAACAACATTGGGAAGGCAGAGGTCCCAGCTCAGCTTTATAAAAACACCTAAGAACATCTCCATTACTGCCAGTTCAGGAATGGGATTTCAGGGCCATGCCCACCTCCTGACTAAAGGATTCCTCTCCACAGGCAGCTCCCACACATCTGCTTCTAGCACCCACAGTAAAAAGGGGGTCCTGGCCGGGGCTCAGGGGGCCACTGTCTGCAGCCTGCCTGGCTGCTCCAGGTGTTTCAGGGTGGCTGCTTGGGGACTGTCTGCTTGTGTGAGGATGTGCTGGGGGCTCACGGGCCAGCCGGAAGCTGATCTGGCCCACCACAAGCCACCCTGAAGGAGGTCCCTGTGGTATATATGACTCCCCAGGTGCGGGGCACCTTACAGCGTCTGAATGCGCTGTCCATATATGACTCCACAGGGCACAGAGAAGTCACATCTCTTCCTGTCCTAAGACCACCCTGCCTGCAACGGTGACCAGTCCTTGTGGGTGTGATTGTCGGAAGGGCTTGTGAGCTTATTCAGCCAACATGGAAACTGCTCCTCCACCCACAGAAGCTCCTCAGGGTCAGCGCTGCCTTGGTCACTGGTTGGGACAGGGACCAGCATTGCCACCTGGCTTGCGTGCATGTGGGCTCTCGGGATCTCAAAGTGACAGGGAGAGCATTGGGGGTGACATCAAAAGGTCTGAACCCTGTGCTAGGGTGTCTTTACAGGAGTCAGCAGACAGCGAGCAGCTGGCCAGGCCTGATCTGATGCCCGGTACCAGTGCCTGGCCAGTGATCTGGGTAGAGATAACCATCCGGGGCTCCACGGCTGCTGAGAAGCCCAAAGCAGGTGCAGTTCTGGGTGGGCCTGGATGCTTCTGGTCATGCTGTCATCTGCTCTCCTCTGCTTGTTGCTTGGGCTCAGAATTGGCTTCAGCCCCTACCCCCGCCCCTCCCTGGTGAATCTGCAAGTCTCCCCTGCCCACGCCCTCTGCTCCAACTCACTGCTGTGTTCCCCAGCCATGCCCCAGTCCCCGAGGCCTCCAGGACCTCCTTGGCCACCTGTCACGGGAGTTCTCTGCATTTCCTAAACTGGACTGTCGGCCTCTCTAGCAGGATTGGGGCAATGTTCATGGATGATATCCTAAAATATGTTTTCCAGTCGTTTGCTTTCTCTCCCTGTATTTCAGGGACACCAGTGAGCTGTCGATTTGGTCTATTTACATAACCCCATGTTCCTTGGAGGGTGGGTCCTTGGAAGATCCCTTGCACTATGGGCCACGTGACTTTTCCAGATGTCCCCATCTCTCTGTCCTGGCTAGCAGCATTCCACACTGAGTCATGACAACAACGATGATGAGGAGGAAACAATACCCCAAAAGGGTGACTGACTTGCTGAATTCAGAACTTCCCATGTTCCAAGTCCTGTTGGCTCCATTACGGACAACATCCCATTTCGTCCCATAACCCTGGTACTGTTATGATCCTCATTTTACAGATGAGGAAACTGAGGCTCCACGAACATACTGCCTGTCACGTGTCAGGCACCATGAGGCTGCAGGAGTGCCTGGCATGCCCAGCTCAGAGAAGGCTGAAAGGACCTGGCAACTGAGGCACTTCCCTGGCCTGAAGCTTCTTGGCCTCAGACAGGACCAGGGATCCAGGGCTGCTTTCTCCCCACCCCAGAGGGCGGTGATGGCAGTGTGTGATCAAGACAGGCCGGGGCGCCCTGGGTACTCGGTCCATGGACCCAGCTCTGCTCCTGGGGGCTCTCCCCTTGGGTCAGGAGCTGTCCCAGGTCCTTTTACCTGGATCCCAGACCACCTACCAGCACAAAGCTCAGACGCACCTGGGCTGTGACTCGTGGCTGCAGAAATGGAACTGGGGATCTAAGGGGAAAAGCACCAGCACTGGGTTCCCCAGGCCCGGGCTGGCGTCTCTGCAGGTGCCGCTCTCTGAGCCTGTGGCCTCATCTACAGCACAGGGCTGATAAGACCAACATCCCACAGGTTTGCTGAAAGGCTTCAAGAGAGATGAATGCATCCGGGGGCCTCGGCACAGGGCGCTCATGAGTGTTCACCTCACAGCCAGCTCGGACCTGGCGCGGTGTGAGGTGCCTTCCGAGGGCAGGCCGGGACGGTGTCCCTAGCATTCCCACGGGAACTGGCTTTGTCTGGGGCCCCAGGCCTCACCTGGCTGGCAGGGGGCTGGCCCACCACCGCCTCGTACGGAGGGGGGAGCTCAGCAGGATAGAGCAGGCCGGGGCTATTGATGGCCACGTCATACAAAGTGCCGAATGGAGACGGAGCAAAGTCCAGGTGGAGGCCCCTGAAAAGACAGAATCATCACATCGTCATTGCCCGAAGGAGGAGGCAGAAGTGCTGACAGCTCTCAAAGCCGCCAGAGCAGGGGCGGCCAGGGCTTCCCCTCTTCTAATACTTCCCATCATTGTGAAATCAAAGCTTCAGTCACTGGGCGATTTGCACTTTTGTTTTTTTTTTTTTTCTGGAACGACATCAACATTTTCAATAAACTCTACTGACCTGTCCATTAAAATTCAAATAATCATACAGCTGATTACATCTTTCATTAAACTGTACATGTTACACAAATGACTGCAACGTGACCGCAGCTTTGCACGTCATGAGAACTTAAGGCAGCAACACCTGTCTGCCTCCGGCTTCTTTCGGGTTGCGTTGCAAAGGTGCCACGGGGAACGCTGTATGTCTAAGACCCTCTCCTTCCACTGCCCCTCCTCTGTTCTCACCGCCATGCCTGCAGGACCACTGCAACTCCCACCACCCGGACACTGCTGCCCATCTTAGTGGTTTCGAGATGGGGGCAGCCGCGGGAGACCAACCTCTGGGCCTCAGTGGACGGTGTGCAGGTGTACTCTGGGGGGTAATAGGGTGGAGGCGGGAGTGGGGGGATGAACTCGTCGAAATCCAGGGTCTGGTGGAGAACGGTGCCGTGAGGAGTCACGCAGGTGGGGTTGGCAGGATGTGACCTCTGCGGAAGGAACTGGAAAACAGAGACAACCACAGAGTTATCTGGGACATCTTGTGTGGCTTGTGTCTCATTAAGCTAATTATACGAGAGCTTTAATGATCAGTTTGGAATGCCTGTAATTTCAACTGTCAAGCCATGACTGCTAAGCACACACTTTAAAATGAAGGCGCCAGGAGGAACGCCTCGTCTCAGAAGTCTCAAAACGCTTTGTTGCCCACGCTGTTATACAGAATGCCTCTTTTTAAAGAAAACATATGGTCTGGGAAGTCTTTCATGCTGTCCCTACCACTCCAACTGGCCCCTCTGATGACAGTACTCAAAGACTGCAGACGGAAGGCTGCCTGACGTGCGTGGTTTAAGACGGCACTTCGGCTGGGTGTGGTGGCTCATGCCTGTAATCCCAGCACTTTGTGAGGCCGAGGCGGGTGGATCACCTGTGATCAGGATTTCGAAACCAGCTTGGTCAACATGGCGAAACCCCGTCTCTACTAAAAATACAAAAAATTAGCTGGGCGTAGTGGTGCATGCCTGTAATCCCAGCTACTTGGGAGGCTGAGGCAGGAGAACTGCTTGAACCCGGGAGGCGGAGGTGGCAGTGAGCCAAGATTGTGCCATTGCACTCCAGCCTAGGCAACAGACTGGAGTGTTTTTGAGACTCTGTCTGAAAAAACAAACAAACAAAGACGGCATTTCTCAAAGTGTGTTCATGAGAAAACACTAGACCCTCCCCTCGAAATGTCCCCACCCCACCCCAGAATTCCCGTGGTCAATCTGTGGGAAATGCCACATGCTCCCTTCTTGGAGTCCTGCATTGTGCATTCGTGTGTTAAAGGCTCTGAGAAGGGCTGTGCTGAAGTACTTATTTAGCTGTTTAACATTTTAACCCAGCATTTCTCAAATATTTCATAATGGGCCCCTTTGGACACGTAGTATCTATTAATATTTTGCAGTCTCAGGATTTCACACAGTTTGTAAAACACTGCTCTGAGGAAAGAGAGACAACTTCATGAGTTCCAGAACATTCTACTGGCCAACCTTGAACACCGAGATGCTGCTTTAATAGTGAGGTGAAATCACTTTAACAAAAATGAAACCTGTTTCTGCCTAGTTTTCCGTTTCTGAAGGACTAACCAACAACCAACTGCTTTTCTTTCCACCTTCACATCTCTGCTGCCCAGAGGTCACCTGTGGCGTGAGATGCCTGGGACATTGCTCCAGCTCCAGTCAATGCCGCCCTATGAGTGTCTACACGGCAAGAAGATCCATGCTGCAAAAGCTCTGGGCCAGGGGCCCTCCTGGCGCAGGGCAGGTGAGGTAAGGAGAGGAAGGGTGAGTGCGTGTGTGTCTGTATGTGTGTGTTGTGTGTGTGTGTGCATGTGCATGTGTATGTGCATGTGCATGTGTCTGTGTATATATGTATGTGTGTGTTTGTATGTATGTGTATGTGCATGTGTATATGTGTATGTGTATGTGCATGTAGATGTGTGTGTCTCTGTGTGTATGTGTATGTGTGTGTATGCGTGTGTGTGTGTGTGTGTGTGTGTTGAGGGGAAGACAGGGACCCAGAATCACCCTACACAAGCAAGGACAGCTCCATTAGAAAACAGTGAGGTCTCCAAGCACTGTGTGGGGACTGCGCTCCCCAAAGCATTCATGAAGAACGCATCTGAACGGGTCTTGAAAGATTGGTGGGATTTCATCTAGTGGGCGCTCAGGGAGACACTCAAGCCCCAGAACAGGTGAGCCAGGGAAGGATGTGTTTAAGAAAAGCAAATAGATAAGGCTCTGGAAGTCAATTCTTAATTCTGGGGCACTGGGGAGCCTGTAAGGGTGTTGGAGCTGGGGAGCAGGGGGACTGGAGCTGCGTGGTAGGAGGTGCCTTCTGGCAGCAGGGGTAGGGTGGGCTGGAGCTGACAGAGGCCAGGACGTGAAGCACTTTTGCACGGGTATGGGTGAGGTGACGATTCTGAATGGGGTCAAGCGCTGTGAAATAAGCATGCTCTAGGTTGACGAAGAAAGGCTGGTGGCCGTGTCTAAAGGTCTAACACATCACAGGAAAATGGCTCCCGTGGGCCTCCTAACACACGGAGCACACTCCTCGCCTCTCTGGCTGGACCGACCCACGGCTGCGTGTGTTTAATTGTCCGAAACAGAGGTGAATCATCCGCTGTGAGCGGGACGCATGTGCGTCTGTGGTCCTCCGCCTTGGAGGCTGTCAGTCCTGATGCCTGCTGCACAGAGCTGAGAAGCAGGGCGAGGGCAAATGCCCTCAGGTCTAATCAGGAAATATTTTCAATTAGTCTCTATCAGAAATTAGAAAAAATATCAATGACATACCCAAGCAAAACTAATGACATGCAGACACCAAAACACTTTCCAATTCAAGGCACCATTCCACCAGGAAGGAGAACAAGCATTTGAGGAGGGGCAGAGGTGCAAGGGACCCTCTCCGCAGGTGCAAGTGAGCAGAGGCTGCCACACACTGGAGGCTATGTAAAGGTCAAAGGACGCGGCTGCATCTGCTCCGGGTCGCCTTTCGGGGACATGTTGGCCCCACCTTCCTGGACCCTTTTCCCAGGAATCCTTTGACCTTGACTCCTCAGCCTCCCCAGCGAGAATCCTGCAAGTGGCGCTTGACGTCTCCCCTCTCTTCCCCACCATCAGTGTGTGTTTAATTAGGTCTGGGTGTGTCTCGCGGCCCAGGGTGGCCAGCTCTGTCCTCTGCTCTGCAGGCTGGGGCTGGAGGTCTGCAGACTACGCTTCCCAGGCTGCCGTGCCTGGGCTGCCGGCAGGCTCTGCCTGTAGGGGGTGCCAGAGGGCACCTGGCCGGCCTGCGGGGCGAGGAGGGAGCTGCGGGTTTCCTGCGCCTTCCCACCTCCTCCCTTCTGTTCCCCGGCTTTGCGGGCTGAGAGCTGCCCTCCGCACTTATTCCACTCTCTGTAAGCTCAGCACCCTCTTCTGTTCCTTCAGCCTTCCACACCCAAGTAACCTGCTCCCCGTAACTGTGTTGAAATCCTAAGGGCAATTTCTTTTCCTGACCATCTGGGGCACATCTATTTTACCCACCTCTGTACCCGTCTCACAATCGCACACAGCGGGTACTCAGTAAACTTCTGCAGAGGAGACGGGCAGACGCCTCCTTGCGGGGCAACTCCACTCAGCCCCTGTCCACCTCCTCCTCGCAGGAGCTTCTAACCTGTGTGCCTCTCTGCCTTGATTTTCTGTCTCTGTAATTTGGTCGCCATCCTGCTACCACAGCTGTTTTTAAATCAATCTGATGAGGTCACTGCAGTTGAAAAGACTTTAATGAGACCCTGGCTCACTGAACTCCATCTGGTTTCCAGCTTCCTAACCCAGCGCCCCCAAACTCCCCGCTCTTTGAACAAACCAGCTCTAATCCCTACTATCAAACACGTATTGTTCCTTCTTCCCAGCTCCCCACCTCCCTTTCACCTGGCGCCTCCCAGTCACCTTCAGGACCAGCGGAAATGCCTGTGACCCTGAAAAGCCAGTGGGCAGCCACCCCTCCCCCATCCCACCCAAGCTCCAGGCTCTGCAGCCTCACCTGCATGTTGACTGCCAGGTATAAAGCTCAACTCTGCACCTGGAGGTGGAGGGCAAAAAAGGGGCTGTGAACAGTCCCTTCTTTCCCAGGTGGCTCTGTTTGCCCTGATCTGTAACTGTCTTCTCTGATCCATGTGGTGACAAAGGTACACCTGTGTCTGGTGCCCAGCTGGGGCTCATGCACCCGATGTGGGCATCACTAGTGCCCAGGGCTGTCCCCGCACAACAGGAGTGAGGATTTGAGACCCCGCTGGAGAAGAGCCCCTGCTCAGTCTGCTCCGGGGAGAGGGGATCCGAACTCAGGTGTGTGCTGTCCACCTTCTCAGGTGGGTGCACGTGGAAGTGATGGAGGATGAGAACTAAGGCTACCTGGCCTTGGGCAGCTTCCCAAAGCCCACTTAACACAGAGCCCCGAACATTTCAGTCTATCCACACAGCCCAGAGTCTGGGATCTGAGGGAGATCGTGAAGAGGTCAACCTGCCTGGGACCGGGAGTCAGACCGCAAGTCAGTTGTCTCTGGGCCCTGCCTGGGCACTGAGGGCCCACAGGATGTGAGCACATTTCTGATCCTGTGAGTCTCAGTCCCCTTCCCTGAGAAGCACCATTGCTCACACAGACCCAGACAGCAGTGCTGTGTGGCTGAAAGGAAGGCTTGGATCATTAGTATGAGCTCATCCAGCCCATGCCTCCATCTCCTGCCATCGGGAACAAGGTGGGGCAGGGCAGGCATCAGGGGTCTGTGGACAAGGGCCGGGGATTTGCAGAAACACCGTGGAGCTCTGAGCTGCCTGTTCCTCCAGGTCCCAGCCGGGTCTGCTCACCTCCCTTTATATTTAGTGGTTTCCTGCCCAGCACCCACTCTCCCTGCTCCCTCTACCAATGTCCTTGCCACATCCTGGCTCCTGAAGGGAGCACACACACCTCTGAATTTTTCCAGAAAGACTCAGAATTACAGGGAAGGGCCTTCTCCCTCTGCCTTCCTTAGACTTGGTAGAAACAGCAGGCTTGTTACTACCGAAGTTTGCTGAATCAACTTCCTCCTGGACAACCCTGCAGATGAGCTGGAGCTCCCGCTCTGCGCTCCAGACCCTGGGGAGAGCCCGCCCTGCGGCCCCCTGGTCCTGCCGCCACCCCCAGGTAGGTTCCATGCCCACCCAGGGCTCCAGGGTGCCTTACTGCACAGGGTGAGGCCTGTGTTCATTATGACTGTAATTGCATAAGGAAATAGGGATGCAGACAGGAAGAGCTGCTCGTTCTGTGAAAACCAAGTTGAATGCTTTGGAAAGACTCAATAAAGGAGGGCAGCCAAGCAGAAACCGCTGCCAAGTCAAGTCCAGGCAAGGCAGGTCTAAGAGCAGAGAAGAATCATAAAAATCTAGGGAAGGTCTGTCTCCCCTGGCTGGCTTCCCCTGGCTGGCTCCACTTTAGAGGAACTGAATCTGAAAATCATTGATGGTGTGATTTCCACAAACTTTCTGCAAGAAATACACCCAGACAGGACAACAGACCCATAACCAAAGGGATGACCACAGCCCCAAATGAGATGACTGGTTGACAGATGCTCATTAGCATATCTGACGTCAAAGAAAAACGATTGTGTGTCCACATCATTTTTATGATTGTCTGCATTAGCTGTTTGGATGAAGTTCCTGGTCTGATAGATAAGTAGCACCTACTGTCCAGAGACAATTCTGTGGAGCCCAGGCCTCAAGGACCTCAAGGTTACTGTGGGTCCCCAGAGTGCCCTCTCCAGCAGGTGCAGCCAGTGCTGGGGTGAGGCGGAGAGAAGACACTGGTGAACTTGGTGATGCTGTGGCTCCCATGGGGTGGTGTCGTGTCCCTGACCAGCCAGCACCGCTTAACCAGCTCCATGGGCAAACCCACAGTTACCACGCGATGGAAGGCACAGTGCCCCCTCTGCACTGTCTAAAGGAGGTCAACTCTGTAGGGCAGACAGCTACCTAAATGACAATAATGAAAGATGAAGTTAATAAGCGCATGCCTAATGGAGATACATGTCATAGTAGATGATATTCCTGAGGCTGCAGCAGCTGGCGAGGAAGTAAGTGAAGAAGAAAACAATGTATCAGAAAAGTGGAAGAATGAGATGACATTTAAAAACAAAAAAAAAATGACATTACAGACACTTAAATGATCAAAAACCTTTTCTGCTAAATGATGTCAATCAACCACATTGTATCATCAGAATGTCTTTTGCCACGATTTCCACACATATTAGAGTAGCTCAGCTTCATCAGTTCTGACAATAGGCAGAACGCTTTGCTTCTCATGGATACAAGCATGCATTATGCTAGTTCCATCGGCAGTTAATGATCCCAAATTGCTGATCCACAGAAATAAGATGGGAGTTTCAGGTTCTTTGGAGACTTGTTCTTGCTATTCCTAGATTCCCACCAGCACTGGACACATAGCAAAGCCCCTGAGATAATTGCTGACTAACTGAATGAATGAATGAGTGAGCAAAGAAGTGAACAGATCAGTAAACACAAAACTGGGACTCTTCCTGAAAAATGGTTACGGCTGGAATTTTGATCAATTGTGTAAGTTGTCAGCACATCAATCACAATAGAAATCACAGCCTGGGTCCTTCCTGCTAACATGGAGGAGCAGGGAGAGGGGCTGGGAAAGTGGGGCTGAGACCCGCACAGTGGAGCAGAGTTGCCAGGCTGCAGGGCTGCCTTGGGGGCAAATTGGGAAGAGGTGCTCCTTCCTGTGGGAGGTCAGGGCATGGCTGTCATCCCCTCAGCCCAGCACCCCTCTGTAGGGCGCAGCACAACAGGGCACCAGAGAAGGGCCGTGGGGGCTGGAGCTGTGGCTCGGGGGGCTTCCCACAGGTTCTTTCTGAGAAAAGAAATTAGTTGATTGGGAAAGGGTGGCCGAAGGGCTTACACACACTTGCCCACAGTGACCTTCCTCCTTAATTATGCTCCCTTTATAAATTAGTGCTTCTCACTTGGAAGGTCTCAGATACAAATAAACACCAGAAATGAAGAGTTAGTACAACCAAAGCCACAACTGAATGCAAGAAATGAAAACCCGCTCAGAACAAAGAGGCCGACATACAGGAAGGTAAAGAACACAGAAACAGCAGTGAGCAGTAAAGCTTCTATAAAATTAAATCTAAAGGGGTCATGAAGATGTGAAGGGATGCTGTGATTTAAGGGCTAAGGAGGAGTGACATAGAAAAGACATCCCAAAGAGCTTACACTCTAACACATTTCGCCTGGAACTAAATGACTTTAAACCACCGCAGGAAAACCCAGAAGCTGGCCATGGTGTGGGAGGAGGAGGGAAGTGACGCACTCCAAAGAAATGACAGGGTAAGAAGAAAGTCATGCTGAGGAAAGCACAAAACACCAAGACACACAGATGCCAAGAGACGCCTTCTTCTCTGGGACTAGTGGTTGCCTGGTTAATGAATAAGAAAGTTATTTAAAGTGGGGAGTTTCACACACACATACACATGCAAACATAATACATACATACTGAACCCATTTTACTTTAACTTAAATCCTGTATATGTGGAGAAATTCATAGAAAGACACAAACTACCAAAACAGACTTGAGAAGAATAGAAAATGTGACAAGAGATTGAATTAGTAATAATACAACTACCCGCAAGGAAAAGTGCAGGCTCAGATGGCTTCACTGGTGAACTCTATCAAATATTTAAAGAAGGGCCGCGCATGGTAGCTCATGCCTATCATCCAAGCACTTGGGGAGCCCAAGGAGAGAGGGTCACTTGAGCCTACGAGTTCGAGACCAGCCTGGGCATCATAGAGGGAACCTGTCTCTACAAAAAAATTAAAAAATTAGCTGGGCATGGTGACGTGTGCCTGTAGTCTCAGCTACTTGGGAGGCTGAAGTGGGAGGATTGCTTGAGCCCAGGAGGTAGAGGCTGCAGTGAACCATGATCGCACCTCTGCACTCCAGCTGGGGGGACAGAGTGAGACCTTGTCTCAGGAAAAAACAAACAAAAAAAAACATTTAGCCGGGTGTGGTGGCTCACACCTGTTATCCCAGCACTCTGGGAGGCTGAGGCGGCTGGACCACCTGAGGTCAGGAGTCCAAGACAAGCCTGCCCAACATGGTGAAACCCCATCTCTACTAAAAATAAAAAAAATAAAAAAATAAAAAATTAGCCGGATGTGGTGGCATACATCTGTAATCCCAGCTACTAAGGAGGCTGAGGCAGGAGAATCACTTGAACGTGGGAGGTGGAGGATGCAGTCAGCTGAGATCAAGCCACTGCACTCCAGTTTGGGTGACAGAGAGACTCCATCTCAAAAAAAATTTAATGAATAATTAATACAAATTCTTCATAACAATCTTCCAACAAACGGAAGAGGAAGAAACACTTCCAAACTCTTCTATTAATATGAAAAGGATTACTTATCATAACCAAGTGGGATTTATCTCGCAAATGCAAGGTTGGCTTAACATCAGAAAAATCAATCTGTGTAATTCAACATATTAATAGAACAGAGGACAAAAACCCTATGGTCATCTCAATAGATGCAGAAAAAGCATTTGACAAAATCCAACTTTCTTTTTGATAAAAAAGACCCAACAGGCTGGACACGGTGGCTCATGCCTGTAATCCCAGCACTTTGGGAGGCCGAGGTGGGCAGATCACGAGGTCAGGAGATTGAGACCATCCTGGCTAACACGGTGAAACCCCGTCTCTACTAAAAATACAAAAAAATTAGCCAGGTGTGGTGGCGGGCGCCTGTAGTCCCAACTATTCAGGAGGCTAAGGCAGGAGAATGGCGTGAACCCGGGAGGCAGAGCTTGCAGTGAGCCGAGATTATACCACTGCACTCCAGCCTGGGCGACAGAGCGAGACTCCATCTCAAAAAAAAAAAAAAAAAAAAAAACAACCAACAAACTAGGAATAGAAGGGAACTTCCTGAATCTGATCAACAGCATCTATGAAAAACCCACAGCTAACATACTACTTAATGGTGACAGACTGGATGCTTCCCCTAGATACAAGCTAAGAAAGTCCACTCTCACTGCTTCTATTCAACATCGTAGTGGAGGTTCCAGCCAGGGCAATCAGGAAAGAAGACAAGATGAAAGACATCCAGAGTGAAGTAAACTGATTTCTATTTGCAGGTGACATGATTTTGCATATAGAAAGAATCCAGAGAAAAGCCCAACAACAATAAAGCTCAAAATGAGTTCAGCATGGTTTCAGGATATGAGATCAATATAAAAAATCATTTGTATTTCTATATATTAGCAATGAATGATCTGAAAATTTAATTAAGATAGTAATTCCATTTATGATAGCATCAAGAAGAATAAGATACTCAGGAATAAATTTAACAAAAAAGCAAAACTTGCACACTGAAAACCGTGAATATAACTGAAAGAAATTAAAGAACATCTAAATGAATGGAAGGGTACCTCATGTCCATAGGTTGGAGGACTTACTATTGTTAAGATGACAATATTCCTGAAACTGATCCACAGATTAACCACAATCCTCATCAAAATCCCGGGTGGATTGTTTGCAGAAGTTGACAAACTCAACCTAAAGTTCATATGAAATCAAAGGGCACAGAATATCCAAAACAATGTTCAAAAACTACAGAACTGGAGGGCTCACACGTCCACACGTCAAAACTTACTATGAGGCTACAGCAATCGAAACCATGTGGCACTGGCATCAGGACAGACATAGGTCAATGGAATAGAATTGAGAGTCCAGAAATAAACACGTATATCTATGGTCAATTGAGTCTGACTAATGTTACCAAGACCATTCAACGGGGAAAGATTCATTTTTTCAACAAATGGTGTTGGAAACAGAACAAAGCTGGACCCCTACCTCACACAGTGTATAACAATGAACTCAAAATGGTCTAAACACCTATGTGCAGGCCGGGTGTGGTGGCTCACGCCTGTAATCCCAGCACTTTGGGAGGCTAAGGCAGGCTGATCACAAGGTCAGGAGTTTGAGACCAGCCTGGCCAACGTGGTGAAACCCCGTCTCTACTAAAAATACAAAAATTACCTGGGGTGGTGGCACACGCTTGTAATCTCTGCTACTCGGGAGGCTGAGGCAGGAGAATTGCTTGAACCTGGGAGGCAGAGGTTGTGGTGAGCCGAGATCACACCACTGCACTCCAGCCTGGGTGACAGAGCAAGACTCCATCTTGGGGAAAAAAAAAAACCAAAAAACCCTAAGTGTAAGAGCTAACAGTAACACTATAAAGCTCTTAGGCATTGCTTTCTTAGATGTGACACCAGAAGCACAAACAACTAAAGAAAAAAGCAGAGAAACTGAACTTCATCCAAATTGAAACTTTTGTGCATCAAGTGAAAAGATAACCCACAGGGTGGGAGAGAAATTTACAAATTATATATCTGATAAGGGGGTTGTGCCTGAAATACAGAAATAACTTTTACAACTCAGTAATAAAAAGACAAATAACCCAATTTTAAAAATAGGCAAAAGGTCTGAAAAACATTTCTGTAGGGAAAATATACAAATAGCCACAAGTGCATGAAAGTATGTTCACCATCATTAATTATCAGGGAAATGCAAATCCAAACCACAATGAAATACCACTTCACCACCACTACGATGGTTATAATTAAAAGAAAGATCATAAGTGTTGGCGTGGATGTGAAGAAACTGGAACCAAAATGAAATACCACTTCACCACCATGATGGTTATAATTAAAAGAAAGATCATAAGTGTTGGCGTGGATGTGAAGAAACTGGAACCAAAATGAAATACCACTTCACCACCATGATGGTTATAATTAAAAGAAAGATCATAAGTGTTGGCGTGGATGTGAAGAAACTGGAACCACAATGAAATACCACTTCACCACCACTAAGATGGTTACAATTAAAAGAAAGATCATAAATGTTGGAGTGGATGTGAAGAAACTGGAACCCTCATGGTCTCACGGTGGGAATGTAAAATGGCACAGCTGCTTTGGAAAACAATCTTGCAGTTCCTCAAAAACAGAATCATCCTTATGACCCAGCAATTCCCCTCCAAGGTATATACTCAAGATAAATTAAAACATATGTTGACACAAAAACTTGTACAAGGATGTTCATAACAGCATTATTAATAACAGCCAAGAAGGCAAACAGCCCATATGAACATCAACTGATGAATAAGCAAAATGTAGTATACTGATACAACAGGATATACTGTTGAGCCGTAAAAAAGAATGAAATGTTGGTACATGTAGAAACATGAATGAACCTTGAAAACATCATGCTAAATGAAAGAAGCCAGACACAAACGGCCACATGTTGTATCATTCAATTTATATGGAACATGCAGAACAGGCAAATCCATGGATACAGAAAGTAGATTAGTGGTTTCCTAGGGCTGAGAGGTGGGAAGGAAATAGGGTGACTGCTAAAGGCTATAGGGTCTCTCTTGGGGATAATAAAAATGTTCTAAAATGGATTGTGGTGAAGGTTGTACAACTCTGTGAAGATATTAAAACCGCTGAATTTTAAATGGAGGAATTGTATGATAGGTGAATTGTATCTCAAGACAGCTGTTACCCGATCCCCCATCTCACAGATCCCTGGTAAAAGAAAAAAACCATTTATAAAGTGTCCCTCTGAATCCACAAGGAATTGCTTCCAGAACCTCCTCTGCCACTGGATACTAAAATCGGTGGAGGGTGAAGTCTTTTACATAAAATAATGTTGTATGTGGACATAACCTACACACATCCTCCTGTATACTTTGAATCATCTCTAGAATACTTCTAACACCTAATACAATATAAATGCTATGGAAATAGTTGTTATACTGTATTGTTTTTTATTTATATTTTTGTTGTTGTTTTGTTATTTTTATTGTGTTTTTTCCTTGAATAGTGTCGATCCACGGTTGGCTCAGTGGGGGCTGACTGTACATACATGGACTGACCTTTTTCTGCCTGAGTAAAGCCTTTTCTGAGAGTCAGTCTGCTGTGTGGAGTGCCTCGTGGTCTTTCCTGCATAAGCTGCATCCATAAGACATGAATCTAACAACCCTTTTCTGTGTTTTTAAAGTGGGGCTAGAGCTGAAAGGCACTTGTCAAGCAATGTGTATGTGGACTCCCTCCAGATTTTTTTTTAATTTTTTTTTTTTTTTAAGTCTCAATCTCGCTCTGTCGCCCAGGCTGTAGTGCAATGGCACAGTCTTGGCTCACTGCAACCTCCGCCTCCCAGGTTCAAGCCAATTTCCTGCCTCAGCCTCCCGAGTAGCTGGGATTATCGGCATGTGCCACCATGCCCGGCTAATTTTTGTATTTTTAGTAGAGACGGGGTTTCACCATGTTGACCAGGGTGGTCTTGAACTCCTGACCTCAGGTGATCTGCCGGCCTCCCAAAGTGCTGGGATTACAAGCGTGAGCCACCAGGCCCGGCTCCTCTAGATTTTTATCAGCATTTATCGCAACCGCCATAGTTGTCTCACTTGCATCTAATGGACAGCAATACATTCAGCAGCACCCCCTTTCACCGAACCTTTCCAAAGAACTCGACTGTGCTGTACCAGAAACAATTATCTTTCTGCACTCATATTTCATGGCTTTACATAGTACTAGAATATGTAATTACAACAAATATCACTGGCATAAACTAGTTAGGAATAGCTACAACTGTCCCTTGGAAAGCTCATGGCCCAGCTTCCTGGAGCAGAAATGGCGCAGGGGTGAACTGCGGAAGCTACTGGTAGGGAATGGTTCGCACAGCCAGCCTGGCTCAAGCCTCGGCCCACATGGCAAGAGCCGACCTCCATGTGGCCACCACGTTCCTTCAAATCCCATTCCCACAGATGAGCGGACTCATCCCATCAGCAGCTCTGTGAGGACAGCAGGGCACACGCTTCATCTTTAGAGCCGAGGAAACGGGGTCCCACAGGCAGTGATGTGCCCAAGATTGTGCCAGTCCCATAGGGCGCCATGGCCACCCTCTGAATCCACAGGGAAGTGTGGATTCACCCACCACCAGCTCTCTTTTGCCTCGCCCATGACTCTCAAGCCCGGCAGCAGAGCCGGGGGTCTCATCACGAGAGCAGAGCCTTGGGCTCCCGCGGTACCCGTCACAGACCGGAAAGGATGTGCTGGCAGGAAGCCGGATATTTCTGCTTCCAAGCCAGGGTGTGAGGCAAACTCACCCACAAAGTACTCAGCGAGGAAACAACAGGGCTTCTGACGGCAGCCGCTGTCGCCGCAGCCTGCCTTTCCCTTGCACAGTATTTTCTGCTGGTAAAGAGCCTCAGCCCACCGCGTCTGCAGACATTGCTGCGACGTCCCAGTGACAGACTGATATTCCCTACACATTTCAAATCCAACACATCACACGTATTAGGGATCTCCAGGCATCCCATTCATTCCACTTCACAGGTGAGGAAACTGAGGCACAGGTAGGTTCAGTGACACACCCAGAGTCACCTGCCTCGAATGCAGAAGAGGTGGGACTCAGACCCTGGAGCGCCTGGCTTGAGAAGCACGGCTCCACGCCTGCTCATGCCCCACCCATCACAACTACAGAGCGACTCTGCACACTGCTGTTATACTCGTATATGCTCTTATAAAGAGAATTTACTTTATTCTTATTTAGTTGGCAATTTTCATTTTAAAGCATAAAACCAGGAGAATGCAAACTTTTAGCATTTACATGCCTTTAGTTCTGTAAGTTTGGTCAAATGGATGTGATATTTACAGATCAATAGTAAAATCTGCTGAGGTGAGGAGAAGCCCCTGGTACTTAACCTTTCCTTTACAGAACACGTTGGAGAAAATTGCCAACATGAGGCCCCGATGAACAAGGGCAGAAGTTCAAGGCTACCTTAGAACTGCTTAATTAGATACCTTTCAGAAAGGGCAGCCTGGCTGTGACAGCTGTGTGGATATACACCGGGAGGGAGAGACTCCCATGGCATGCAATTAGGACCAAAGAATTTTTAACGTCTTGGTAATGATGCTCTCTGGCCCTGTATCTTGATTAACTGGATGTTGACTGCCACAGGGTGAATGACAAAGAAGAGCACATTAAAAAAACCCACTATAAGAACCAGCTGCCTTTTCTTGCATAAGATGCATAAATCATTGCGTGGGAAGCAGCGTAGGTCTCAAAGGGGCAAATTGAGAGACAGAGAGACAGAAAGAGACCGAGGCAGAAAGACACACACAGAGACAGAGAGAGACAGACACACACTCATACACACACACACGCGTGCGCATAGATATTCCTACCCTTACCATGGAAGAACAATATTTTTTCATCAATTTCTCTTTGTTGTACTCAGTAGCATTCTGATCAGTAGGCTGTGTTCCATTCACATTGAAACAGGAAGAGCGTTCATTATTTATGAGATGTGTATTTATAAATGTGTATTAATAACCCACATATTATAACATGTGTTAGTGAACCATGCTCCGGGCCTCCTCGCTGCCCCTGGGAGTGACAGGTCTTCTTGTGTATGACCCTGGGCAAAGGGTCAAATGATGGCCAGTGACTGGCCTCTGGAGTATGAGCTCAGGGTTCATTAGCAAATCAAAAATGCACAGGTTAGCAATTTTCCAACTGGAAAAGAACTGATCTTCTAACACCTCTAAACTTCCCGGATTAAAAGAGAATTCTGAAGCCCGAGGAAGGCACCTTGCTTTGGAGGTGCTGGGTCCAGGGGATGTCCAGGGCTGCAGGAATTTCACTACATGACTCAAGGGCACATGCCAGGGGCCATCCTAGAGAACACGACAGTGGCAGAACCCTGTCAATATGGAGCTCCAACAACACCTAAAATAAATACATCAGCGGCGCCACGTGTGCAGATGCTTGGTCTTCCAGAGGGCAACACAAGGTGGCCTCCAGGTGCCATGGACTGTCAGGGGCCGCTGTCCTCACAGCATCTGGCTGAAGCCAGAAGCGTCCACTCCTACACTGGTTTCAAACCGCGCAGAGGAGGAGGGGATCAGGCCACTCACCATCTGCAGGACATCGGAGGAGACCATCTGCATACAGCACATGGCTGTGGCCAGCGCACACACGATAGTGGACAGGACGTTGAGGGCACACACGCTGAAGAGGAGATCCTGCGAGGAAAGGTGCAGGAGAATGTCAGCCTCATCCCGAAATAGATAGCAGAATCCTTAGCCCTCCTGCCAGGGCCCAGAATGAGCCGAGGTCGATGACCATCCACTTCATGGAGGTTTTGTTTTGTGTGTGTCTGTGTTTTCCTCATAATCAAAATTGGCCTTTCATAGAAACACATTCGTTTATTCCGTTACAATGATGAGCAAAGTATTCATAATACTCAACAATGTGTTTTACAATTTTGATAATTATTAGGTAGTCAGTAACATGTCTAAGGAAATCATAAGGTGGCCAACATTTAAGGAGGTGGGCCATTTTTATCAAACACAACCTATAACTCAAGTGAAACTTTTTATCTTGAGATAATTGTATATTCACATGCAATTGTAAGAAATCCTACAGAGAGATCTTGGGTACCCTTTACTCATTCTCCCTTAATGGTAACATTTGGCAAATCTATAGTACAATATCACAGCCAGATACTGACATTGGTATAGTCAGGATGCAGAATAGTCCCATCACCACACGGGTCCCCCCAGTGTTGACCTTTTATAGACACACTCACCTCCCTTTCCCTGCTCCCCATTTAACCCCCAGTTCTGATCCCCTGTCAATCGCTAGTCTGTTCTCCATTTTTTATAATTTTGTCATTTCAAGAATGTTGCATAAGTGGATTGCACAGCATGTAACCTTTCAGAATTGGCTTTTTCCACTCAGCATAATTCCCTTTAGACTCATCCAGGTTGTTGCATGTATCAGTAGTTGACTTCTTTTTATTGCTGAGTGGTATTCCACCATATGGATGTACCACATTGGTTTAATCCTCAACAACTGAAGAATATCTGGTTTTTTGGTATTCCAGTTTTCCAGTTGTGGGCTATTACAAATAAAGCTGTTGTGAGCCTTTGTTTATAGGTTTTTGTGTGAACATAAGTTTTTGTTTCTCCGAGATAAATGTCCAGGAGCACAATTGCTGATTTGTACAGTAATTGCATGTTTAGTTTTATTTTAAAAACTGAAAAAATGCCTTCCAGAGTGGCTGAACAATTTTTAATTCCCACCAGCAGTGTATGAGTGATTGGGTTTCTCTGCATGATTGCCAACATTTGGTGTCACTGTTTGTGTTTTAGCTATTCTCATAGGTGCATAATGATACTCCTTTATAAAATGTTTTATTTTGCATTTCCCTGATGCTAATGATGTCGAACATCTTTTCATGTGCTTATTTGCCATCTAGAGATCCTCTTTGGTAAAATGTCTGTTCATGTTTTTTGCCCATTTTCTAATTGATTGTAATGTTTACTTTTTTTTTTTTGTAGTGTTGAGTTATGAGAGTTCTTTATGTATTCTAGGTACTAGTTCTTTGTCAGATAGGTGGTTTGCAAATATTTTCCCCCAGACTGTAGCTTGTCTTTTCATGTTTCACATAGAGTCTTAGTCAGCTCAGGCTGCTATTACAAAAATACCATAGACCAGGTAGCTCTAACAACAGTCACTTCTCACAGTCCTGAAGTCTGGAAGTCTGAGATCAGGGTGCCAGCCTGTTGGATTCTGGTAAGGGCCTGCTTCCTGGTTGAAGATGGCTAATGTCTCACTGTGTCCTTGCTTAGTGAAAAGAGGGCAGGGGAGCTCTCTGGTGCCTCTTTTAAAAGTGTATTAATCCCATCATGTGGAATCTACCCTCATGACCTAACAACCTCCCAAAGGCCCTGCCTCCTATTAAATAATAACATATTGGGAATTAGAATTTCAACATATGAATTTTGGAGGGACACAAGCATTAAGTCCATTATATCTGAGTTTTTAAAGAACAAAAAATTTTAATGTTCTTGAGATCCAACTGATCAACTTTTGTTCCATACTTTTGGTGTCAAGTCTAAAACTTTGTCAAGCCCCAGATTGTGAACAGTTTCTCCCATTTTTTTCTGAAAGTTTTTATAGTTTCATAGTTTGCATTTAAGTCTATGCTCCATTTTTGTTCTGAGACAGGGTCTTGCTCTGTTGCCCAGGCTGGAGTGCAGTGGCACAGTCATGGCTCACTGCAGCCTCGACCTTCTGGGCTCAAGTGATCCTCCCACCTCAGCCTCCTCAGTAACTGAGACCACACATGCATACCACTGTGCCCAGCTAATATCATCCATTTTAAGTTAAATTTTGAATAAGATGTGAGTTTTAGGTTTAGGTTCCTTTTTATGTTTTTAATTTCATTTTCCAAATGTTGTTAGTACATAGAAATGTGATTGATTTTTGTATGTCTATGTGATATCTTGAGACTTTGCTGAAATTGATATCTTGGGACTTTGCTGAAATTATTAGTTCTAACAATTTTTTGAAGATGCCAGGGGATTTTCTGTGTAGACAATCAGGCCATCTGCAAGTGTTTTATTGATTTCCTTCCATTTTATTACCTTTTATTATTATTATTGTTCTTTTTTTTTGCCTCGTGGTGCTAGCTAGAACCTTGAGCATTATAAATAAAAATATAAGATGACTAAGATCATGAAAGCAGACATCTCCATCTTGTGCTCTTAGAGGGTAAACTTGATGGAGTTTTAACAGTCGAAGTGCAATATAGCCTTCATTGAGAAGCTTACTCTCAAATCCATGTCAGAAATAGAAAAAAAAAAGATTTAGAATGATAGTATGTCCTTCAATTAAATCTTTTCATATACAAGTGTACAAAATACTGGACACACTCAAAAAGCTATCAGAAAACATGAATCTTTCACCACAAAGGCTATGGCATTAATCAGATTAGTTTCAGTTATCTAATCAAGGGGTTGGCAAGTGCTCAAGAGGAGACGGGGAATGCCACCCTCACTGACATGCTCTGTGCGTGTGCTAGGATGTGGGCACACAGAGTCTAGCAGCATCCTCAGGGCTCGTTCATGTATACATGAGCCCATGTGTTCCAATCTGTAACATCCTCTGGACAATTCCCTGTTCTCCTACAAACATCACTGCCCAATCCCCTTCCTCAGAAGCTGCTCATCAGTTCTCAAGCCCACACTGTGAAACAGTAAAGAAGTGTGATTAGGATAATATCATGGAAGGTGGTTAACATACAGTGTTTAAACACTTTCCCAAGTTTATAGAACCCCATGCACATGTGAAGGCAGAAAAATGAGTCCTGAACTTAAGAAGCGTTAGGCAGAACCGGCCGGGCGTGGTGGCTCATGCCTGTAATCCCAGCACTTTGGGAGGCCAAGGTGGGTGGATCACAAGGTCAGGAGATCGAGACCATCCTGGCTAACACGGTGAAACCCCGTCTCTACTAAAAATACAAAAAATTAGTCGGGCGTGGTGGCCGGCGCCTGTAGTCCCAGCTACTTGGGAGGCTGAGGCAGGAGAATGGCGTGAACCCAGGAGGTGGAGCTTGCAGTGAGCCAAGATCGCGCCACTGCACTCCAGCCTGGGCAACAGAACGAGACTCCATCTCATAAAAAGAAAAAAAAAAAAAAGAAGAAGCGTTAGGCAGAACCAAGGCAAGGCTCAGTTTAGGGCTAACTATTCCCCACTTTGGAGGTAAGGCCTATCCGAGTCCCTGAATGATGTGGGAACAGGCACTGTTCCTGTGTGAGCACCAGGCACTGTTATCACTAATCCTTTCAGGCAGTTCTTTTCCCAGACTCAGGTCGTTTCTTCATATGCACGTGCTAACCAGCATCCAACTGACAACTCCAGGCAGACCCTCTGAAGACCCCCATGTTTCTCTCCTGGTGCAGCTCTGCCCTCGATGGTGCTCTGTCCTAAGAACTCTTGTCTCCAGGCCTTGATCCCCCTCAGACTCTCAGCCCTCTACGCCCACCCCAGGGAGTCTGCAGGGACCCTGCTGTGTTCCCTTTCCAGCACTGAACCTGGAAACTGTCTCAAGGCAGTAAGCTGGGGCAATCGTAGGGCTCACCTCATTTATCACCCACCCCTCAGGGATCAGGGTTCTTCATTGCCTGATAGTGTCTTCCTACACTGTGTTCATTTTGGGGGGCTGTTTCAGGCAGGAGGTTAAATCCAATGTCCTGCTACTCCATCTTGGCCAGAAGCTCTTGGTGGCTTTTTTGTTTGCGTTTTCTAATGTTTGTAGCAGGACTAGGCGGACTGCCTTAGGGATCCTACTATAGGCATCTCCACTGCCCTCCCTGCTCCTACAGCTGCTAGACATGGAGCAGGATGGGGGCTTAGTTGTGGCAAACAGCAGGCACAGGTGGGGCTGGAGGGAGGCTGAGGAGCCTAGATTGTATTTTGCAGGTAATGGAATGCCACTGAAGATGTGTGATGCTGGGAAAGAGGTCATACAACCTGTTTTTTGTTGTTGTTGTTGTTTGTGGTGGTGGTGGCGTTTTTGTTTTGTTTTGTTTTGTTTTTGAGATGGAGTCTTGCTCCAGTCCATGCTGGAGTGCAGTAGCGTGATCTTGGCTCACTGCAACTTCCATCTCCCAGGTTCAAGCGATTCTCCTGCCTCAGCCTCCTGAGTAGCTGGGTCTACAGGTGCCCGCCACCATGGCTGGCTAATTTTTTTTGTATTTTTAGTAGAGATGGGGTTTCACCATGTTGGCCAGGCTGGTCTCGAACTCCTGACCTCAGGTGATCCACCCTCCTCGGCCTCCCAAAGTGCTGGGATTACAAGTGCAAGCCACGGTGCCTAGCCCATGCAACCTGTTTTGAGAATTGATTGAGAAAGACACCTTTGCAGGGAGGGCCTAGCACAGAACTATAGATGGAGTAAACATCGGTTGAAGTGAGACTGGACACAGGGCAGTGACCCGTGAGGCGGTACCGGAGAGGAGTCAAGCAGAGCCCAGGAGGAGGCATGCAGATGCCGGTCTGAGGGTGACTCTGAAGTTCAGAACAAAAGGGCGTGGCTGTTTACTGGAGTAGGGGAGACCGGGATGAGGGTGCAGATATAGTAGAAAGATGATTCTGGTGAGTGGAAACATGAGATGCCTGCGCGTGGGCCAGGGACTGTGGGAGAGAAGCAGTCTTAACGAACACCTCAGCAGGCCAGGCGCAGTGGCTCATGCGAGGCGGGAGGATCACTTGAGGTCAGGAGTTCGAGACCAGTCTGACCAACATGGTGAAACCCCGTCTCCACTAAAAATATAAAAAAATTAGCCGGGAGAGGTGGCACATGCCTGTAATCCCAGCTACTCAGGAGGCTGAGGCAGGAGAATCGGTTGAACCTGGGAGGTGGAGGTAGCCGTGAGCCGAGATCATGCCATTGTATTCCAGCCTGGGCGACAAAGCGAGACTCTGTCTGGAAGAAAAAAAATAAAAAATAAAACACCTGAAGTGGTCTGGGACATGTGGAGGCTGAGTTACCAGTGGGCCTGACCCACTGAGATGTTGGCAAATGGTTGGAAATTTGGGGCTGGGGCTGACGATGGAGATCAGAACTGGAGGTGTGGACCAGGAGTCATCCCTACAGAGTTCAAATGTGCCTTCACCTTGCGGATGTCCTTGATGTATCTGCGGGCCCCTGTGTGTCCTCATTCCCCTCTCCAGATCCATCAGACTTCAGGGGCCTGGGGGCCTCCGCAGGCTCCCTACAGAAGAGGGCATTTCTTTGATGAAATTACCATTCTCACCTCAAAGATACACCTCAGCATAGTTTTCCTCTAAGTGACATGAATTTTGTGCTGGATTCTAGAAAACTGACAGATTTATCCATGTGCGCAGTAGCTGGCTGAGTGCCTTTTCTCTCCTGTGAGGAAGAGCTTCTAAAATGTCTTAAGGCTCAGCCAGAAGCTTTAGCACATTTTTGAGCAGGAAGTTGGACTCACTGTAGTCTTAAAACAATCCTGCTGGTGAATGAAGTCATAATTAGAACTCTTAAGTATGTATTTTATATATCTCAGGAGAACAATTCAAAGTTATAACTAAAATAGCGACATCTTTTTTTTTTTTTTTTGAGATGGAGTCTCGCTGTGTCGCCCAGGCTGGAATGCAGTGGCGCGATATCGGCTCACTGCAACTTCCACCTCCCAACTTCAAGTGATTCTCCTGCCTCAGCCTCCCGAGTAGCTGGGATTACAGGCATACGCCACCACGCCCAGCTGATTTTTGTTATTTTTAGTAGAGACGGGGTTTCACCATGTTGGCCAGGATGACCTGAGGTGATCCAGCCGCCTTGGCCTCCCAAAGTGCTGGGATTATAGACGTGAGCCACTGCTCCCGGCCAATAGCGACATCTCTTAATGTACCATTGCTAAAATATAAGCAATACCTTTACTTTGTCCTCAATCTAGAAATTTCAACTTTATTGACCACATAATCCACTGTCATTTAAATGAATGCCTTTCTACAAATAATATTAATTTCGCATATGCTACCAAATGAAACTACTCACAGACAGAAACACCAACTCTGACCTCTGTTTGCATACGCATCATGAGGCAGCCTGCTTTACGTCTCATGAAAGGTATTCATTTGAAATACATGCCAGAAAGACTTTTCCCCTCCAGCTGTTTAAATACTTGATGTTTTTCTAAGTAACCGCAAACCACCTGGTATTGCGTTTATGTGTTTCTTCAGAATTCTTTTTTGGCTTAAATGACATTATCTCTGCCTTTTTTTTTTTTTTTTTTGAGATGTAGTCTCACTCTTTCGCCCAGGCTGGAGTGCAGTGGCGTGATCTCGGCTCACTGCAACCTCCACCTCCCGGGTTCAAGGGATTCTCCTGCCTCAGCCTCCCAAGTATCTGGACTACAGGAGCACGCCATCACTCCCGTCTAATTTTGATGTATATTTTTTTAAGTAGAGATAGGGTTTCACCATGTTGGCTAGGCTATCTCTGCTTTTTGAAAGTTTTATCAGAGTCCTTTACAAATACTGAAATCCACATTCTATAAAATTCCTTTACAAGGTGATTCAAAACGGCGAATATGAGAGAGAGGCGGGTCTTTCATTGCTGATACTGAGTTTTGCTACTGGATATTCTGATGTTATTAGCTTTTTGATGTTATTAATGTTATAAAGTTAAGGAAGTTATGTATCTAATAAATGATGTATAGAACAAAAACAAGAGAAAAAAGTTTTAGATACTTGGGCAAAGCTACAGTTGATAAATTATTTTGAAAATCTCTCCAGTCTACGTAAGTTATGGATATTAATAATAAGATTAACAGAGAAAAGCGACAGCAATGACAATGTACATACATATAGCCTACACGTTAAAAACATTAAACAGTTCAGGACATTGAGCGGGTCGTGGTAGTGTATCTGGAATTGGTGGGTTATTGGTCTCACTGACTTCAAGAACGAAGCTGTGGACCCTCGCGCTGAGTGTTACAGCTCTTAAAGGTGGCGTGTCTGGAGTCTGTTCGTTCTGATGTGTTTGGAGTTTTTTCTGGTGGGTTTGTGGTCTCGCTGGCCTAGGAGTGAAACCACAGACCTCCGCGGTGAGTGTTACAGCTCTTAAGGCGGCGTGTCTGAAGTTGCTCATTCCTCCCGATAGGTTCGTGGTCTCGCTGGCTCCAGGAGTGAAGCTGCAGACCTTCACGGTGTTACAGCTCATAAAGGCAAGGTGGACCGAGAGAGTGAGCAGCAGCAAGATTTATTGCAAACAGCATAATAACAAAGCTTCCACAGCATAGAAAAGGACAGGGCCGGGTTGCTACTGCTAGCTTGGGCAGCCTGCTTTTATTCTTATCTGGCCCCACCCACATCCTGCTGATTGGTCCATTTTACAGAGAGCCGATTGGTCCATTTTACAGAGAGCTGATTGGTCCGTTTTGACAGGGTGCTGATTGGTGCGTTTATAATTCCTGAGCTAGACACAAAAGTTCTCCATGTCACAACTAGATTAGCTAGATACAGTGTCCACACAAAGGCTCTCCAAGTCCCCACCAGAGTAGCTAGATACAGAGTGTCGATTGGTGCATTCACAAACCCTGAGTTAGACACAGGGTGCTGATTGGTGTGTTTACAAACCTTGAGCTAGACACAGAGTGCCGACTGGTGTATTTATAATCCCTTAGCTAGACATAAAGGTTCTCCAAGTCCCCACCAGACTCAGGAGCCCAGCTGGCTTCACCCGGTGGATCCCGCAGGTGGAGCTGCCTGCCAGTACCGCGCTGTGCGCCTGCACTCCTCAGCCCTTGGGTGGTGTATGGGATTGGGTGCCATGGAGCAGGAGGCGGCGCTCGCCCGGGAGGCTCGGGCCGCACAGGAGCCCACGGAGACGGGGGAGGCTCAGGCATGGTAGGCTGCAGGTCCTGAGCCTTGCCCAGAGGGAAGGCAGCTAAGGCCCGGTGAGAAATTGAGCACAGCAGCTGCTGGCCCAGGTGCTAAGCCCCTCACTGCTCCAGCAGGCAGGGCCAGCTGGCCACTCCCAGTGCGGGGCCGCGGAGCCCACGCCCACTTGGAACTCCTGCTGGCCTGCAAGTACCACGCGCAGCCCCGGTTCCCGCCCACGCGTCTCCCTCCACACCTCCCTGCAAGGTGAGGGAACCGACTCTGGCCTTGGCAAACCCAGAAAGGGGCTCCCACAGTGCAGCGTGGGCTGAAGGGCTCCTCAAGTGCCGCCAAAGTGGGAGCCCAGGCAGAGGAGGCACCGAGAGCCAGGGAAGGCTGCGAGGACTGCCAGCACGCTGTCACCTCTCAGTAGCTCACACCTGTAATCTCAGCACTTTTGGAGGCTAAGGTCAGATCATCTGAGGTCAGGAGTTTGAAACCAGCCTGGCCAACATGATGAAACCCTGCCTCTACTAAAAATACAAAAATTAGCCAGGCGTGGTGGCAGGCACCTGTAATCCCAGCTACTCAGGAGGCTGAGGCAGGAGAATCACTCAAACCTGGGAGGCAGAGGTTGCAGTGAGCCAAGATCACACCACCGCACTCCAGCCTGGGTGACAGAGTGAGACTCTGTCTCAAAAAAAAAAAAAAAAAAAAAAAAAATCAGGACGTTGATACCTTTGCTTGCTGGACAAAATGAGGACAAACTATCTTACATTTATTTCCGCTAGTTCATTCAGTAGTTTTTTTCCTATGTCTTCTCTCTTTGAATAGGAGAGAGGTCTCATGGGAACCTATTATCAGTCAAGATATAATGATAGAAGGTATGATGATAAGGAGAGTTCCACAGCATAAAACACAAGCGGAAGAAATATCCAGCAATAGCTGTATATGTGGTAATAATTATAAGGGATGGGTGTTGGGCTTTATCTGAATTATTATCTTAAATGCCCACACCATTTATTCTTTGTTGCCTTGTGATGGTAGACATTGGTCATGGACCTGACGTTCCGTGCAGATCTATGTTGGGAGAGGCAGTCTGCCATGGGCCCTGAGCATGCCCTGAAGTTCCTGCTGGGTATGCCAAGAATGTAAGGCCTTGACTGCTCTTTACCTGACCCATTTCCCAGGGCTGTGTTTGCACCAAGAAACCTTGAGGAAGGAGGTAACGTCTCCCCTAGACAAAGTGTAGGTTCTCTACAAAGACAGGGATTCCCCAAGCTCAGTGTTTCTGCCCCATAACGCAGCTCACCACACATGTGCAGGCATCCGTGGTGGGCCCTTAGCATCACCCTGAGACCCCAGGGCATGGGGAACTGACACACACTAGCCTAGAGCTCTGGCTACTGCTTTTGCCATGAATAATAAAGTCCCTTGTCTCTGAACCAGGAATCTCATGTCTTTTTGCCAGGAAAGTAACAGTAAACAGTAACAGACTAGTTTGTTAGCTTGAAAGTAGGTTAAAAGCTCAGACCCTGCAGTTCCTGGCAGTTTATTTCCATCTCCATCTTGTAAGAACATCAAGAGCAGAGACCAAGTCTTTTGCTACTCTGTATGGTAGAATATCTTATTCAAAATAGGTGGTTGCTAAATATTTGAAATTTTACAGGCTCATTGTTCTCTTCTGAATTGTAAGTTCAGACTAGAAGGAAATGCATAATTTCCAAGCTTCTAACCACACACAGAAAATTCACCTTCACCTTTAAGTAAAGTAATGCAGCACACATAGGATCATGGTGGACGGGAGGCAGGACTAGATTGCAGCTCTGAACAGAGCAATGTGCAGAGGCTTGCATTGTGAATTTTAGCTCCAGATCGACTGCAAGAACAAACCAGCAACCCCGAGAGGACCGACAGACCTCTGAAGGAAGCAGACTGCTCTTGCAGGACCTGGAAGACACCCCAAATACTGTGAGTGCCCAAACTGCGGAAGTGGGAAAGGGAGAGCATCCTCTCCCAAACACACACGCCCACTGGAGAAAAGGAAGGTCTGTTTGCAGGAGAAGTTTCCGACCTTACCTGGAGCTGAGTCAATTTAGAGAGTCGAGCGAAATACAGAAGTAGAGGAAGCAGCGGGAAAGGCCCTGGGAGCTCCCTGGGTCCCCAAGCAGGTCATTCCTGCCTGGCACCACAGGGATCCACCAGGAGGGCAGCCAGAGGAGCGAGGGTAAAACTCAACAGGGAGAAGGAAATCTCTAGCTGAAATTTGTAACAATTTGAACAGGGTTAGAAGCCTCCTGGCCAGAACTCGGGGGAGGGCGCAAATCTGGTGTGCAGATTCTCCACAGGTGGGAAGAACAAGCCCTTTCTTTTGCAGCTGGGAGGTGGGTAGCCTGAGGCAAGTTCTCAAGCCTGTCTCACCCACTGCCCGAAAACAGACTTGGGGCGGTTGGATGGGGGCATGGTGGGAGTGAGACTGGACTTTCAGTTTGCATGGGAGCTGGGTGAGGCCTGTGACTGCCAGCTTTCCACCACTTCTCTGAAAACCTGCATGACTCAGCAGAGGCAGCCATAATCCTCCTAGGTACATAACTCCAGTGACCTGGGAATCTCACACCCATCCCCCACAGGAGCTGCAGCAAGACCGGTCCAAAGAGAGTCTGAGCTCAGATACGCCTGGCCCCACCCCCACCTGATCGTCCTTCCCTACCCACTCTGGTAGCAGAAAACAAAGGACATATAATCTTGGGAGTTCTACAGCCCAGCCCACAGCCAGTCCCTCTCAAACTACTACAGCTGATGCTTTCTGGAAAGCGCCACCTCACAGCAGGAGGCCAACCCGCACAAAAATAGAGCATTAAACCACCAAAGCTAAGAGCCCTCACGAAGTCCACTGCACACCCCCCACCACCTCCACTGGAACAGGTGCTGGTATCCATGGCTGAGAGACCCATAGACGGTTCACATCACAGGACTCTGTGCAGACAACCCTCAGAACCAGCCCGGAGCTGGGCAGACTTACTGCGTGGCCAGACCCAGAAGAGAGACAACAATCACTGCAGTTGGGCTCACAGGAAGCCACCTCCATAGGAAAAGGGGGAGATTACTCCATGAAGGGAGCACTCCATGGGACAAAAGAATCTGAACAACAGCCTTCAGCCCTAGACCTTCCCTCTGACAGAGCTTACCCTAATGAGAAGGAACCACAAAACCAATGCTGGTAATATGACAAAATAAGGCTCTTGAACAGCACCCCCCAAAATCACACTAGTTTACCAGCAATGGATCCAACCCAAGAAGAAATCCCTGATTTACCTGAAAAAGAATTCAGGAGGTTAGTTATTAAGCTAATCAGGGAGGCACCAGAGAAAGGTGAAGCTCAATGCAAGGAAATCCAAAAAACGATACAAGAAGTGACGGGAGAAATAGCCAAGAAAATAGATAGCTTAAAGAAAAAAAAATAAATAAAAAATCCAGGAAAAATTGGACACACTTATAGTAATGCAAAATGCTCTGGAAAGTCTCAGGAATAGAATTGAAAAAGTAGAAGAAATTCAGAGCTCAAAGACAAGGTCTTTGAATTAACCCAATCCCACAAAGACAAAGAAAAAAGAATAAGAAAATATGAACAAAGCCTCCAAGAAGTCTGGGATTATGTTAAATGACCAAACCTAAGAATAACCAGTTTTCCCGAGGAAGAAGAGAATTATAAAAGCTTGGAAAACATATCTTTAGGAATAATAGAGGAAAACTTCCCTGGCCTTGCTAGAGACCTAGCTATCCAAGTGCAAGAAGAACAAAGAACACCTGGGAAATTCATTGCAAAAAGATCATTGCCTAGGCATATTGTCATCAGGTTATCCAAAGTTAAGACAAAGTAAAGAATTTTAAGAGCTGTGAGACAGAAGCACCAGGTAACCTATAAAAGAAAACCTATCAGATTAACAGCAGATTTCTCAGCAGAAACCCTACAAGCTAGAAGGGATTGGGGCTCTATCTTCAGCCTCCTCAAACAAAACGATTATCAGCTAAGAATTTTGTATTCAGCAAAACTAAGCATCATATATGAAAGAAGATACAGTCTTTTTCAGACAAACAAATGCTGAGAGAATTCGTCACTAACAAGCCACCATTAAAAGAACTGCTAAAAGGAGCTCTAAATCTTGAAACAAATCCTGGAAACACATCAAAACAGAACCTCTTTAAAGCATAAATCACACAGGACCTATAAAACAAAAATACAAGTTAAAAGGCAAAAACAAAAAACAAAAAACCAAAGTCCACAGGCAACAAATAGCACAATGAATGCAATGGTACCTCACATCTCAATTCCAACATTGAATGTAAATGGCCTAAATGCTCTACTTTAAGGATACAGAACTGCAGAATGGATAAGAACTCGCCAACCAACTATCTGCTGCCTTCAGGAGACTCACCTAACACATAAGGACTCACATAAAGTAAAGAGGTGGAAAAAGGCATTTCACACAAATGGACAAGAGAGTAGGGGTAGCTATTCTTATATCAGACAAAACAAACTTTAAAGCAATATCAGTTAAAAGAGACAAAGTGGGACATTATATAATAGTAAAAGGCCTTGTCCAACAGGAAAATATCATAATCCTAAAAATATATGCATCTAACACTGGAGCGCCAAAATTTATACAACAATTACTAATAGACCTAAGAAATGAGATAGACAGCAACACAATAATAGTGGGGGACTTCAATACTCCACTGACAGCACTAGGCAAGTCATCAAGACAGAAAGTCAACAAAGAAACAATGGATTTAAACTATACCTTGGAACAAATGGACTTAAAAGATATATACAGAACATTTCATCCAACAACCTCAGAATACACATTCTATTCAACAGCACGTGGAAATTTCTCCAAGATAGACTATATGATAGGCCATAAAACAAGACTCAATAAATTTAAGAAAATTGAAATTATATCAAGCACTCTCTCAGTGGAATCAAACTGGAAATCAACTCCAAAAGGAACCTTCAAAACCATGCTGATACATGGAAATTAAATAACCTACTCCTGAATGAGCATTGGGTCAAAAACGAAATCAAGGTGGAAATTAAAAAATTCTTCGAACTGAACGACAATAATGACACAACCTACCAAAACCTCTGGGATATAAGCAGAGGTGGTGCCAAGAGGAAAGTTCATAGCCCTAAACGCCTACATCAAAAAGACTGAAAGGGCACACACTGACATTCTAAGGTCACACCTCAAGGAACTAGAGAAACAAGAAAAACCAAACCCAAACCCAGCAGAAGAAAGGAAATAACCAAGATCAGAGCAGAACTAAATGAAATTGAAACAAACAAACAAACAAAAATACAAAAGATAAATGAAACAAAAAGATGGTTCTTTGAAAAGGTAAGTAAAACTGATAGACCATTAGTAAGATTAACCAAGAAAAGAAGAGAGAAAATCCAAATAACCTCATTAAGAAATGAAACAGGAGATATTACAGTTGACACCACTGAAATACAAAAGATCATTCAAGGCTACTATGAACACCTTTACACACATCAACTAGAAAACCTAGAAGAGTTGGATAAATTCTGGAAAGATATAACCCTCCTAGCTTAAATCAGGAAGAATTAGATACCTTGAACAGACCAGTAACAAGCTGCAAGACTGAAATGGTAATTACAAAATTACCAACAACAAAAAATGTCCACGACCAGACAGATTCTAAGAAGACTTTCTAAGAAGAATTGGTACCAATCCTTTTGACACTATTCCACAAGATAAGAGAAAGAAGGAACTCTCTCTAATTCATTCTATGAAGCCAGCATCACCCTAATACCAAAACCAGGAAAGGACCTAACCAAAAAAGAAAACTACAGACCGATATCCTTGATGAACATAGATGCCAAAATCCTTAACAAAATATTAGCTAACTGAATCCAACAACATATCAAAAAGACAATACATCATGATCAAGTGAGTTTCATACCAGGGATGCAGGGATGGTTTAACATATGCAAGTCAATAAATGTGACACATCACATAAACAGAATTAAAAACAAAAATCACATGATCATCTCAACAGATGCAGAAAAAGCATTTGATAAAATCCAGCATTGCTTTATGGTTACAATTCTCAGCAAAATTAGCATACAAGGGACATACCTCAATGTAATAAAAGCCATCTATGACAAAACCACAGGCAACATAATACTGAATGGGGAAAAACTGAAAGCGTTCCCTCTGAGAACTGAAACAAGACAAGGATGCCCACTCTGACCACTCCTCTTCAACATACTACTGAAGTCCTAGCCAGAGTAATCAGACAAGAGAAAGAAATACAGGGCATCCAAGTTGGTAAAAAGGAAGTCAAACTGTCACTGTTTGCTGACGATATGATCATTTACCTTGAAAACCCTGAAGACTCCTCCAGAAAGCTTCTATAACTGATAAAAGAATTCAGCAAAATTTCCAGATACAAGATGAATGTACAGAAGTCAGTAGCTCTTCTATACACCAACAGTGACCAAGCCAAGAATCAAATCAAGAACTCAACCCCTTTTACAATAGCTGCAAAAAAATAAAATACTTAGAAATATACCTAACCAAGGAGTCAAAAGACATCTACAAGAAAAACTACAAAACACTGCTGAAAGTAATCATAAACAACACAAATAAATTGAAACACATCCCAGGCTCGTGAATGGGTAGAATCAATACTGTGAAAATGACCATACCAGCAAAAGCAATCTACAAATTCATTGCAATCCCCATCAAAATACCACCATCATTCTTCACAGAATTAGAAAAAACAATTCTAAAATTCATATGGAACCAAAAAAGAGCCCACATAGCCAAAGCAAGACGAAGCAAAAAGAAAAAATCTGGAGGCATCGCACTACCTGATTTCAAACTATACTATAAGGCCAAAGTTGCAAAACAGCATGGTACTAGTATAAAAATAAGCACATGGACCAATGGAACAGAATACAGAACCCAGAAATAAACCAAGTACTTAAAGCCAACCGATCTTTGACAAAGCAAACATTAACATAAAGTGGGGAAAGGACACTCTTTTCAACAAATGGTGTTGGGATAATCGGCTAGCCACATGTAGGAGAATGAAACTGGATCCTCATCTGTCACCTTATACAAAAATCAACTCAAGATGGATTAAAGACTTAAATCTAAGACCTGAAACTATAAAAATTCTAGAAGATAACATCGGAAAAACCCTTCTAGGCATTGGCTTAGGCAAGGATTTCATGACCGAGAACCCAAAAGCAAATACAATAAAAACAAAGATCAATAGCTGGGATCAAATTAAACTAAAGAGGTTTTGCATGGCAAAAGAAACAGTCAGTAGAGTAAACAGACAATCCACAGAGTGGGAGAAAATCTTCACAATCTATACATCTGACAAAGGACTAATATCCAGAATCTACAACAAACTGAAACAAATCAATAAGAAAAAAACAAAGAATCCCATCAAAGAGTGGGCTGACATGAACAGACAATTCTCAAAAGAAGATATACAAATGGCCAACAAACATATGAAAAAATGCTCAACATCACTAATGATCAGGGAAATGCAAATCAAAACCACAGTGTGATACCACGTTACTCCTGCAAGAATGGCCATAATCAAAAAATCAACAAACAGTAGATGTTGACATGGATGTGGTGAACAGGGAGCACTTCTACACTGCTGGTGGGAATGTAAACTCGTGCAGCCACTATGGAAAACAGTGTGGAGACTCCTTAAAGAACTAAAAGTAGAGCTACCATTTGATCCAGTAATCCCACTACTGGGTATCTACCCAGAGGAAAAGAATTCATTATATGAGGAAGATACTTGCACACGCATGTTTATAGCAACACAATTCAATTCACACTTGCAAAATTGTGGAACCAACCCAAATGCCCATCAATCAATGAGTGGATAAAGGAACGGTGGTATATATATATGATGGAATACTACTTAGCCATAAAAAGGAATGAAGTAACAGCATTTGCAGTGACCTGGATAAGATTGGAGACTCTTATTCTAAGTGAAGTAACTCAGGAATGGAAAACCAAACATCGTACGTTCTCATTGATATGTGGGAGCTAAGCTATGAGGATGCAAGGGCATAAGAATGATACAAAAGCATAAGAATGATACAATGGGGAGAATAGTGGGAGGCGGGAAAGGGATAAAAGACTACAAATAGGGTGCAGTGTATACTGCTCGGGTGTTGAGTGCACCAAAATCTCACAAATCACCACTAAAGAACTTACTCATGTAACCAAATACCACCTGTACCCCAATAACTTATGGAAAAAAAGAATTTAAAAAAACCTACTACACATAGTTACAAACCCAATAAAGAAAGAAAGTAATGCAGAGAAAGACTCTGTACAAAGACTCTTGTTGGTAGCACAATCAGCGTGTGTGTGTAAAATCTGTAATTTAAATTTTCCACGAAATTTCTAGAGTGATGAGACACATCCTGGGGCAGATCTAGGACTGTTTAATTTGTCTCTGTAGAAAGCAGTTATAGTCTACAGAGGTCTTTGTGGCGGGCTTAAATACTGATCCTACAAAAGGAGCTAAAATTAGGCTGTCATATGGAGAAGGTAAGTGATTCATAGAGAAATCTGTGAAGCTATAATTTCAAGAGGCAAACATCCATTTACAATCCCTAAAAATGTCGATGGATTTTGGCCTTGCTTTGGCCACTCAGGCACCACCAGTAACACATGTGCTGCTCTAAGAAGGCAGGATTGCTCCCCACATGGTGCCTGCTGTTTGCTCAATGGCACTTTTAACTCTGGGCAAGGACCCAGGAGGGAGTTCACACACTCTCCGCAAGGGTTCAGAACTGCACCCTATTTGATAATTGAAAACCTGGCTTTTGTCATCTGAAACAATAGCTTTTACTCTTTAGTGGATGGCTGTAAATTGCCTACATGATCATCTGTGTAAATAATCGTAGACTAATTATTTTCTTACAGTTCTACGAAGTTTTAAGAAGAAAACTATTTGCCATTTTTCTGATATTCAAGGCAAAGTAATGAGGCAAAAAAAGTTTCTGTGTGTATACACACTTTTGTATCTTTGTGTGTGTATATATGAGATAGATTATACACATACATGCATATATACATACAGAAATCTTTCCTATAAATTCTGGATTTCTGAAGACTCACTGTGATCCTAATGAGCCTCTAGCTTTAAAACAATGTTGAACAAAACACCATTTTTAAATATTTGGCTTTAACCTAAATTTATGGGAATGAAGAAAATAAACAAGCATTGTCAAGAACATTTTGGGAAAAAAAAGGCTTTGCACACATCAAAATGTACCCTAAATCTACAATAATAGTATAGGGTGGCATCAATAAGGGACAGAATAGAGATCCTATTATAATAAAAGAAGTACACCACATTACTTGTGTTGGGATAATTGGCTGTCTTTAAAAAACAAGTAAGACAGATCTAGATGTGAAAAGAAGAGAGGAAAATTCTTCCTCGTGAACCTAGATGCAAAAGTCCTAAATAAAATATTGAAAAATTAAATACAGTAGCATTTTAAAAAACATATTATGACCAAATGTGGTTTATTCCTATATTACAAGGATGTTTTAACATAATGTAATTTATTAATGGAATTCACTACATTAAATGAGAAAAACTATATGACAATCTCAATAGATGCAAAATAGCAGTTGGTATTTCAACACTAGTGTAAAAGCCTCTAATAAACTTGAAATAGACAGGAGCTCCCTAAACTCAAGAAACCCTACAGCAAACATCTGGAAGGAGATGGGGATTGCTGCCAATATCACTTCTGTTCTACACAGGTCCCAGTCATTGGAAGAAGACAGGCAAAAGAAGTAAAGTGTGTTCAAACTGGGAAGGAAGAAAAACTGTCCAAGATGATACAATTATTCATACAGAAAACTCAATAACATTTCCAAATATTTAGAACTAAATATAATAGTTGTGCAATGTTGCTGCATATAAAATCAATATGCAGGCCGGGTGCGGTGGCTCATGCCTGTAATCCCAGCACTTTGGAGGGCCGAGGCAGGGGGATCATGAGGTCAGAAGATTGAGACCATCCTGGCTAACATGGTGAAACCCCCATCTCTACTAAAAATAAAAAAAATTAGCCAGGCGTGGTGGCGGGTGCTTGTAGTCCCAGCTACTCAGGAGGCTGAGGCAGAAGAATGGCGTGAACCCGGGAGGTGGAGCTTGCAGTGAGCTGAGATCGTGCCACTGCACTCCAGCCTGGGTGACAGAGCGAGACTCCATCTCAAAAAAAAAAAAAAAAAAAAAAAAATCAATATGCAAAATTCATTCACTAGCAACAAACAGCAAGTATAAGTTTTTTAAAGATACGATTTACAATAGCAAAAAATGTAAAGTAGCCAAGAATAAATATAGAAAAAGGTGGAAAAATGTGTTGAGAACAAATAAATAATGAGATCTTGTAGTCATGAATAGGAAGATTCAATACTATAAATACATTAATTCTTTCCAAATCAACTTATAAATCCAATGGAATTCCAACAAAGACCACAACAAGACTGTGTGTGTGTGTGTGTGAGTGTGTGTGTGTGCATAGTCTGTGACAGGATCATTTTAAATTCCTCATCTCCCTTCTCTCTCCCACCCCTGCTGCCCCACACCATGTGAGGACACAGTGACAAGGCTTGCCTTTGTAAAACAGGAAGAGGGCGCTTGCCAGAACTCGACCATGCTGGCACTTTGATCTCAGACTTCTAGCCTCCTGACTGTGAGAAATAAATGTCTGCTGTTTATACCACCCCATCTAAAGCATTCTGTTACAGCAACCTGTCTTAGTCTATTTTCTGCTGCTGTAACGGAATAACAGACTGGGTAATTTACAAAGAATGTAAGTCTATTTGGCCCACAGTTCTGGAGGCTGGGAAGTCCTAGAGCATGGGGCCAGCATCTGGTGGGGGTCCTCCTGTGGTGGAAGGTGAAAGGCAGAAAGCTGAAGTGAGTGTGTGAGACAGAGAGAGAAGCCAGATTTCCTTTATAACAACCCACTCTCACCATAACTAACCTCTCCCATGCTAATGACAATCCATACATGAGTGCTCCACTCTCACGACCCAATCACCTATTATTAAATTCGACCTCCAACACTGACTGTGGCATTGAGGATTATGTTTCCAACATATGAACTTTTGGGGGACTATTCAAACCACAGCACAGCCTGAACTGATTAAGACAGTGGGCTTTTCTATCTTCTATCATTAAACCATCCGAAACACCATTAGTCCTCTGACTGCAGGTCCAGCTGTCCTGAGCAGTTCAACATTTCATATTTCGAGGAATGCAGGTTCACTCATAAACAACACCTGTGACAGAGCCACCCTCACTCACATCCTGGACACTCTACTGTCTGTTCACCCCTGTGCATTCCAGGATGTAACAGGCAAGATGATCCCAACTCAGGCACAGCTGCAGTGTCTACAGCTGCAGGAGGTCCTGTCTCCCTCCTGCCCCCAGCAAGAAAACCCAAGTAAGGTATTTTTTTTTAAGGTATAGTTTTTTTCCTTCAAGTTTCTAATTTTGACACAATGAAAATATTGTATTTATATTAGCAATACCCGATTAGCAATTTCATGTAAAGGCGATTAGGTACTCATAAAAGGTCTCAAGTACTCCAACTAAATCAGTCACTGGTTAATAACAATGATCCACGAGCTGTTTTCCTGGTTTTCATGTGGAATAATTGGCAAGGAAAACCATACATGAAAAAAGAAAAAAGAAAAAGATCAGCAACTTTGCAGCTTTAGCCACTATGTGATGTGCTATCAAAAAGCCACCTAGAATCTTTTTTCATGAGTTAAAACACTACTGTCATCTATAATCCTGAACGGTAAGGTCTAGAAACCAATACTGACAGAGGTGTCCAAACAGCTCCTCTTGCAGTGCTGTGGGGCACATTTCTTTTAACCTTAATTGACTTCAATTACTGTGCTTCATCTCCCATGGCAAAATAATTCCCCAAAGAAACAAAGAGTATTAGAGTGTTTTCACTCATGAAACAGCCCGTAATGCACCTCTTTTGCTTAGGAATTGGAAGCCAACTAGATTTGAGCCTGCTTGAAAGAAAATCTCATCACTGAAGAATCCATTAGTGGGCCCTCCAAAATCCACACAGTCTTAAGGCCAGGGACCAACTGGACTTCAGGAATAGGATCAAAAAAGCCAATTCCAGTTCCATCGTGATGTACTGATTTAACTTTGATTGTGAAGGACAGTAATTTATTGAGTAATTTATCTTGCTAACCACCATATTAATCCAGTATCCAATCAGCACTTCTCTCATTCAATTCCAAGGAGCAGGAGTCCTAGATGGTTGGAAGTGTCAGACAGGAAGGGAAGAGTGTCTTCTAGTGTCTTGCCCAGTAATTGTACGGGGCTCCAAACTCCTGGGGAGGGGGAATGATGTCTGACTTGGAGCAGGCCAGTGGGGATGGACAGAGAAAAATTTCAGCAGGTGCCCATTGCTGGAGTGCAATAAGTAGAGCCCGGGGTGATGAGAGGCCTGGGGGAGAAGGGAGAGGGAGGGATGACAGAGAGGACAATAGGAACACAGGGTCCCTTGCCCTTCATAATGCCCTTGATTCTTGTTAAAGGGAAATGCCACGGATGTGGTTGGTGGAGCCAACATCTCTGCCTCATCCTTGATCATCCCACACACCCCACATCCAAATTCTCCCTGGCGTGTTGACCCGGCTACCAACCTCACCTGCAATCCTCCCTGGGCTCCAGCTCCACCTGCCCTGGCTGAACCTCCCCCTCTCACCTGGACTCTGAGGTGGCCTCCCAGTACCTCAGGTCTACTCTTCCCTGTCAGGACACCTGTTTTAGCCTAAGTCGGCTCCTGTCCCTCCCAGGTTACAGTCTGTGGCGGGAGGCCCACCAGTGATAAAATCTCCGCGCCTTCCCCCGTCCCTGGCTGGCACCCTCTGCAGCCTATTTCTGCCTCATTTCCACGGAGGCTGTCTCCCATTTTCTCTGCAGACCAGCCCCCAAGTACACATCGTGCTACCATAGTTCCACACTGGTCTAGCTCTCTCCGCTTCCCAGTCCCCCGCCCAGGGAAGGGGCTCACTGAACCAGCCTGGGCACGTGTCCACTCCCAGGACAGTCCACTGCAGGAATGGGCGGGGCAGGGTGCACAGGAGGGTGCTGTAAGCTGGGCCTGCTTTCTAAGCCAACCTGGGTGATTGGGGAGCCAACTCACCATGGGGCCGCTGCCTAGCCCCTCTGCTTCTACGTGACTATGATAGAAGACGGCACTGAAGCCTTCCCTCTGAGAAAGTTCTCAGATCTTCTTTTGGTCACTTCTGGCTCACACCCCACAAAAGATCCCCTGGACGGAAGCCTCAGCTCTCTTATTTCTGGGGATGTGGCTTTGAGGGTTTCCTCATCGCTCTGAGCCTTGATCTCATCTGTGAGGGGATGACTGGCTTAGACTTTAAACTCAAGTAGGTGAACCCCGGGGCACTTGGTAAAGGGAAGCCCTCCTGGGAGGATTCCGCCAGGGTGTGCAGAGCCACCCGTGATAGCAAGTGATCTCATTACTGGAAGGTTCTGAATCGGGGGGAGATGGTCACCAGCACCTCGGAGGGTTGGGGCACCATTCATCTTCTGATTGGTTATCATATTTGGTTTGATTTCAGTCACCCCAGAGGACCAAAATGACTAAAATAAGTAAGTTATTCATCTATAAACATTATGAAGCATTTTCAGGCATTTAACAGATGTAATAATTACCTATATCTAAGTCATATTTGAAGGGTAACTAAATTTTAATTGCTTTATAATATGTCTTATAATCTTTTTATTAGCAATTATATAAGCAATTGATTGTAACTATCTGTAAGTGAAAACTAATATCTGGATAGCCAAAAAAAAAAAAAAAGCCAAAAAATCCCACTCTTTCATTTAGATGACTGGGGAATATTGAAGAGTCGGGGAAATAGCAGGCTCTATTTTAAGCATCATTTTAAAGGAAATATAACACAATCTTAATCGTAGGTGGAAAAAACTCCAAAGAGTACTTGTTATGATTGCAAATTCCTAAGTAAAAGCCATCTACAGATGTGACTTGTTTCCAGGTATTACTCTTGATTTTGGGGACATGTCTCTTCCCTTGATGGGAGACCCCCTGGGTCACTGCATCCCTTGTACATCAAGGTTTCTTTCATGGCAGATGTCATGTCATTTTTTTCTCCATGTATCAGAACGACAACTCATTCCTTGCATGACAATGGAGTGGAAATGCAGGGAGACCTCAATGACATTTTATTCAGCTGACAAGGAAGAGACAAACTGCCTTGTCCCAGGAGTCTGTGAAAACTAGAAACACGGCCAGGCACGGTGGCTCACGCCTGTAATCCCAGCACTTTGGGAGGCCGAGGCGGGCAGATCATGAGATCAGGAGATTGAGACCATCCTGGCTAACACGGTGAAACCTCGTCTCTACTAAAAATACAAAAAAATTAGCCGGGCATGGTGGCGGGCGCCTGTATTCCCAGCTACTTGGGAGGCTGAGGCAGGAGAATGGCCTGAACCTGGGAGGCGGGGTCTTGCAGTGAGCTGAGATCGCGCCACTGCGCTCTAGCCTGGGCGACAGAGTGAGACTCCAACTAAACAAAACAAAACAAAACAACAAAAAAAAAAAAGAAAACTAGAAACACCTCATACTGGGAACTATAAAGCTTTGCCACTGCCACTGCTTTGTAAAACAAGAACTTTTCCCTGCCTAAGGTATCTATTTCATAGGTAGAATTCATAACACACTAAAACCTTTGACTTGGCCTGCTTGGTATAGAAAACTTATGCATCACAAAATATTCTGCTCAGAGTATAAGCACATAGGTAATGCATGAATTTGTGGTTTATCAATTTTCAAAGAACCTTTTACAAAGACACTGAATATATATGAGAGTAAACATGTTGTGATTTTTGGTAGTTCAGACAGTAATCAGTTTCTCGCTGGGCCTCAGCTTGTTCTGAGCATTCAGGTCCACAGTCCTGAAGCTAAGCTAGTGTCCCGGGTAGCAGCCTGGTGTATGTATCACTGCATATGGCGGTGAGAGCCAGGGCTCCAAAGCCAGACTGCCGGCCTGGGATTCTGGCTCCACCTTTACAATCTGCATGACCTTGGGGAGTTACTAAATTTCACTGTGCCTCAGTATCCTCACCTGTAAAATGAGAATAAATGATACGTGTACCTCACCGGGTTCTTGTAAGGGTAAGATTAGTTTCACAAATGTGCTGCCGGTAACGCTTAGCACACAGCAAGGCTCAATCAACATTAGCTATGACTATCATACACGATTAATCATCTGAGTGTCTGATCGGATTGAAAACACAGGCTCCTGCAGACAAATTCAGCAGAGGACTTTCAGGCCTCATGCATGAATGCTTAAGGAAAAGAGCCCTAAAGATTATGAGACGCCCATCCAAGAACATCCAAGAATGCGTTTTGCAGTCTGAACTGATTCTCCAGGGTGCTCCTTGTGTTCAACTGATGGGACAGGAACGCTGATGTTTGTCCATCTCTCTTTTTCTTCCTTTTTGAGACGGAGTCTCACTCTGTCACCCAGGCTGGAGTGCAGTGGCACGATCTCGGCTCACAGCAACCTCCACCTCCCAGGTTCAAGTGATTCTCCTGCCTCAGCCTGCTGAGTAGCTGAGATTACAGGTGCCCGCCACCATGCCCGGCTAATTTCTTTTGTATTTTTAGTAGAGACGGGGTTTCACCATGTTGGTCAGGCTGGTCTCGAACCCCTGACCTCGTGATCCACCCGCCTTGGCCTCCCAAAGTGCTGGGATAACAGGCGTGAGCCACTGTACCCAGACTGTCCATCTTTCATTGCTCTACTTTCTGGGTCTTGATCGTCCTCTCTCATGACTACTTCTTTTACTCCCATCAAGGTAAAGTGTGAGTGAAAGTAGTTTGATTAAAGCCCAGGCAGATTAAGGACGAAGCTAAAAAGAATGAAGAGACACTGGTAGGAAATACTGGCTGACATGCAGAAGTAATTTCAACGATCTTATTAGCCTTTCGCCTCTTGAGTACTTGGTTAATGTTCATAACCAGAAGTAATGTCTCTAATCTGCATTTAACTGATATTCTAACTCTTCCTTAAAGATACAGACCTCTTTTCCTCAGGCTTCATAGGCTAGACAATTCTCCTTAAATGTCCTGAGAGCCGTGGCACATAGGGGATGAGTGGTGGGGGGGCACATTCATTTGCCTGGAGTGTGGGAGGAGCCCCCACCTTTCCTGATTAATGCAGCTGGTAGTTCTCAGTGTGTGCAGCTGGGTGGGCCTCCAGAACAGTCAGTTTGGGGGCCATGAGGGGCAGGCTCTCCTGGATGGTGACAATAATTTTAAGAGAGGGGAGGTCAGTAGTTGGAAGTGGGAAGAGGCCAGAGGAGAGAAGAGGGTGGAAGAGCAGAGAAGCATCCCTCCTCAGCTCACCAGACAAAGGATAAAATGGAGGAAGTCACAGGACCCTTTGCCAGAGAAGCCCCCAGGAAGTGTGGCACATGCAGGGCAGGAGCCACGGGCCCCACTTCATGCTGAGGTCCTTGCCAAGCCCATGGCCCGCAGACCCTGTTGGACGGGGCAGCACCGTGCACCTGAAGGCTGAGGCCGGGCCCCAGGAGGGGTTAGATCTCTTTCCCTCCTTCCCTCCAGGTCGCCAGGCTTTGCTAATTTCATCTTCCAAATATTTACCAAGTTAATGCCCTTCTCCTCCTACTCTGATGTGCCTCTGCAGTTTTGGTCCCATTATCTCTGCCCAGGTTGGTGTCTGTGCCCTCTCTGGGCCTGGCTCTCAGTCCTGTCCCCTGCTGCTGCTGGATGATCTATTTCTGTAATGCATCTGGCCACTGCCCTCTCTTCCCTGCTACCCCAAACACCCCAATTCAGTGTCTCCACGTTGCCTGCAGCTCTGATACTGCAGGGCCCAGGACTTTCAAGAGGTAGAGCCAAGGGTGGGAGAAGGAAGAGTTGGAGGGACGCCCAGCTCTCCACCTGGGAGCTGAGCAGCTAGGGGTGGTGGTGATAACATCGACAAGGTTGGAAAGAGAAGCAGAAGCTGAGCCAATGGATTCCCTCTGGGAGCGGCTGGGGGAGGATGGCAGGGAGTGATCCGAGGGGTCCCGCTCTCGTGTATGGGACTCTGTCATGTGAGTACACATGTGATGGCTGGCAAAAAAGCAACTGTATGGCAGGATCCTCATCCACGGGAAGGACAGGGCTTCTATTTTAAAATACACTGAACAGCAAGACTGCACATGCTTTCTGGAATAGAACATAAATGCATCTATGAATCAAAGTCAGAAAATATATTGGTGGTTGTTTTCTTGCTTTATTTTGCGCTCTCACAGGTGTGACTATCAGTTTTCAGGAATATATTCTTTGCTCAATATGTATCTTCTTCCTGCCCTCCTTGCTTCCTTTCCTTCCTCCAGTGCACACAGATCGAGCCCACAACGCAGCAAGCACAGAGATGAAAAGAGGAAGATAGACGCGGGGTCTGCACCCACGAAACTCAGTCTAGAGGGACACAGGGGTGCCCTGGCCAGCATCTGGACTCGTGAGGCTGATGCATCAAGCCACGGCAGAGCTGCCTGGGAAAGGTGCATAGGGAGCACTCTCAGGGGCCAGAGGAAGGGACATCCAGGCGGCACCGGGCAGTGAGGCAAGTCAAGGGTGGCGGAGGTTGGTGGGGACAGTGTTACTGGGAGAGGGAAGGCTGAGTGCAGAGGTGGAGGGTAGGGATGGGCAGGGGCAGAAAGCACTGTGAAGGGAGCTTAGTGGAAGAGGGTGGGCGAGGGGAGGCAGGGCGGGAGGGATACAGGGAGAAGGGTGGATGTGCTGCAGGGACACCCGGGTGGTGACAAAATTAAAGTGCCTAAAAATACTCAAGGAGAAATGAACTTTGTTAACACAGTTTCTTTAAGAATGTAACGTGCCTGTAATCCCAACACTTAGGGAGGTTGAGGCAGGAGGATCACTTGAGTCCAGGAGTTGGGGACCAGCCTGGGCAACATAGTCATGCCTGTTTCTACAAATATAAAAATAAAATTAGCTGCATATGGTGGTACGTGTCTATGGTCCCAGCTACTCCAGAGACTGAGGCAGGAGGATGGCTGGAGCCTGGGAGGTCAAGGCTGCCGTGAGCTGTGATTGTACCACCGCACTCCAGCCTGGGCAACAGAGCAAGAACCTGTCTTAAAAAAAAAAAAAAAAAGAAAGAAAGAAAGAAAAGGAAAAAGAACCGGTTACCATCTCAATGAATTAGAGAAGACAGAACTAAAGAATATTTATATCCTGCCCAAGTGTTCACAATGCATCTCTCCGTTTTCACAATGCACCTTTCTTACCTTCTCTCTGTTTTTTGTTTTTTGTCTGGACTAATTGCTAGTCAGACTGTTCTCCTCTCTGCAGTCCCCTGAATTCTGCTTGTCCCTGGGGCCTGGGCGAGCGCTAGAAAGGAGAATGGGCCAGTAATCAGCTCGTCCCACAGTGAGACACATATCCTGGTCATCTTCCTTTGCTCACCCAACTTCCCCTTAAGTTTCTGCTAAGATTTGCTGACCTCCCTGCCCTATAAAAGAAAAGCCCTTTTCTGATTGATTTTGAGATGTTTACAGTTCTTGAGTTCCAAGGATTCTCCCCTGTTAGTTGCAAGAGTCTTTTTGAATAAATCTTCTCCTTATCTAAGACAAGATTAGTTTTGCTTGACAATGCAAATGACCAGAGGGACACAGAGAACTAAGAACATTTTTTAAAAGGGAAAGGTCTTGTTGAAATTAAATCTATACTTAATCAGTATCAGATCATCTTGTATTTGAGACTTCCTATCTTGTGTCTTGAGAAGGGCAAGAAGCAGTCTGGTGATACTGAGCTATAAACTAGAAAGGTTTTGCTATCATCTTTGCAGAACTGAACTATTTATGTGGCCTACAGGCAGGTTTTCTGCAGGATGTTGTATTTGTTATATGTTTATGGGAACCATTCTTCTCTCGAAATAACAGGCTAAATTTGCCATTAGGACATTGAATTTACCCACAAACTTTGTAATAAATACTCTTCAGGCTAGGATGGTAATGGCTTTACTTTGGTCTAACCAGTCTCTAAGTAAATAGTATGAATATTCTTGCTGGTTTGGAACTGCTCTCCGCTCAATTTCATTTTCCTCCTGGACAGTGCAAGAACACTAAATGTGGTGAGTATAGGAGCCATGTGCAAATGCACAATGCAAATTCCTTTTTTTCTGCAAGAGAAGAGGATGAATATGATAGATATTTAGGAAGACTTAGTGAATAATGGCACTTGGGAGCAAAGGAGAGGAAAGAGCCATTCCATGGTCTGAGCAATGGGAAGCCATTCTCTGAGTGGGATGGCTGAAGGGGCATGGAATTGCCAGGAGCTAAAGGGATACTGAGGATGAGCTTAGTTTGAGTCATCGGAGTCTGCGTGGTGTTCCACAGTAACTGCGTGGATCAGGGCCGGAGTCGTCTTTTTTTTTTTTTTTTGAGACGGAGTCTCGCTCTGTTGCCCAGGCTGGAGTGCAGTGGTGCGATCTCAGCTCACTGCAAGCTCCGCCTCCCGGGTTCACGCCATTCTCCTGCCTCAGCCTCCCGAGTAGCTGGGACTACAGGCGCCCGCCATCACGCCCGGCTAATTTTTTTTTTTGTATTTTTAGTACAGACGGGGTTTCACCGTGTTAGCCAGGATGGTCTCGATCTCCTGATCTCGTGAGCTGCCCACCTCGGCCTCCCAAAGCGCTGCGATTACAGGCGTGAGCCACCGCGCCCAGCCAGGGCTGGAGTCTTAAACTTGGGAGTGGCCAGTGCAGAGATGGGACTGATGCTATGGAAGCAGATGAATTTGCCCAAGGATGGTGTGCTCAATACAGAGAGAAGGGAGTTTGGATAAGGACCCAGAATCAGGAGCAGGAAGAAGAGTCTACAGAGACGATCATGATGAGAATGACCAGAGAGAAAGACGGAAACCAAGAACAGGAGGACACATGGACAAACCCACCATAGGAGTGGAGGAACACATTTGTCTCAATGTGTCCAGCAGACAACTAGTTAGTAAGGACATAGAAGAGCTGAACGTGCCAGATCTAATGGACATGTACCATATATACATTTACCTGTCCTCAAAAAGATATGTATGACTTACTACAAAAATTCACCACAAAGTCGTGCACAAAGCAAAATCTCAACTAACACCAAAGACTTGTTATTAGACACATTGTAATCAGGTTACCTGACTACAGTACAATTAAATTTGCTATAAATAATAAAAAGTAGGCCAGGCGCACTGGCTCACGCCTGTAATCCCAGCACTTTGGGAGTCGAGGCAGGCGGATCACCTGAGGTCAGGAGTTCAAGACCAGCCTGACCAACATGGTGAAACCCTGTCTCTACTAAAATACAAAAATTAGCTGGGTGTGGTGGCACACGGCTGTGATCCCAGCTACTCGGGAGGCTGAGGTAGGAGAATCGCTTGAACCCAGGAGACGGAGGTTGCAGTGAGCCGAGATCACGCCACTGCATTCCAGCCTGGGTGACAGAGCAAGACTCCGTCTCAAAAATAAATAAATAAACAAAATAAAATAAAATAAAAATAAAAAAGTAACGGAAAAACCCTCCATATATCTGCAAAATTTAAAAAATACTGCTAAATAACCCAGGGACTGAAAAATAAATCATAAGGAAAATTAAAGAAGTCTCAGAACTGAATAAAAAAGTTACTAGACATCAAAACTTAGCGTATGCAGTTTGCCTGCTTATATGAGGAAGAAAGACTGAATTTAGTAACAGCATACATCGAGAGAAGTGAGAAAAAGAAAAAGGAATTTGGAAGGAAGGAAAAAATGGAGAAGAGAGCAGAAACTAATGAAATAAGAAACAAAGCAATGACAAGATCAATAAATATTAAGCTGGTTCTTTGAAAAAAAACTGACAAAAATAGGCAAGTCTCTGGCAGAGGCTGATTAACAAAGAAAGAAAAGGAATAAATTAAAATATTAAAAATTAAAAAAGACATAACTAGGCATAGCATATACATGAATTTGAAAACCTAAACAAAATGGACAATTTATTCCAGAAAAGCAAAACATTCTAACATAGTCTCAAGAAGAAGGAGGAAATCCAAGTAACCTATAATCCACTGAATCAGTACTTAACTATCTACTGACTGCAAAAGAAATTACCAAGCCCTGGTGATTTTGTAACTTTTACCAAACATTCAATTCAAGAAATAGGTAAGTTTAATCTTCTGCAAACTTTGTTTTCAGAGGGAAAAAGAGGGGAACACCTCCCAGCTCATCTTTCTAGGCTAGTGTAAACTAAAAAATAAAATAAAATTAGGCAATTGCAGTATGAACAAGGGAAAGCTTGATTCATATAATTTATGAATAATGATGAAAAATCTTTAATAAAAGAAAAGCAAAGTAGATTTTCATAATTATATGAAAATATTGTGCCTAAGTTTTATCCCAGAAATGCAAGAACGGTTCCACATTAGAAATCCATTCTACATGAATATATATTCATGTAGTTTCATGTATATTCACTATATTAACAGAATACAGTTATATGTGTATGAATGTGTATATACATATATACACACACATATACACATACAAATACACACATGCATATATACTTATCTCAATAGATGCAGCATTTGCTAAAATTTAAAACTCATGGCAAACTCTTAGCAGACTGGTAACAAAATGGGATTCCCTTCATCTGGCAAATAATATTTAGTATTAGAAATTTTCAGCAAACATTATTCTTAATTATTAAACTCTTTCCTTTAAAATCGGGAACAAGACAAGGATGGCTACTGGCTCAACTTCCATTCCATTGTGTTGAAAGTCCTAACCAGTGCAGGAAGATGGGAAAAATTAAGAATCAATGTGAAGACTGGAAAAGAAGAAACAAAACTGTCGTTATTCCCAGATGATGGAACCCTCTAAATAAAAAGTCCTAAACAATCTACAGGCAAACTGTTAGAGAATAAAAAATTTAAAGTAAAAAAAAGAATTTTTTTTTTTTTTTGAGATGGAGTCTCACTTTTTCACCCAGGCCAGACTGCAGTGGCGCTATCTCAGCTCACTGCAAGCTCCGCCTCCTGGGTTCATGCCATTCTCCTGCCTCAGCCTCCCAAGTATCTGGGACTACAGGCGCCCGCCACCGCACCCGGCTAATTTTTTGTATTTTTAGTAGAGACGGGGGTTTCACCGTGTTAGCCAGGATGGTCTCGATCTCCTGACCTCGTGATCCGCCTGCCTCGGCCTCCGAAAGTGCTGGGATTACAGGCATGGCCACTGCGCCCGGCCAAACTAAAAAAATTTTAAACTCCCTACTTTTCCAATAAGGACAAAATGATATGACACCTAGGAATATATATTTAACGTAAGTTGATCGAGACTGTATATTAAAAATGGTAACATTTTTATTGAAAAACAGAAGGCTAAATGAAAAGCTGTACCAAAAATGATAATTCTCCCCAGATTAACCTAAAAATACAATACAGTTACAATGATGGTGTGTGTGTATATATGAGAAAGAAAGAGAGAGAGAGAGAGAAGGGAGAGAGAAGAGAGCTCTCTCTCCATCTCTCTTGGAGGAATGAGAATGGCCAAGACAGTTCTAAAGAGGGGAAGAGTGGGGATTTACCCTATTAACTACAAGACAAATACAGAACCAGTATTTCCCGTAATGTGGTAACAAGAGAGACAAGCCATAGACCAATAAAAAAAAAGAGCCCTCAGAAATAGACATCTTCAAATATAGAAACAGATTGGTGCTGTAATAATTGATGACTATCCATACACAAAAATAAATACAACTAGATCCGTATCTCACAACACACAAAATTAAACCCCAGGGGGATTACTGAGCTCAGTGTGAGAGGCAAAGTTTTAAAACTTCCATGAAAATACAGAAAATTTTTATCACTTGGGGATGGAAAAATAGTTCTTAAAATGCAACACTAAAAGGACACATCATCCAGGAAATGAATTTGCCTGCATTAAAACTGAAAACTTCTCTATCACAAATGATGCCCAAAACAACTTTGAGTGATGAGTCACTGATCGTGAGAAGACTTTTATGACAAAGGGAAATCGTTTAGAGTAAAGAGCAAATAACTCAGCAGGAAAAGAGAAAAAACCAGGGAGTTAGCAGATCAAAACAAATAGCCATCAGTCACACAGAAAGCCTGAGGACATCGAGAAGCAAGGCTGCCTTTTCCACTGGCCAGGAGAGCGGGGATCCCTGCCATCGCTGTGGAGTGCGGTGACTAAAGTCCTGCAGATGCACTTCCCCTGTGAGCCAGCAAGTCTGCAGGCTGGAGAAAATGCAGCAGGTGCACACACGCTGCCGAGTGCACATCACTCCGCATTCTAGCACTGTTAGAATAATGAGAAACTGGGAACAACCCAGTGTCCATGAACAGGAGATGGAGAAGCAACCTGTGGAATACTCGCTCAATGCAAGACCATGCAGAAGCCCCACGAAGATGACTAAGGCAACCCTTATCTACATGGATCAGTATCACAAACCTGATGGGGGTGAGAATAGAAACTGGCTTACGGTACCAAATGCGTCAACTTTGATGTAAAGTTTCAGTGAAGCAGACAACTCTGCAGGGGAATGAAAAATTCCCTGATGCCTCAGGATAGTGGCTGCTTCTGGACAATCTCTAATTTCAGACAGAGGGAGGGACAGAGAGCCGTGGCAGTGGAGGGGACTCAGATGGGTCTGCAACAATGTATGATAATATATTTCTTATTTAAAGAAAAAGAATAGAAGCAAATATTGTAAACATAGTAAGATTGAATAAATCTGGAAGGTATTATATTATTCTCATACTTTTCTGCACGTTGAACTAGCTAGTAACTTTTTTTTTTGAGACAGAGTCTTGTTCTGTTGCCCAGGCTGGAGTGCAGTGGCATCATCTTGGCTTACTGCATGCAGCCTCAACCTCTCAGGCTCAAGTGATTCTCCTGCCTCAGCCTCCTGAGTAGCTGGAACTACAGCCACGCACCACCACATCCAGCTAATTTTTGTATTTTTAGTAGACACGGGGTTTTGCCATATTGGCCAGGCTCGTCTGAAACTCCTGAGCTCAAGCGATCCGCCGGCCTCGGCCTCCCAAAGTGCTGGGATTACAGGTGTGGGCCACTGCACCCAGCCACTGACAACTTTTTTAAGGGTGCAGTGCTCAACTTTCAGATGTGCCAGGAGATGCACAGAACAAGGACCTGCTGAGGGCACCGCTGGTCATTTGCACGGAAATGACCCATTGGCTGTCCCCTGCTCTGCTGCGATTCTTCAGGCACCACCTAGTCTCCGTCTCCTACTAAGCGGATCAGGTTGGAAGTGGAGGAAGCAATGGATCTGGCATTAAAGATGGAAATCTGGATCTACCACCAGTTGAGTCTGCAGCTCAGCCCCTGCACATCCTGGGGCCTCCATTTTCCCATCTCCTCATGGAAATCATGAAGTCCGCCTCATGGACTTCACTGCGGTTGGGGTGGTGGTGGAGAAGACAGCTCATGGGATTTGAAAGGGCTGCATAAACCAGTTCCCAAAGGATGCCTATGCAGCGAAACCAGCCCGGGACCAGCGCAAAATAATACTAGTAGGTTTTATGTCTCCCATGGATGCTCTGCTCCTTTGTCCAGTGCCCTGTCCTGTGGCCCCTCTCACTTTGGGGACCATGGGACATGGAGCCTACCTGGAGATCAGAGGTTATTTTTAAAGCATTTGGTTATTTCAGGGCTCTAAATGAGTATCAGAATGAGAGAGAGGAGAAGGCAGTATTGAACGGTATGAGACCATGGGTGTGGTGGTGTGTGGCCGTAGTTCCAGCTACTCAGGAGGCTGAGGCAGGAGAATCACTTGAGCCTGAGAGGTTGAGGCTGCATGCAGTAAGCCAAGATGATGCCACTGCACTCCAGCCTGGGCAACAGAACAAGACTCTGTCTCAAAAAAAAAAAAAAAGTTATTAGCTAGTTCAACATACAGAAAATATGAGAATAATATAATACCTTCCAGATATTGTCCCAGCATGTTGGCCAGGCTGGTCTTGAACTCCCGACCTCAGAATATCAAATTGCTCAGAACAATTGTGCTCCACTCCCCTGTGATTATAGGATTCCCTGCTCAGCTTCCTGGAACCAGTGCCTATCGGTTTCGGAATCACACCCAATGCCCTCCATGCATCTCTGAATTCATGCATTATTCCAGTCCTATCTTTCCTGCCTTTGCTTTTGTCCTTTGTTCTTCCCCTGCTCACTTACCTGTCATGAAAACTTCCAACAGCTTCACTGAGGTAAAACTGGCACACAACGAAGGGCACCCATTTGAAGCATGAGTCTGATGAGTTTTCACACAGTACACATTCTGTGCTTTCATTTGCCCTGCTGCCATTTTTAGGTATTCTTTTCCACGGCCCCTTCTTCCCATGGTCCCTTTTTATTTATTTAGAGACAGAGTTTCGCTCTGTTCCCCAGGCTGGAGTGCAGTGGTGTGATTTCAGCTCACTGCAACCTCTGCCTCCCAGGTTCAAGCGATTCTCCTGCCTCAGCCTCCTGAGTAGCTGGGATTACAGGCGCCCGCCACCACACCTGGCTAATTTTTGTATTTTTAGTAGAGACAGGGTTTTGCCGTGTTGGCCAGGCTGGTCTCGAACTCCTGACCTCAGGTGATCTGCCCACCTCGGCCTCCCAAAATGCAGGGATTACAGGTGTGAGCCACCACGGTCTCTTTATTCTAGAACATCTCATATGGTTCAATATTGCCTTCTCCTCTCTCTCATTCTGATACTCATTTAGAGCCCTGAAGTTACCAAATGCTTTAAAAATAACCTCTGATCTCCAGGTAGGCTCCATGCTGTCCTCTCCCGTTTGTTTACTCATCCATCTGCAGCACTTTCTCCAGTCTGGTGTTTGGCCCCCGAATGGGGCGGTGGAGCTCCTCCCGTACTTTCTGTTTGGACACTAGAGTGACTGGGGTACTTTAGAGTGTGAAAATGGGTCTACTAATATCTATGCTGGACCATCTTCGACCATGTGGTGTGTGCTAACCCTAAACAGAACCCTCTCCTGAGATCCTGACACCCAGCCTGTGCTGGCATGGCAGAGACCACACAGCTGGAAGGAAGGAGGGACTGTCTCTCTGTAGTTCCTTTTATCTGAATGTGCTCCGAACTGTGGGTCCCTGCATTGGGGGAAGGAGGGAGTCTGTATGGCATAGCCATCTGGGTCCCAGAGTCTCCCAAGAAGCTGCCCTAAATCCTGCCACATCACAGCTGCCAAAAAACTCCAAAGGCAGCACCTCCCTTAGTGGTGGCTCCAGAATTTCAACTCTGGGACTGCAATCTGGAAGGAGGCTGTGTGTGCAGGGGAAGGAGTGGTATCTTAAAGCTGTGTTTGCACAGCACATTGCATTAGACCTTAAAAATGTCCACCATCCATTTCAAACAGTGGGAGCACTACTTATAAAAATTATAAAGGCCTTTAGAACCCACCCTCCCCATAAATTACCACCGGCACCATAGGTGATTCCACATCTGACCCATCAAACACCTATCAGTCCTTGTTCTTCAAAATGAGGGCATATTTGAGACCTAGTATGGCTTCCAGTAACCTCCCAGAAGGCCTCATAAAGCTGAGTTGAAAGTTGTTCTTTCTCTTTCTTTGTTCTGGTCTTATATGCAATATGTCTGGCAGAAAATTCTAGAACATTCTAGAAAAATGCAAGTGATGCATTGGCCATTAAGGAAGGGTACAGGTCTTCAGCCATTTTTGTGTAGGTTTTCTGTCATTTCAGCTAGGATTAGAGGTGAGGTATGTGTATACATGGCCAACCATCTGTGTTCCCATTACCACATACCTAGAGCTGTGTTTGGTATCATTCAGCAATAGAATCCCAGATTTTTTTCATATATTCCCACTTCCTCAGCTTCTTAGATGCTACCGTTCTTTTCCTATAGCTAACCTACCCGTATATCACCCATACACACTGAAAACTGCATCCGTCATCCTACTCAACAAAATAATGGCTCTCTTTCAGGACAGAGGGAAGGATTGAAAAAATTTCTAAGTTAATATTTTAATTTCCTGTCATAGTGAAAACACAACATATTACACTGTCACTGTCTGTTTTTCTTTCTTTCTTTTCTTCTTTTTTTTTCTTTTTGGGACAGAGTCTCACTCTGTCATCCAGGCTGGAGTGCAGTGGTGCGATCTCTGCTCACTTCAGCCTCCTCCTCCAGAGTTCAAGCAATTCTCCTGCCTCAGCCTCCCGAGTAGCTGGGATTACAGGCGTGTGCCACCACGCCAGGCTAATTTTTGTATTTTTAGTAGAGATGAAGTTTCATCATTTTGGCCAGGCTGGTCTCGAACTCTTGACCTCAGGTGATCCACCCGCTTCAGCCTCCCAAAGTGCTGGGATTACAGATGGAAACCACTGCTCCTGGCCAACTGTCTGTTTTTCTTGTCTGTTTCCCCCAGTAGACTTGGAGGGCAGAGTCAGTGTCTCTTATCTCTGTACATCCAGTGGCCAACCCAGACACAGAAGAGGTGCTCAAAAATTTTCTCTGAATGAATAAATTAAAAACTCTTATTGATTTCAAAAACAGTTACTGGGTATAATTTGTGCCACGCCCCTCGCTGTAAGCCAGAAAAAGACAGGAGAAATGCCGGGCAGTGAGGAGGCCAGGTCAGGCTGGTGACCACAGACATATAAGCTGCTCACCCACAGGCTGTGCGGTATGCTCCACTGGTCTTGTTGCTCAGGATGCAAACAAAGAGATAGCAGATATTTGGGCTCATCCAGGGATGCCTGCTAGCCAGGGAGGCACCACAGAAAAGCAGTATGAGAAGGAGCTCTCACATACTGGTCCAGGGATGGCTGAACAGGTGGACATGGCTCATGCATAGAGAGAGGGGCGGTATCGCACAGTGGAGTCTGGCTGAAGCTGGACAGCACTCACCATGGGGCTGTGTGAAATATTAATAATAAGATATGTATTATGTGTCTTTGGTCTCTGCTCCTCAGTCCCTGCTAAAGAGCTGCTAAAATCCTTGTCACTTCCTGAGTGACAGGGGCACTAGGTAATCTTTTTGTTGTTGTTTATAGTTAGTTTTTCTTTCTTTTTTTAATTATACTTTAAGTTTTGGGATACATGTGCAGAACATGCAGGTTTGTTACATGTGTATACATGTGCCATGGTGGTTTGCTGCACCCATCAACACATCATCTAGGTTTTAAGCCCTGCATGCATTAGGTATTTGTCCTAATGCTCTCCCTCCCCTTGCCCCCACCCCCTGACAGGTCCTGGTGTGTGATGTTCCCCTCTGTGTCCATGTGTTCTCACTGTTCAACTCCCACTTATGAGTAAGAACATATGGTGTTGGGTTTTCTGTTCCTGTGTTAGTTTTCTGAGAATGATGGTTTCCAGCTTCATCCATGTCCCTGCAAAGGACATGAACTCATTCTTTTTTTATGGCTGCATAGTAGAGAATCTTCTGTTTTAGTATTTGGTGTTTGACCCCAGCTCCTAAATCCTTTGGAATTTCCTGGGTGATAGGAGTGTCTTTTGTTCTAATGAAGCGACTCTTGATGGAATTCTAGATGGGTGCTGGGTCACCAGAATGACCAAGCCATGATGACGAGCTTGGGGCTTTCAGCCCCACTCCCCATTCTCCAGAGAAGGGACAGAGGCTGGAAACGGAGTTAAAAATCGATCCTGCCTACATGATGCAGCTTAAATAAAAGTCCCTGAACGGAGGGGTTCAGAGAGCTTCTGCGTCAGCGAACACATCCCCATGCCAGGAGGGTGGCGTACCCTCGCTCCTCGGGGACAGGGGCTCTTGTGCTCAGGACTCCCCCAACCTCGCCACATGCATCTCTCCACCTGGCTGTGCACCTGCATCCTGCCTCATATCCTTTATAATCAACAAGGGCATGGAAGTAAAGCCTTTCCGTGGGTTCTGTGAGCCACTCTAGCAATTCAATCAAACCCAAGTAGGGGGTTGTGGAAGCCCCAGTTTATACCCCATTGGCCAGAAGTACAGGTCACAACCTGGGGCTTGTGACTGGCATGAGAAGTGAGTGTGGTCTTGTGGGGCTGAGCCCTTAACATGTGGGATCCAACGCTGTCTCCAGGTAAAGAGTGTCAGAATTGAGTTGAACTGAGCACACCCAGCTGGTGTCTGCTGGAGAATGGTTTGGTGTATGGGGGAAATGAATACATCTGGTGTCAGAAGTCTCGTGCTGAGTGGTGTGTGAGAGTAGAGCACTGGAGGCTGGAAATTGTCTTGCTTTTTTTTTTTTTTTAACTTTCTTAGAGACAAAGATAAGAAAGCACATAAACTCAATAACTGATTGATTTCTTGGGAAACTTTTATCTCCTTGTCCATTGATAAGGTTTCTCTGGGTAATTTGGTTTATTGTGGCTCAGTAAATTAAACCAGGTACATGAAAGAAGAATAAGATCTTTAACTTTGATTTGAATTAGGTCACTATAATAAAAGCATAAGGACATTGTTGAATACAGCAAAGCACTAAAGGTGGCTAGATGCAGTGTCAACATGTTACGAAGCATATTTCACCAGTTAACAGTTCTGATTTTTGTAACTTAAAAAAAAATACTGTGAATACTGGTCCAAAAATATGTCACAGTCTTGCGCTGGGTTTGACTTGGCAAAAATGGCCATCAATCTACCTAAACATCTTTTTATTGTTTAAGCATTTATTATGTCATTTTTTGTTACAAAAGCCGAGACACTGTTTCATCAGGAACGGGGGTCTGTAGCCTTGCTTTTTCAGTAGCACTTGTCCATCACTGTCAAAGGCTTTGAGAAGGCAGATACTGAAATCCTAATTTTTAGACCCTATTTCCTGACTATTCATAATGAGATGCCCAGAGGCAGGCCCTGTCATCGGGAAGCAGGGACATGGGTCCTGGAGGGCTGAGACACTCAGATGGTCCCTGCCCTCCACCAGGACCTGCTCAGGAACCCAGGAGGAGCCACCTGCCCTCTCTCTGGGCTGCAGCCTTCACACCTGCACCATCGGTCAATGGACCCCAGGATGCACCCTCCCTCTGGCTCTACAATTCTGTGAATCCCTGTGTGGTGTGGTGGAGTTCCAGGTCCCCTCTGTGCCCTCTGCCCTGCTCCTCGCTCAGCCCCATAAGGAGGTAAGAAACCATCAATATCCTCAAGAGAGAGGCTTGTTGGCCCCCAGGGGTTCTCTGCTAAAAAAAAAAAACAGAGAATCTAGGAGCAGGGCCAGTCAGGAAGGGCAGAACAGAGATCCAGGGGTTTCGGGGCCTCCAAACCAACAAAAGACAATCCGAGGGATGAGTGAAGCAACATCTGCATGCTCTTCTGGATTCCAAATTTATTCCTCCTCGGCCATGAAGAAAGTTGGTTTCTGCTTTTTTCCCTGAGGATGGGCTGTGCCTGTACAGCCTTCCAGGTATGGGAGGGGAGGAAGGAGGGGAGGGTGCCTGACAGGAAGCAAGTAGTTGGACAAATCTCATTAAGTCAGTATCAGTTAATTCAAACACAACTAAAATCAAAGTGCTTTGATTCCCAAGCCAATTATATAGGATTTCCCCCACATAAATTGAGTTCATTACATAGTAAGTATAGATAATCCATAATTTAATATGGAAAATTCAGACATGGAGTGTTACTAATCAGATAAACAGAGCCTCAAATTAGACTATGGAAAAGATCAATGGACCTGCTCTAATTGCCAACCAAAAAGAAGCAAGCAAAAGGGAAATTAATCAAAGGAACATTCTCCTTTGCTCCTTCTTTAGCTAAGCGTCAAGAACATTTTGCAGGTGATAGGAAGGGGCTGTCCTGGATATCCGTGCAAAAGAGTAGAGCAGCCTCTTCCCAGAGTGGCTCCATTTCCAATGGCCCATATTTGTTCTGCTGCCCAAGAGTTTTAATAAAGCAACACCGGATCCCTGCAGAAGATCCTTTCACTGCAGTCAAAGTCATCAGGCACAGCTTGGCTTGGATGACTTTTCAAGAGTAAGGATTATATTAAAAATGACTGCACCACTAATTATGAGAAAACTAGATAATGTGGCACATGACTCTCAGAGGAAGAAGTATCTATAATTATGGGAAGGAAGTACAAAATCTTAATTATGCTAACTATTTAAATAGAGCATAAGGCTTGAGATAGAATTTAAGGGTTAGGAATCTGCCTTAGTGCTTTGAAGTATCCATATACTTCAGAAAAGGGATCTGAAAAAGATATAAAATACACTGAAAACTCCACTGTAATTAACTAGCTAGAGACATCCATGGGTGCAAACCGTAACCAAGGAGAGAAGGCTGCTGCAATCTCAGGGATAAAAACGAAGACACAAGGGCTCATGGAAAAAAAAGACAAAGACAGAAGGAGCCGAGGAGGGAGTTGCCAAGACTCAAGATCACATCGCAAGCAGAGGAAAAAGGTAATGCCTGCTGCAGAAAACAGCCAGGAAGAGAAGCTTTACAAAAACCGAACAGGGATAGGGGCAGTGGCTCATGCCCATAATCCCAGCACTTTGGGAGGTCAAGGCAGCAGGATCACTTGAGCCCAGGAGTTCGAGACCAGCCTGGGCCAGTGAGATCCTATCTCTACAAACAATAAAAAATTAGCTGGGCATGGTGGCATATGCCTACAGTCCCAGCTACTTGGGAGGCTAAGGTGGGAGGATCTCTTGGGCCCGGGAGTTTGAGGCTGCAGTGAGCCGTGATCACGCCACTGCACTCAACCTGGGCAACAGAGTGAGACCCTGTCTCAAAAGAGTTTGTTAAGTCATTCATGCTACATTTCCAATGTGGGTAGGGTGCAGGACGCTCTGTTCATTGTAGTGACCCAGGCTGATGGCACTGCCATCACCTCTACTCTGCCAATTACTGTGCCAGTGGGAAAGAGAGCTCTGGAAGACCTCAAACCACATTTAAACATTCTGACTTGAAAGTGGTACATATAAGCTTTGCTTACATGGCCCCCAGCAATCATGAGGGGACAGGGAAGTACAATCTTACCATGTAAAAGGAAGTTGGAGAGCTAGACATGTTTTAAAACAGCATTAATGACCATCACATACCTAAAGGGGAGAAAGCATTTGGCTGACTTTCAGATTTTTCCCTATACAGATATTCAATGCAAAAGAGAATAACATATCATCTATAAACCCCTAAGAGAAAGTTTCCTCAAGAATTCTGCACCCAGGGGGAAAAATGATGTAGAACATTATTCCAGAACATTATTCCAGATTCTGCTGAGGATGGAGAAAGCTGGAAAGAACATTGCCCCACCATTACAACAACAAGAAGAAGACATTGGGTTCTGCAAATTCCCAACTTAAGGTGAACCCATCAGACAGCTGAGGTCACAGGACAGCAAATTCTAAGGAAAAGACAGAGTCTCCAAGGAGAGACATGAGCACTTACCTGGGGCGTATGCAGTCAGATACCAGCTCTAGTGGAAAAGGTGGACAAGATGGAAGATCACTGAGGTAAGGTAGCAGAGAGGTGGAAGCAATGAGGAAGAGTCAAATGCAAATACTAGGAATTAAAAACAGGCACAGAGATGAAGAATGCCTTTGATAGACAGGGTCGGCAGTGGACTGGACACAGTTGAGGAAAAAATGACCAAGTGGGGTTTATCTTGGGAATGCAAGGCTGGCTTACCACTCAAAAGTCAGTGTTATTCACCATTTGAGTGGACTGAAGAAGATAATGTATAGCAACATCTAAGCAGACGTAGTAAAAGACTGATAAAATTCAACAGCCATTCGTGGTATTAAAAACAAAACAAAAACCACTCTCAGCAAACTAGGAATAGGAGGGTACTTCTACAACCTGATAATAAACATCTATGAAAAACTTAGCGCTAACATTATACTTAATCCCTAAAAGCAGGAACAAGAGAAGGACATCTGTTCTCACCATATCTATTCAACACTCTACGGGGCGGTCTAGTCAGTGTAATAAAACAGGGAAAAGAAGTAAGGGGCATCCAGATTGCAATGTGTGCTGATTTATTTTAGGTGTCAACTTGACTGGATGAAGGATACTCGAGAACTGGCAAAGCATTGTTTCTGGGTGTGTCTGTGAGGGTGTTTCCAGAGGAGATTGGTGTGTGAGTCTGTGAACTGAGTGGGGAAGATCCACCCTCAATGTTGGGGGGCAACATCTGATCGTCTGGGGACCTGGATAGAACAAAAAGGCAGAGGAAAAGCGAATTATTTTCTTTTGCTCTTCTGGAGCTGAGACACCCTTTCCTGCCCTTGGACATCAGAACTTCAGGCTCTCTGGCCTTTGGACCCTGGGACTCACACTGGTGCAACCACTCCCCGCAGGTTCTTGGCCTTGGACTGAGAGTTCCACCATTGGTTTCCCTGGTTCTGAGGCCTTTTGACTTCGACTGAGCCAAACTCCCAGCTTTCCAGGGTCTCCAGCTTGCAGATGGGACTGTCATAGGACTTCTTAGTCTCCATGGTAATGTGAGCAATTCTTTCAATAAATTCCCTCTCACCTATCTGTATCTGTCCTATTGGCTCTGTCTGGAGAATGGAAGACGTAAAATTGCCTCTCTTTGCATAGCACATGACTGTCTACATAAGAAAACCCAAAGAATCTGCAAAAGAGCTACCAGAACTGAGTTTAGTCAAGACCACAGGATACAAGATTGGTAACAAAAATCAAATTTCTATGTGCTAGCAGTGAATAAGAGACCATTAAAAAATACCATTAGGATAGCACCAATAAATGTGGAATACTTTAAGCATAACTATTACAAAATATGTTAAGATCTATATACTGAAATTTACACAAGACTGATGAAAAAAAGAAACACTGAAGAAATGAAGTATGACTTAAATAAATGAAGAACTAGATCATGAATATGTCAAGTCTCTTCAAAGTGACATGTGGACTCCATGCAATCTCAATTAAAATCCCAGCAGGATTCTAGTAGAAAATGCACAAGTGGATTCTAAAATTTATATGGAATTACAAAGGAAATGATAGCTAAGACAATTCTGAAAAGCAACAAAATTGGACGACAGCAATAAACAGATACTCGCTTCCAATAGTCCCTGGTCCTCTTGATCTCAGATGAAAGTCAGTCCCTGCCAAGGCTGTTGCTCCTTGCATAGGCCCTCAGGTGGGGGACAGGGGCAGGCTGCCTCTTCTCCTAGCACCTAAGCCACTGCTGCCACTTCCAGACCATTGGCCTCACACCTTAATCACAACTCCTGCCTCCTTTGAGCCTCCTGCCACCAGTTTTGATAGTTCCTATCTCTAAGTAGGCTTTGTACACAAATTCATGAGGGAGTTTAAAATAGTGTAGTCTTTCCTTTGCTTTCAACTCTTACCAGTGTCCTGGGCAATCTGAATACCCATGGGGATGTGCCATGCATTCAGCTAGGCTCCCAGCCTTCCCTGGAACTTCTTGACTTCAGTGGCCTTTACTCTATGCCGTTTTTGCCACCTCATACCAAGGGCTTTTCTCACCAATGTACCAGAACAGTGAATAAGAGTGAGACTGCAAGGTCACCAGCTCCCCCTAGACCTGAGACTGCATTCTTAGAGACAGTGTTGTTTTTTCACCAGCATTACCTTTCAAGCCACAGTCACTGCTGCAGGGGCTGGAGAGTCATGAAAACCGGGTCCTGCATCCCATGAGTGAAGGCGTTCAAGGGGGACGCCAGGACCTTAGAGGAGCCTGTTGAACACCCCAACCAGCCAACTGAGGAACGGGAGGTAACGTGAGGCCCAAATGCATCCCCATACTCAAGAAAACATTCCCAGGTTGAAGAAGTGACTTAGCAGTTGTCAGAATGAGATCGCAGAGTGAGCAACGGCTGCCCGTGTCCCCTCCCAGGAGGGCTGTGAAAGGCCACAGCAGACCTCAGGCACTGACCCAGGCAGGCTCCAGGATGCAGTGAGGTAGAATGTGGGCGTAGGTAATGTGGGCAGCATGAAATACCTGGTCCCATGATGGGATGGGCCCTGGAGTGCTGCAGTTCTTGATTCCTCCAACCCCGCTGCATCTGTCACTCTGGTGAGCTGCTGGGACCATCCAACTTGGACCATTCCTCCGTGCAAAACATGACAGGCGCTGTGAGCCAGGCGTAGTCCTACCATGGAGATGAGCCGCATCCTCTCTCTCTGTACATCTTTGCTTGTCTACCAGCCGGAGACCACCCATGGAGGACTAATCACAAGCACTCAAGGTCAACGCTTTCCTCCTCTCCCCAGATCCGAGGTGGCTCTCTGCAGTTTCCCATCCCCTGCATACTGCATTCCCTACACACATGCTAGAACCCCCTCCATACTGCAAACACAATTTTACCACCAACTAAGAGTTCCTTGGACTGTGCCACATCTTTTTATATTTATTTATCCATTTTTTTCTTTTGAGATGAAGCCTTGCTCTGTCACCAGGCTGGAGTGCAGTGGCACAATCTCGGCTCACTGCAACCTCTGTCTCCCAGGTTCCAATGATTCTCCTGCCTCAGCCTCCCAAGTAGCTGGGACTACAGGCGCCCACCACCACACCTGGCTAATTTTTGTATTTTTAGTAGAGAGGGGGTTTCACCATGTTGGCCAGACTGGTCTCGAACTCCTGACCTCAAGTGGTCCGGCTGCCTCAGCCTCCCAAAGTGCTGGGATTACAGGCGTGAGCCACTGCGCCCGGCTTGTGCCACATCTTTTTAAAAAGTTTTGGCACAGTTTTATTCAGGGGAAACAGAAGAATTGGGTTCACTCTTCTTATGTATTTTTAAGTAGCCAATTTTGCTTTTCAGAATAAAACACTCGGAAGAAAAAATAAAATAATATAAACAATTTTTCCAAATCACTTTTTTTTTAAACATCAAATGCTACACATAAGAATAGACTCCCAGGGGAGACTGTCTGATTTTTTTCCTCCAAATATCTTTTAAAAAGCAAAATAAATCCCCATTTGTTCCCTGATGGTATAACAGCCAAAAATGTCAGAAAAGCCGTAGAATGATCCCATCATCATTTGTAAAGACCTCTTTCAACCATTTGCATCCGAATTTGCAGATGTCAGAGGTAGGACAATGAAATGGCAAAAATGCAAAGTGAGATCCAGAAAGCAACACTTTCAAAATCAAAATATATAATCCTTTCAAATGTTCTCTGGAAAGATATTCCCTCTTGCACTGAACCTACCCCGGGAAGTTAAGAGCTGAAAGGAATCTATATGTTAATAAGGCTTCCTAAACTGTCTGTAAGGCATGGAATGAAATGCATGCACAAGCAGCGCCCAGCGGGGTCACCTTCAAGGTCAGCCTCACAGCGTTGCAGTTCTCCTGCAGCGGGTTCAGCTTCAGCGTCTCCCCGAGGTTGCTGCAGCCGGACGACTGGTGCTGCAGCTCACAGCAGACACACACCTCCACACTGTCAAACTTAATCTAGACAGAGGAACACAGACAGACCTCACCGTTAACAGGCATTCGACCCCCGAGGGTACGCGTGAGTGACACAGTTCAGAACACAGGAAAATGGCTCAGTTCAAAGGAGCCTGTTTCAGTGTGTTTAAGTAGTACAGCAAAAACAATTTCTATTGACCCAGGCCATCAGGAGGACTTCAAATTCCTATCTTAACAGCAATGTATAGAAAAAGCAAAAGTACATTTGAAGAAACTTAAGCTATACATTAGAGAAAATGGCAGGTGGATTACAAAATGAGATAAAGGTAAATAGATTGAAAGTCACTCATGCTGATGTATGCACGGAGATGTGCTATCCTAGCTCTGTGCCTTGGCTCATTCTCCTTCCACAGTCAGAAATTTCCTGCCTCACTTCATGGCCTATCAAACTCCTGCTCATCCATCAAGACCCAACTCCAGCGCCACCCTCGAGGCCTTGTCTGGTTTTCCTGCCTCACTGCTACTGAAGACTGACTTTATCCAGCTACAGGTGCATCTTATCACCACAGTATTGACAATGGCAACAAGTTGTAGGTGTTCAATAAATGCTGAATGAATAAAAACGGCTTGGAAAATGGAAAACCATGGAAGAAAAAAATGCATTTCAAGTATTTTAAAAAGCAGTGTTAGACGAAGAGAGAGTATGAGAGTCTCAGTGAGAGGGAAGAGAACAGAGTTACCAGTGCCTAGGAGAAAAGCAGCTTTAAAAAAGTAAAGTCCTAGCCAGGTGTGGTGGTACACCACCTGCATTTGCAGCTACTCGGCAGGCCAGGGCAGGAGGATTGCTTGAGCCTAGGAGTTTGAGACCAGCCTGGCTGGGTAACATACTGAGACTCTGTCTCAAAAATACGTAAATAAAAAATAATAAAGTCCTAGATGTAAAACTACTAAAAAAGAAAATCAGGCCAGGCGCGGTGGCTCACACCTGTAATCCCAGCACTTTGGGAGGCTGAGGCGGGCAGATCACAAGGTTAGGAGTTCAAGACCAGTCTGACCAACACAGTGAAACCCCGTCTCTACTAAAAATACAAAAATTAGCTCGGCGTGGTGCTATGCACCTGTAATCCCAGCTACTCAAGAGGCTGAGGCAGGAGAATCGCTTGAACCCAGGATGCGGAGGTTGCAGTGAGCTGAGATCATGCCATTGCACTCCAGCCTGGATGACAGAGCAAGACTCCATCTCAAAAAAAAAAAAAAATCAGTAAAATCTATGCAATTTTATTCAAAATAACACTGAACATGAAACAAGTTATTTTCCTTAGACTAAGAAGTGCCCTGCTTTCCAATAGATAATATGTTTACAGCAGCCAACTCGAAGTACAAATACTTTTCAGACAAATATTGGCCATTTATAACCATAACAAATAATTTTTCATTGCATGAATATTGCTGAGACTGAGGCCATACTTATAAAACCTCCAGGTATCAACATGTCCGCCTCTCCTAAATACTGGGGGAGGGGTAATGGAGCATCCTCAGAGCCAAGAAATGTGCTGATATTCACCAGAGGAACTCAGCTTAGCTTAAGACTTAGCCCCTGCCACCCCCTGCTCCATGTCAGGTGGGCTTTGCGAGTGGCTTTCAGCAGGAGAATATGGGTAGAGGTGTCAGCTTGCAGCTTCTGAACTTAAGACCTCCACAGGCTTCATGTTTCTGCACCCTCTCCCTGGAACTTCCAATATACAGCAGGAAAAGAACAGATTCCAGGGAGCTGCCAGCTCTCCAGTCCCAGCAGGAAACCCGTGGAGCACCCCTGCAGAACTGTTCTGCCCTATGGTACATGCACACACAACATTACTAGGTAAGATCAAACCATTTTTCAAATAATTCAAACAAATTATACTCCCACCAATAGGGTGTGAATTCAGGCTAATCCACATCCTCACCAATGCTTGCTAATGTTGGACTTAGACATTTTTGTCCATGCAGTAACTAATATAATAGTATCTAATTTGGGGGTGGGTGGGTTTGTTTTCATCTTTCCTCATTTTCTTAACCGTTCATATTGTGAAACCTAACACACATACACAAAAAGTGCACAAAGCAAACATATTCAGTTCAATGATTTATCATTAAGCAAGCACCCACCGGCCCATGGCCATGTTCCTAAAAGGCCTTCCATGCCTCATTCCCTGTCATTCCTCCCACTTGCTGCACCAAAAGCTCACCACATTCCTTACTTTTTAAATAATCACTTCTAGGCTTCCACCTTTATACATTTACCACTATAGTTTAGTTTCACCTGGTTTTCTAACTTGATACAAATAGAATCATACAATATTTTTAGTATTTGGCATCTTTCATTCAAAATTACAAGATTCATCTACCTTACTGCATATAAATATAGTTGATCATGTTCACTGTTGTATATTACATTGTGTGAATATGCTGCCATTTATATATCTATTCTCTTGTCACGGGACGTTTGGATTGTTGCTAATTTTTTTGCAATAAGATTAATGCTGTTTGATATTCTGTACTAGTCTGCTGGTACATACATGTGCATATTTCTTTTGGGTACAAAATACCTATTGATCAGAGCTGCTGGGTCCCTGGGGATTTTCAGCTTTAGCAGAGAATACAAAGCCACTTTCCAAAGTGGCTGTACCAATTTACACACTCACCAGCACTGTTCGAGGGTCCCCATTACTCCACATCCTGGCTTGTGCTTGTTTTAGTCTTTTTAATTTTAGATAAGAAAGTACTGGAAGAGGTACTTCTTCCTTGAAATGAGGGACTAAGCCAAGAAAAAAAGGGAAGATGGGATCTAACACAGAAAAGAGATAGAGGAAGTTCTAAGAGAATGGGAAAAGGATGTCCTAGCATGGTAAATATATAGACTGCCTATAGGCTGACTTGTTCAGACTGAAGCAGGAAACAGGCTCAATGGAAACGTCTCTAAGAAAATGAAGCTGACAGAACGCTTGATGGGTAGGACTGTATTCAGAGGAGATTTTCAGTTCTCCTGGGAAGTTTGAGAGTAAATTAGGAACAGAGACACTAAACAAATAATAAAACAATTTTAACTCAGCATAAAAGACAAATCATATATAGTACATGGTTTTGTTATATATGCGGCTTGTAAATATTTTCTCAGTCTATAGTTTATCTTTTTATCCTCTCAAAAGGATCATTCATTGAGTAAACGTTTTAAATTTTGATGAAGGCCAACTTACATATTTTTGCTCCTACACTTTTGGTGTTGATCTAAGAACTCTGCCTAGCCCTAGATCTTTCTCCTATGTTTTTTCTAAATGTTTTATAATTTTATTTTTACATTTGATTGCATGACCCATTTTCAGTCACTTTTAGTGAAAGATATGAGACTTGGGATGAGGTTGACTATTTTTGCCTATAGATGTCCAATTGTTCCAACATTTGTTGAAAAATCTATCTTTTCTTTGCTTAATTCCTTTTGACTTTTGTCAAAAATTAGTCGGGCATATTTGTGTGTCTCTATCTGGATTCTCTCTTTGTTCCATTGATCTATCTTTCCACCAACCACCAAGTCTTGATTACTGTGGCTATAAGTCTGGAAATCAAAAAATTAATTCCTCCCATTTAATTCTTATTTTTCAAAATTATTTGTCTCTCCATATACATTTTTTTTTTGAGACAGGTCTTGCTCTGTCACCCAGGCTGGAGTGCAGTGGCACCATCTCAGCTCACTGCAACCTCCGCCTCCCGGGTTCAAGCGATTCTCATGGCTCAGCCTCCCAGATAGTTGGAATTACAGGAGCACGCCACCATGCCTAGCTAATTTTTGTATTTTTAGTAGAGACAAGGTTTTGCCATGTTGGCCAGGCTGGTCTCGAATTCCTGGCCTCAAGTGATCCTCTCACCTCAGACTTCCAAAGTGCTGGGTGTACAGGCGTGAGCCACCACACCTCGTCTCCATATACATTTTAGAATAAGACTGTCATTGTCTCCAAAAAAAGTGTTGCTGGGATTTTGATAGGGATTGAATCAAACCCAGTTTCTTTTTTTTTTTTGAGATGGAATTTTTGCTCTTGTTGCCCAGGCTGGTGTGCAATTGCGTGATCTCACCTCACTGAAACTTCTGCCTTCTGGATTCAAGCAATTCTCCTGCCTCAGCCTCCTGAGTAGCTGGGATTACAGGTGCCCGCCACCAGGCCCAGCTAATTTTTTTTGTATTTTTAGTAGAGATGGGGTTTCGCCATATTGGCCAGGCTGGTCTTGGACTCCTGACCTCAGGTGATCTGCCTGCCTTGGCCTCCTGAAGTGCTGGGATTGATTACAGGTGTGAGCCACTGTGCCCAGCCCAAACCCACATATTAACTGGGGGGAAATGGACATATTTACTACATTGAATTTTCCAATTTATTTATTTCCTCATTGTTAACGCAGTTTTCAGTGTATGTTTTGTTAGATTTACACTTATGTATCTTTTTAAGCGATTTTTAATTTCAGTGTCCATATGCTATTAATATGCAGTATTACTGTTACTATACAGTTCACTATTAATACACAAGAAATACAATTGAATTTTGTATGTTTATCTTGTATCCTACAACTTTGCTGAACTCACTTATTAATTCTAAGAGGCTTGTTTGTTCTGTTTGTTTTTTAAAGATTCTTTGGGATTTTCTACATAGATACTCATGTCATCCACAAACAGAGTTAGTTATATTTGTTCTTTTCTAATCTTTATGCCTTTTATTTTATTTTCTTGCCATACTACATTGGCTTGAAATTACAGCATTATGTTCTATATTGAAAAAAATGGTACGAATGAGCATGCTTGCCTTGTTCCTGATCTTAGGGGAAAAGCATTCAGTCTCCATTAAGTGTGTTAGCTGTAGGTCTTTTGTAGATGCTCTTTTTCAAGTTGAGGACGTTCTCTATGCCTATTTTTCTAAGTTTCCTTTTTAGTTATGAAAAGGTGCTTGAGTTTGTCAAATGCTTTTTCTCCAACAATTGATACAGCCATGCAGTTTCTCTTCTTTAGCCTGTTGATATGATAGAATAAATTGACTGATTTTTGAATATCAAACCAGTTTTGAATCCCTGGAATAATCCCTCTTGGCAATGATGTATATAACTCCTTTCAGATATGTTGAATTTTATTCGTTATTATTTTGTTAAGGATTTTTGTATCTATATTACATTAATAAGGGATATTGGCCTGTAATTTTATTTTTCTATACTGTCTTTGTCTGGATTTTGGTAGCATGGCAATATTACTTTCACAAAAATCAATTTGGAAATGTTCCTTCTATTTTTTCAGAGAAATTGTGTAGAAATGGTATTAATTCTATAAATGCTTAATAGAATTCTCCAGTGAAACCATCTGGACCTGGAGATTTTGTTTTTGGAAGTTTTAGAATTATAAATTCAATTTCCTTAATAATTATAGGGCTATTCAAATTCTCTACTTCATAGTGTACGAGTTGTGTTAGTTCGTGTTTTCCAAGAAATTGATCTATTTCATCTAAGTTGTGAAGTTCATTTGTGTAAAGCCATTCCTATTATTCCCTTATTATCCTTTTGATGTCTGCTGGGTCTGTAGTTATATCCCGGTTTCTTCCCAGACATTGGGAATTTGTGTCTTCTAACTTTTTTTCTTGCTAGAGTTTTGTCAATGTTGTTGATGTTGTCAAAGTATCAGCTCCTTTTTCATTGGTTTTTCTCCATTGGTTTTCTGTTGTCCATTTCATTGATTTCTGCTCTTTCATTTATGATTTCCTGACACCTATTTGCTTTGGGTTGATTATGCTGCTCTTTATCTAGTTTCTTTTTTTAATTTTATTTTTAGTTGAGAAATAATTCTATATTACATATTTATGGGGTACAGTGTGATGTCTTAGTAATGTTTACATTGCAGAATGATTGAATCAAGCTAATTCACAAATCACCTCCCATTTTAAAAATTTTTTTTATTTTACTTTAAGTTCTGGGATACAGGTGCAGAATGTACAGGTTTGTTACATAGGTATATATGTGCCATAGTGGTCTGCTGCACCCGTCAACCCATCATCTAGGTTTTAAGCCCTGCATGCATTAGGTATTTGTCCTAATGTTCTCCCTCCCCTTGCCCCCAACCCCTGACAGGCCCTGGTATGTGATATTCCCCTCCCTGTGTCCATGTGTTCTCACTGTTCTACTCCTACTTATGAGTGAGAACATGCAGTGTTTGGTTTTCTGTTCCTGTGTTAGTTTTCTGAGAAAGATGGCTTCCAGCTTCATCTACATCCCTGCAAAAGGCATGAACTTATTCTCTTTTATGGCTGCATAGTATTCCATGGTGTATATGTGCTACATTTTCTTTATCCAGTCTATCATTGATGGGCATTTGGGTTGGTTCCAAGTCTTTGCTATTGTAAATAGTGCTGCAATAAACATACATGTGCATGTGTCTTTGTGGCAGAATGATTTATAATCCTTTGGGTATACACCCAGTAATGGGATTGCTGGGTCAAATGGTATTTCTGGTTCTAGATCCTTGAGGAATTGCCACACTGTCTTCCACAATGGTTGAACTAATTTACACTCCCACAACAGTATAAAACCGTTCCTAGGCCGGGCACGGTGGCTCACGCCTATAATCCCGGTACTTTGGGAGGCCGAGGCAGGCGGATCACGAGGACAGGAGATCGAGACCATCCTGGCTAACATGGCGAAACCCCGTCTCTACTAAAAATACAAAAAATTAGCCAGGCGTTTTGGCAGGTGCCTGCAGTTCCAGCTACTGGGGAGGCTGAGGCAGGAGAATGGCGTGAACCCGGGAGGCAGAGCTTGCAGTGAGCTGAGATCGCGCCACTGCACTCCAGCCTGTGTGACAGAGCGAGACTCTGTCTTGAAAACAACAACAACAACAAAATTGTTCCTGTTTCTCCACAGCCTCACCAGCATCTGTTGTTTCCTGCCTTTTTAATAATTGCCATTCTAACTGGCATGAGATGGTATCTCATTGTGGTTTTTGATTTGCATTTCTCTAATGATCAGTGATGATGAGCTTTTTTTCATGTTTGTTGGCTGATATATTTATCTTTTTGTGGTGAAAACATTTAAAATCTACTCTTAAGCAATTTTGAAATATACGAGGCATTATTTATTTTAGTCATCATTTTGTGAAATAGATCACTAAAACTTACTCCAATCTAACTGAAATTTTGTACCCTTTGATCTATATCCTCTTTGGCTTCAACTGTTTCCCTTTGCTGTGATCAACTGGACAGGAGTCCAGCTCTCCTGAAACAGTTCACTCTCCCACGTCTCAAAAACATTCAAGGAATTATCTCATATGATCACATCTCTAGGCTAGGCATTAAGATTGAAGTAGCTATCATAAATGGCAAGACATTTTCCTCAGTCTGAAGGATCATCCGGGGAAAGGGAGGGGAGATCAGCTTGTCTGGAAAGCATGATTTATCAAATAAAATAACCCTTCAATGACCCCAGGGAATAGACATCCAAATAAATCTTTTCCATCAGTTATTTCACTGAGTTTGTGATTAATTCTTAGGAAAATTCTGAAAACCTCCTGGTTAGTTCCCTGACCTCGACATCTGGGTGTGCAGGCGGCTGACAGATTTATTTTAAGAGTACCCCTCAGTGTTCGGGTCATTGGGAACGACACCGCAGAGCTTTGCAAATGAGGCCACAGTAATTTTTCACAAATCTCTTTGGGGCACTTAACAGCTAGCCTGCCCCCCTTATTTATGGTCTATCAGCCTGTCTGGGAGTAGAAAGGGCTTATACAACAAAAAGAGGGGGATGCCCCCACGATTCTCTTACAGAAGTACAAATGGGATGGGTATGTGACCTTCAGATATTCTCAAAGGGAAGGCAGTGTGGGAAGGCTGAGCATGTAGGCAGAGCAGGGCAGAGGGCTGGGAAGAGGCTGGCATGTGTCAAGCCCGAGAACTTACAGTGGGCACACCAAGGCCAGTATCCTTGGATGTGAGGAGCCTGTTTCGAGGAGGAAGGAGGCGCAGCACGGGTGACAGAGTCAGACTACTCACAGTCCTAACTGCCATGGAGTGACCCAGGACAAGCCATGTGACCTCTCTGGGCTTCAGGTTCCCGGACCCCAGTGAGGATCAAATGAGATTAGACAGGTAAAAATGCAGAGTGCCAACGCTATTTGCCGGTGTTATTGATGTTGCTATTATTTACATTAAAGAAAAAATTTGTAGAAACTAGACCCTAAGTTTTCTTCCCAAAGGTTCAAACAAAGCTACAAAAACTAGACCCTAATTTTTAAATTGTGGTAAAATACACACAACATAAAATTTACCATCTTCACCATTTGTCGGCATACAGTTCAGTGGCATTAAACATATTCACCTCGTTGTGCTACCATCACCACCATCCACCTCCACAACTTTTTCATCTTTCCAAACTGAAACTCTGTCACCACTAAACAAATCCCCATTCCCTCTCCCACAGGCCCCCAACAACTCCCATTCTACTTTCTCTCTCTGTGGATTCACTACTCCAGGTACCTCCTGCAAGTGGAATCAGGCAGTATTTGTCCTTTTGTGGCTGGCCTATTTCACTCAGCATGTCTTCAAGGTTCATCCATGTGGTAGCACGTGTCGAGATTTCCTTCCTTTTTAAGGCTGAAGAATGTTCTATCAGATGCATCTACCATATTTTCTTGATAATTCATCTGTAGATGGACACCTGGGATGTTTTCAGCTCTTGGCTGCTGTGAATAATGCTGCTATGAACATGGGTGTGCACATATCTATTTGAGTCCCTGCTTTCAATTATTTGGGTAAATTCCCAGAAGGGGAATTGCTGGATCATGTGGCAATTCTCTGTTTAATGATTTAAGAAAATGTCATAATGTTTTCCACAGCAGCTGTGCCATTTTACGTTCCACCAAGAGTGTACAAGGCTTCCAACTTCTCTACATCCTCACCAACACTTATTTTCTGGGTTTTCAAAAAATCATAGTCATTGCAGTGGGTGTCAGGTGGTATCTCACTCTGGTTTCGAGTTGCATTTCCCTAACCATTAGTGATGTTGTGCACCTTTTCATGTGCTTACTGGCCATTTGTATATATTATTTGGAGAAATATCTATTCAAATCCTTTGCCTGTTTTCAAATTGGGTTGTTTGTGTTCTTGTTGAGCTGTAGGAGTTCTTTATACATTCCGGATAGTAACCTCTTATCAACTATACAATTGGTAAATATTTTCACCCACGGAGCCTCTTCTGTTGATTGTGTTCTGTGATGAACAGAAGTCAATTCAACTTTTTGAATACTTGTAGGTTTCCATCACTTTCACAAAAACTGTCAGTAACCTGTTGATTTCTCCCTAACCCAGTAATTTTTGCTTCCTTTGTCTCAAGAATGAGCCACCTTAAGTCTTGCTGCAGAGGTAAGCATCTCACTTGCCTCACTCAGTCCTTGTCCTGCTTTCTGAGCAATGCCACTGTCCTGCAGCATCCCTGCTGGTGGTGGGAGAGGGTCCCCACAACACCAGCCCCAATGACACAGGACGACATAACTGCCTTTCTCTGGACTACTATTAACAAATACCACAGACGGGGTGGCTTATAAACAGTAGAAATTTATTTCTCAGAGTTCTGGAGGCTGGGAAGCCCAGGATTAAAACACCAGCAGATTTGGTGTATGGTGACATCCTGGTTCACAGATGGATCACTGTGTCCTCACCTGGCAGAAGAGACAAGGCAGTTTTCTGGGACTTCTATTATAAAGGCACTAACCCACTCATGCGGGCTCCACCCACATGACCTAATCACCTCCCAAGGACCCCACCTCCTAATACCATCACCATGGAGGTTAGAATTTCAACATAGAAATTCGGGGGTGGGGGACACAAACATTCAGACCACAGCAAAAACCCTTATGCTGGTGATGCTCAAGGCACTTAAAGGCACTGGTAAGACCCCAAAAACTCCAGTAATCACAGTGCAACATGGGTGGACCCTGATGACATTATGCTAAGTCAAAGAGGCCAGATACCACAGATCACACCCCGCATGATTCCATTCAACATCCAGAACAGAAAAACCCACAGGGACAGAAACCAGCTTAGCAGTTGTCTGGGACTCAGTCGGGGACAGGGGCCAATCCGGGGTGCGACATAAAGGGTATGGTATGTTTTTTTGAGGTGATGAAAATGCTCTAAAATTGACTGGGGTGGTGACGCACATACGGTAAATATACTAAGAAAACACTGAATTTTACACTTTAAGTGGGTGAATTGTATGATACGTGAATTATATCACAATAAAGGTGTTTCAGAAAAAAATTACCACCACACGTAATTACTAACTCATTTAGTTTGGTTTTAATCCCTTCCGTGTTCTGCCTAAACGTTTTATATTCACACACGTGTCACCAACATCGACAGTTTGGGACCAATCAAAACTACCTTCACCACTGTCTCCCCGGCATAAACTCAGGGCCAACATAGACATGCTCCGTAGGTTGGATGACACGGAGCCACTTTCCCGCGAGTGGCTCAAAGCTACTCGCCAAGCAGCTCCTGCAGCAGTGCCCTCAGCCAGCCCCTCCAGCTCTTCCTTACTCCAGAGCATCAAGGACTGGGCACCTTTTTGTTCCTGGAGAGATGCTGAATGCAGTCCCTGCCAGACCTGAGGACAAAGCCGGCCCATTATTGGGGTGTTTCCCCTGTGCTACACACTAGGCGTGGAAGCATTTGGACTGGCATTGTGTCCAGAATTGGTTCCCGCCCGTGGCTTCCTGGTCTCACCGACTTCAAGAATGAGGCCGCAGACGTTCCCAGCGAGTGTTACAGCTCTTAAAGATTGCACGAACCCAAAGAGTGAGTGATAACAAAGTTTATTACGAAGAGCAAGAGAACAGATCTTCCACCTCCTACGAGCGGTGTGCCGCTGCCGGTTGGGGGGCGGGGGGGGTGGCCAGCTTTTATTCCCTTATTTGTCCCCGCCCATGTTCTGTTTCTGTCCTATCAGAATGCCCTTTTCTCAATCCTCCCCCACGATTGGCTACTTTTAGAATCCTGCTGATTGGTGCATTTTACAGAGCGCTGATTAGTGCATTTTACAGAGCGCTGATTGGTGCATTTTACAAACCTAGCTATAGGGTGCTGATTGGTGCGTTTTACAATCCCCTGGTAAGTCAGAAAAGTTCTCCAAGTCCCCACTCCACCCAGGAAGTCCAGCTGGCTTCACCTCTCTCTTCCTTACTCCAGAGCACGAGGGACTGGGCACCTGTTTGTTCCTGGAGAGGTGCTAAATCCAGTCCCTGCCAGGCCTGGGGACAAAGCCAGCTCATCACTGGAGGGTTTCCCTGTTCTGCACAATGGGCGTGGAATCATGTGGATGGGCGTGTCACTGAGGGATCCCCCCAGCCTCCCCACTAGGTTGGGAATGCAGCCATCAGTGGGGGTCACCCCACCTTCCCTGCCAAGCTAGGGACACAAACCCCCACGCTGGCCCCTCCTAGCCTGTAGCCCCCCTGTCCCCTGGGGGGCTTACAAATGCCGGGACTTCTGAGAACTGAGACTGCCTTTTGTGTCCCCTACAGCAGGGATGGCAAACACAGACCACACATCCCACCATTTCCCTCTTTTGCTTTCACCCTCCCCTCCCCCCACCCTGAGTCCAGATAACAGCCTTAGAATCCTACTCAACACACTGTTCTGGGCACTTAATGCCAGGCAGAGGAAGCTGGCACACAACGTGAAACCTACTTGCCATCCCTGTCCTACCTATAAGTAGATAGGGCCAAAAATAGGAGAAAATAAAATGTTTATGACCAAATACATAAAGACATTGTAAAATGTTGATGCTTGCTAGGAGGGAATTAGCTGACTCCTTAAAAACATGTGTCATCTACTTTGAAATGATCGAGAAATGCTGGCAAATAGGGCAGCCTCAGAGTGCTCTCAAGCCTCTGCCCAGTGGCAGGGGAAGCAATTCTCTCTGTGCTTCTGCAGGAAGCGACAGCTGAGGTTTGAGGGAGGCGCCAGCACACCACAGATATCAGATTCCTCAGTAAACAGAACTCACATACACCCCTGGTGGGAGTGAAAATTAATACGAACAACTTCGGAAAACACACAGTTTGGCAGTATCTACCAAAGCTAAACATACCTATACCTATATACCTATAGGTATACCCTACATCCTATAACCTACAGACTTCCCCTCTGGTGTAACCAACAGATGGATGTTCATCCAAAGCAATACACGAGAATAGCCATGCCTGTGTATCCACAATAGCCTCACACTGGGAGGAGAGTGGGGAAAACAAAACTGCGAGGTACTCACACAATGGAAAATTGGAAACCAGAGCTACTTGCAACAAGATGAGTGAATCTAACCGACATGTTGAATGAAAAAAGCAAGAAATAAAAGGGTCAATTACATATGATTCTATTTATAAAGCTGAAAGCCAGGAAGAATTCTTTTGTGACATTAGAAGTTAGGATAGCAGGTGCCCATGAGGAGTGTGGTATGAGTGACTGGGAGAAGGAGGGGCGGGGCTCCCGGGGATGCTGGAGATGTTTTACTTCTGATCTAAGTGTTGGTTCCATGGGTTTGTTCACCTGTCAAGAGTTACTAGGTTCAGTACTTACAATGTGTGCTTTCTTCTCTGGCTATGTCTGAGCTAACACAGAGGATTAATTTTTAAAAAATACACAAATCTGTCTGGTCGTGGTGGCTCATGCCTGTAATCCCAGCACTTTGGGAGGCCAAGGTGGGCAGACTGCCTGAGGTCAGGAGTTGGAGACCAGCCTGGCTAACATCGTGAAACCCCGTCTCTACTAAAAATACAAAGATTAGCTGGGCGTGGTGGTGGGCACCTGTAATCCCAGCTACTTGGGAGGCTAAGGCAGGGATATCACTTCAACCCAGGAGTGAGAGGTTGCTGTGGGCCGGTATCACCCCACTGCACTCCAGCCTGGGCAACAGGGAGAGACTCCGTCTCAAAACAAAAACAAAAACAAATAAAAAATACACAGTAGTCCAGGGGAGAGTCTGTTGCTTATGACTGAGTGGACCTCAAGGCCTGCCTCAGTTTCCCACAGAGAGAGAAGGACCATGGTCATGAGGAGACCTTCCAGGGATGGTGGAAGCAAAAGAGAAAGTTGCATTTTGATTTTGGTTCCTCCGCCTGGAAAGTGCGGGTCTCACACAGGGAAAAGGTGGGCTTCTTCCAAGACTCAGCCTGAGCATCTCCCTCTGCTCTCGGGGACTGAGTTTCCCTCTTCCTGTGAGTCTCTCTGTGCCCTGGTACCCCTGCAGGGTCACTCTACCCAGCTGTCACCCCCTCAGAGCACAAACTGCTCCCTGGCATCGGGTGGCTGCTCACAACTGACTCTGAAATTAGTGGAAGGATGTAAAAGTAAAAAGTTGGATGCAAAAGTGTCACCTGGGTTAATTCAACTGGATTGTAAAGGTTTCAAGAAGGTTTTGTATAATGCTTTTTACTTTCTGCATTTTAAGATGCTTTGACATCTTGGGGTCTACTAATCCAGGAGAGACTGCCCTCCCAGGGCTAGCTAATTCCTTCAGATAATAAGAAACTCACCTGCAAGCCCACTTTTCCTATGCAGACCAACCAATCCACAGCCCACACCTCGAACTACACCCTTCATTTAACTCTCACAACTAAGCCACTATTTCCCCTGCCCTAAATCATCCCAGGGCCAGGTAAGGTACTAGACAACTGGGGGCTACTCCTACAGCCAACAGGTCAAACCAGCCAATTCTCACCTGGGTCAAACGTGCCTGCACATTCTTCCCCACAAAAACCACAATAAAGGATCTGGCCCATGCTGTCCCCTAGATCAGGGGTCCCCAAGCCCTGGGCCACAGACCAGTACTGGTCCTTGACCTGTTAGGAACTGGGTCTCACAGCAGGAGGCAAGCAGTGGGTGAGCATTATTGCCTGAGCTCCGCCTCCTGTCAGATCATCAGCAGCATTATATTCTCATAGGAGCGCGATTCCTATTGTGAACTGTGCATGCAAGGGATCTAGGTTGCACGCTCCTTATAAGAATCTAATGCCTGATGATCTGAGGTGGAACAGTTTCATCTGAAACCATCCCTGACCTGGACCCTCCCCCAGTTCATGGAAAAATTGTCTTCCACAAAACTGGTCCATGGTGCCAATATGGTTGGGGACTGCTGCCCTAGATCCCTCTGAGCTTCTCTGTGTGGTCTTGCCTGGGTAGCATGGCCCTTCCTCTTGGAAACTGCGAGTAATAAACTCTTCTTTCAAAGCAGTGGTCTCTGTGTCTGGCATCCCACCGTAATGGACTACAACAAATCCCAGGTACCTTTTAAGATAGGCTTGCAACTTAAAGATGATACAGCCTTCTCTAACTATCTCTTATCCCAATTCATCTCTTTCCTATGTATATTTTCAATAGACACCTGTGCTTCAAATGCATTAAGATACGTCCCAGAATGCAATCCATGGGTATGAACTGTGCAGGTACCACATGTTACTCCTAACACTTAGGATCAGATGATTAATAGAAGGGGATTGTCTGTAAAATATGCAGTTATTCAGGTTACTACATAATAATGGAAAGAGTAAAAAATCAAATTATTTCTTCAGTCTTTTACTACGAAGATTTCTGCATTTTGTTTTTGCTACTGCTATAAATGAGGGAGGCCTCATTTGTCCTATAGTAAAATGATGAAAATCTGCCCATCATCCCCTCTACGATGAAGCCAGTGGAGAGTCATGGTGTTCTGTGACCGTGGTGCTGTGTGGCAGAGTGCACTCAACCACCTCTCAGACACACTCGATGTGTGCCCTGCAGCCCTGAGGCTGCTCCACAAGCCCCTCCCAGCATGACCCAGCCCCTGTTCCAGTGACTTCAGATCTATGTCTCACTTCACTTCAGAATTCTTTAGGACAAATCGTTTTCAGAATATGGGAAATTACTTTCCCTTGTCTGATTGCCCTGGCTAGGACTTCAGTAGTGTGTTGAAGAGGAGTGGTCAGAGTGGGCATCCTTGTCTTGTTCCAGTTCTCAGAGGGGATGCTTTCAACTTTTCCCCATTCGGTATTATATTGGCTGCGGGTTTGTCATAGATGGCTTTTATTACAGTGAGATATGTCCTTTGTATCCCGATTTTGCCGAGAGTTTTAATCATAAAGGGATGCTGGATTTTGTTGAATGCTTTTTCTGCATCTGTTGAGATGATCATGTGATTTTTGTATTTAATTCTGTTTATGTGGTGTATCACATTTATTGACTTGCATATGTTAAACCATTTCTGCATCCCTGGTATGAAACCCACTTGGTCATGGTGGATTATCTTTTGATATGTTGTTGGATTTGGTTAGCTAATATTTTGTTAAGGATTTAGCATCTATGTTCATCAAGAATATAGGTCTGTAGTTTTCTTTTTTGGTTATGTCCTTTCCTGGTTTTGGTATTAGGGTGATGCTGGCTTCACAGAATGAATTAGGGAGGGTCTCTTCTTTCTCTATCTTGTGGAACAGTTTCAAAAGGATTGGTACCAATTCCTTTTTGAATATCTGGTAGAATTCTGCTGTGAATCCGTCTGGTCCTGGACTTTTTTTTGTTGGTAATTTTTAAATTGTCATTTCAATCTTACTGCTGGTTACTGTTCTGTTCAGGGTATCTAATTCTTCCTGCCTTACGCTAGGAGGGTTGTATTTTTCCAGGAATTTATCCGTCTCTTCTAGGTTTTCTAGTTTATGTGTGTAAAGTTATTCACAGTAGCCTTGAATGATCTTTTGTGTTTCAGTGGTGTCAGTTGTAATACCTCCCCCGTTTCATTTCTTATTGAGCTTATTTGGGTTTTCTCTCTTGTTTTCTTGGTTAATCTTGCTAATGGTCTATCAATTTTACTTATCTTTTCAAAGAACCGGCTTTTTGTTTCATTTATCTTTTGTATTTTTTTGTTTCAATTTCATTTAGTTCTGCTCTCATCTTGGTTATTTCCTTTCTTTTTCTGGGTTTGTTATTTCCTTTCTTTTGCTGGTTCTTGTTTCTCTAGTTCCTTGAGATGTGACCCTAGAGTGTCAGTTTGTGCTCTTTCAGTCTTTTTGATGCAGGCGTTTAGGGCTATGAACTTGCCTCTTAGCACCGCCTTTGCTGTATCCCAGAGGTTTTGACAGTTTGTGTCATTATTGTCTTTCAGTTCGAAGAATTTTTTAATTTCCATCTTGATTTCATTTTTGACCCAATGCTCATTCAGGAGCAAGTTATTCTGTGCAGAAGCTCTTTAGTTTAATTAGATCCCATTTGTCAGTTTTGGCTTCTGTTGCCATTACTTTTGGTGTTTTAGATGTGAAGTCCTGGCCCATGCCTATGTCCTGAATAGTATTGTCTAGGTTTTCTTCTAGGGTTTTTATGGTTTTAGGTCTAACATTTAAGTCTTTAATCCATCTTGAATTAGATTTTGTATAAGGTGTAAGGAAGGGATCCAGTTTCAGCTTTCTACATATGGCTAGCCAGTTTACCCTGCACCATTTATTAAATAGGGAATCCTTTCCCCATTTCTTGTTTTTGTCAGGTTTGTCAAAGATCAGATGGTTGTAGACGTGTGGTATTATTTCTGAGGGCTCTGTTCTGTTCCGTTGGTCTACATCTCTGTTTTGGTACCAGTACCATGCTGTTTTGGTTACTGTAGCCTTGTAGTATAGTTTGAAGTCAGGTAGCGTGATGCCTCCAGCTTTGTTCTTTTGGCTTAGGATTGACTTGGCAATGCGGGCTCTTTTTTGGTTCCATATGAACTTTAAAGTAGTTTTTTCCAATTCTGTGAAGAAAGTCATTGGTAGCTTGATGGGGATGGCATTGAATCTATAAATTACCTTGGGCAGTATGGCCATTTTCACGATATTGATTCTTCTTATCCATGAGCATGGAATGTTCTTCCATTTGTTTGTATCTCTTTTATTTCTTTGAGCAGTGGTTTGTAGTTGTCCTTGAAGAGGTCCTTCACATCCCTTGTAAGTTGGATTCCTAGGTATTTTATTCTCTTTGAAGCAATTGTGAATGGGAGTTCACTCATGATTTGGCTCTCTGCTTGTCTGTTATTGGTGTATAAGAATGCTTGTATTTTTGCACATTGATTTTGTATCCTGAGACTTTGCTGAATTTGCTTATCAGCTTAAGGAGATTTTGGGCTGAGATGATGGGGTTTTCTAGATATACTATCACAGCAAAAGAAACTACCATCAGAGTGAACAGGCAACCTACAGAATGGGAGAAAATTTTTGCAATCTACTCATCTGACAAAGGGCTAATATCCAGAATCTACAAAGAACTCCAACAAATTTACAAGAAAAAAACAACCCTATCTAAAAGTGGGTGAGGATATGAACAGACACTTCTCAAAAGAAGACATTTATGCAGCCAACAGACACATGAAAAAATGCTCAACATCACTGGCCATCAGAGAAATGCAAATCAAAACCACAATGAGATACCATCTCATGCCAGTTAGAATGGCGATCATTAAAAATTCAGGAAACAATAGGTGCTGGAGAGGATGTGGAGAAATAGGAACACTTTTACACTGTTGGTGGGACTGTAAACCAGTTCAACCATTGTGGAAGACAGTGTGGCAATTCCTCAAGGATCTAGAACTAGAAATACCATTTGACCCAGCCATCCCATTACTGGGTATATACCCAAAGGATTATAAATCATGCTGCTATAAAGACACATGCACACATATGTTTACTGCGGCACTATTCACAATAGCAAAGGCTTGGAACCAACCCCAATGTCCAACAATGACAGACTGGATTAAGAAAATGTGGCACATATACACCATGCAATACTATGCAGCCATAAAAAAGGATGAATTCATGTCCTTTGTAGGGACATGGATGAAGCTGGAAACCATCATCTCAGCAAACTATCGCAAGGACAAAAAAACAAACACCGCATGTTCTCACATATAGGTAGGAACTGAACAATGAGAACACTTGGACACAGGAAGGGGAATATCACACACCAGGGCCTGTTGTGGGGTGGGAGGAGGTGGGAGGGATAGCATTAGGAGATATACCTAATGTAAATGACGAGTTAATGGGTGCAGCACACCAACATGGCACATGTATACATATGTAACAAACCAGCACGTTGTGCACATGTACCCTAGAACTTAAAGTATAATAATAAAAAAAAAAAATGTAAAAAAAAAAGGAGCAAGTTATTTAATTTCCATGTATTTGCATGGTTTTGAAGGTTCCTTTTGGAGTTGATTTCCAGTTTTATTGTACTGTGGTCTAAGTGCTTGATACAATTTTAATTTTCTTAAATTTATTGAGGCTCGTTTTATGGCCTATCGGGCTATCTTGGAGAAAGTTCCACTTGCTGTTGAATAGAATGTGTATTCTGTGGTTCTTGGATGAAATGTTCTGCATATATTTGTTAAGTCCATTTGTTCCAAGGTATAGTTCAAATCCATTGTTTCTTTGCTGACTTTTTGTCTTGATGACCTTGTCTTGTGCTGTCAGTAGAGTACTGAAGTCCCTCACGATTACTGTGTTGCTGTCTATCTCATTTCTTTGGTCTGTTAGTAATTGTTTTATGAATTTTGGAGCTCCAGTGTTAGGTGCATATATGTTTAGGACTGTGATATTTTCCGGTTGGACAAGGCCTTTTATCATTTGTGATGATTAATACCAAGTGTCAACTTGATTGAATTGAAGGATACAAAGTATTGATCCTGAGTGTGTCTGTGAGGGTGTTGCCAAAGGAGATTAGCATTTGAGTCAGTGGGCTGGGAAAGGCAGACCCACCCTCAACCTGGGTGGGAACACTCTAATCAGCTGCTAGTGCAGATAAGACTATAAGCAGGCAGAAAAATGTGAAAAGGAGAGACTGGCCTAGCCTCCCAGCCTACATCTTTCTCCCATGCTGGATGCTTCCTGCCCTCAAACATTGGACTCCAAGTTCTTCAGTTTTGGAACTTGGACTGGCTCTCCTTGCTCCTCAGCCTGCAGACAGCCTATTGTGAGACCTTGTAATAATGTGAATTAATAATAAACTCAAATATATATAATATATATATATATATATATTCCATTAGTTCTGTCCCTCTAGAGAACCTAGACTAACACACCATTATACAAATGTCCCACTTTGTCTCTTTTAACTGCTGCTGCTTTAAAGTTTGTTTTGTCTGATATAAGAATAGCTACCCCTGCTCCCTTTTGGTGTCAATTTGCGTGAAATGCCTTTTTCCACCTCTTTAAGTTTATGTGAGTCCTTATGTGTTGGGTGAGTCTCCTGAAGGCAGCAGATGGTTGTTGAGTTCTGATGCTCCTGAAGCATGGAGTTCTGAGTTTCCTGAGGGCAGCAGTGGGTTGGTGAGTTCTTATCTATTCTGTGGTTCTGTATCTTTTAAGGGGAGCATTTAGGCTATTTACATTCAATGTTAGTATTGAGATGTGAGGTACCATTGCATTCATTGTGCTATTTGTTGCCTGAGTACTTTGGTTTTTTTGTTTTTGCTTTTTAACTTGTATTTTTGTTTTATAGGTCCTGTGTGATTTATGCTTTAAAGAGGTTCTGTTTTGATGTGTTTCCAAGATTTGTTTCAAGATTTAGAGCTCCTTTTAGCAGTTCTTGTAATGGTGGCTTGGCAGTGGCGAATTCTCTCAGCATTTGTTTGTCTGAAAAAGATGGTATCTTTCCTTCATATATGCTGCTTAGTTTCACTGGATACAAAATTCTTGGCTGATAATTGTTTTGTTTCAAGAGGCTGAAGATAGGGCCCTGATCCGTTTTAGCTTGTAGGGTTTCTGCTGAGAAATCTGCTGTTAATCTGATAGGTTTTCATTTATAGGTTACCTAGTGCTTCTGTGTCACAGCTCTTAAGATTCTTTCCTTTGTCTAACTTTGGATAACCTGATGACAATGTACCTAGGTGATGATCTTTTTGTGATGGATTTCCCAGGTGTTCTTTGTGTTTCTTGTACTTGGATATCTAGGTCTCTAGCAAGGCTGGGGAAAATTTTCTCTATTACTCCCCCAAATATGTTTTCCAAGCTTTTAGAATTCTCTTCTTTCTCAGGGACACTGATCATTCTTAGGGTTGGTCATTTTGTTACACCCGAGCGAGTTCCATGGTTTGCAAACATTTAAAAATGAACTTATGTTTCTAAACATTCTGTAGCTTTCTTCTTCCTATTGACTCATTAGCAATATTTGTTTTTTCCTGATTATAAAAGTAACAAATACTCAATGTAGACATTTTATAAAACATACAAAAGTAAAAAGATGTAAATTAAAATCATCCATAATAAAAATGGCTTAATACTGTGAACCATTGTTTAAAAAAAAGAAAAGAAAAGAAAAGAAAAACACCACACTTTGAGACAAATTAAGAGTCCTTTATTTAAGCCGGCGGCCAAGAGAGGGATTGACGCTCCAAAATTCTCTCAGCCCCAAAGAAGGGGCTCGATTTAACTTTTATATCTTGGTTTAGGAAGGGGGGGTCTAGTTAAAACAATTTTACAGAAGTAAAGTAGGCAAAAGTTAAAAGGATAAATGGTTACAGGCAAGTAAACAGTTCTAGGTGCAGGGGCTTTAAGACAATTACAAGGTGATAGGCCCGGGGCTTGGGGCGTTATCAATCAGAGGAATTCCTAGGAATTGTGGATACAGCTTGCCACAGTATCTTATCAGTTAATTGCATTCTTGGATGTGCTGGGAGTCAGCTTGCAGAAGTTAAGTCCTTGAGGAAGGGGCTGCCAGTGAAAGAGCCAAGATAGAATCTGTCTGGTTCTCTTAGCTAAGGAAGAGTCCATTCAGATGGAAACAAGGCTAGGTGATTAAAGGAAAAAGGGAGAGTCTAAAAACATGGTTAGTAAAAACGAGGTTGGGCATTACAATTTAACATAGTCCCAGACTTCTTGGAGGCTTCGTTCATATTTTTTCTTTTTTCTTTATCTTTGTTGGATTGGGTTAATTTGAAGACCTTGTCTTCAAGCTCTGAATTTCTTTCTTCTACTTGTTGAATTCTATTCCTGAGACTTTCCAGAGCACTTTGCATTTCTATAAGTGTGTCCAGTGTTTCCTGAATTTTTTATTGTTTTTTCCTTATGCTGTCTATTTCCATGAATATTTCTCCCTTCACTTCTTGTATCATTTTTGGATTTCCTTGCATTGGGCTTTGCCTTTCTCTGGTGCCTCCCTGATTTGTTTAATAACTAACCTCCTGAATTCTTTTTCAGGTAGATCAGGGACTTCTTGGTTTGGATCCATTGTTGGTAAACTAGTGTGATTTTTTGGGGGTGTTAAAGTTTTGTCATATTACCAGGGTTGGTTTTCTGATTCCTTCTCATTTGGGTAGGCTCTGTCAGAGGGAAGGTCTAGGGCTGAAGGCTGTTGTTCAGATTCTTTTTTTCCCATGGGGTGTTCCCTTGGTGTGGTAATCTCCCTCTTTGCCTATGGATGTGGCTTCCTATGAGCGGAACTGCAGTGATTGTTGTCTGTCTTCTGGGTCTGGCCACCCAGCAAGTTCTATCAGGCTCCAGGCTGGTACTCAGGGTGGTCTGCACAGAGTCCTGTGATGTGAACCGTCAATGGGTCTCTCAGCGTGGATATCAGTGCCTGTTCCGGTAGAGGTGGCAGCGGGGTGCAATGGACTATGTGAGGGTTCTTAGCTTTGGTGGTTTAATGCTCTATTTTTGTGCTGGTTGGCCTCCTGACGGGAGGTGGCACTTTCCAGAAAGCATTGGCTGTGGTGGGTGTGGAGAGGAACCTACGGTGGGCAGGGCCCTAGAACTCCTAAGAGTATATGCCCTTTGTCTTCATACCCCACGCTCATGGATGGGTAGAATCAATATTGTGAAAACGATCATACGGCCAAAAGCAATCTACAAATTCAATGCAATCCCCATCAAAATACCACCACCATTCTTCATAGGATTAGAAAAAACAATTCTAAAATTCATACAAAACCAAAAAAGAGCCCAGGTAGCCAAAGCAAGACTAAGCAAAAAGAACAAATCTGGAGTCATCACATTACCTGTTTTCAAACTATACTATAAAGCCACAGTCACCAAAACAGCATAATACTGGTATAAAAATAGGCACACAGACCAATGGAATAGAATAGAGAACCCAGAAATAAGCCCAAATATTTACAGCCAACTGATCTTCGACAAAGCAAACAAAAACATAAAGTGGGGAAAGGACACCCTCTTCAATAAATGGTGTTGGGATAACTGGCTAGCCACATGTAGGAGAATGAAACTGGATCCTCATCTCTCAACTTACACAAAAGTCAACTCAAGATGGATTAAAGACTTAAATCTAAGACCTGAAACTATAAAAATTATAGAAGATAACTTTGGAGAAACCCTTCTAGATGTTGGCTTAGGCAAGGATTTCATGACCAGGAACCCAAAAACAAATGCAATAAAAACAAAGATAGTCGGGACTTCAACTAAAGAGCTTTTGCATGGCCAAAGGAACAGTTATCAGAGTAAACAGACAACCCACAGGGTGGCAGAACATCTTCACAATCTATACATCTGACAAAGAACTAATTTCCAGAATCTACAATGAACTCAAACAAATCAGTAAGAAAAAAAAAACAAACAATCCCATCAAAAAGTGGGCTAAGGACATGAATAGAGAATTCTCAAAAGAAGATATACAAATGGCCAAGAAACATATGAAAAAATGCTCAACATCATTAGTCATCAGGAAAAGGCAAATCAAAACCATAATGCAATACCATCTTACTCCTGCAAGAATGGCCATAATCAAAAAATCAAAAAATCAAAAAATAGTAGATGTTGCCGTGGATGCAGTAAACAGGGAACACTTCTATGCTGCTGGTGGGAATGTAAACTAATGCAATCACTATGGAAAACAGTGTGGAGCTTCCTTAAAGAAGTAAAATAGAACTACCATTTGATCCAGCAATCCCACTACTGGTTATCTATGCAGAGGAAAAGAAGTGATTATATGAAAAGGATACTTCACACGCATGTTTATAGCAGCACAGTTCGCAATTGCAAAACTGTGGAAACAATCCAAATGCCCATCAGTCAATGAGTGTACAAAGGAACTGTGGTGCATAAATATATATATATATATATATATATATATATATATATATATATATATATATGATGGAATACTACTCAGCCATAAAAAGGAATGAATTAATGGCATTTGCAGTGACCTGGATGAGATTGGAGACTACTATTCTAAGTGAAGTAAATCAAGAATGGAAAACCAAACATCGTATGTTCTCACTAATATGTGGGAGCTAAGCTATGAGGATGCAAAGGTGTAAGAGTAATACAATGGACTGTGGGTACTTGAGGGGAAAAGTAGGAAGGGGGTGAGGGATAAAGGACTACAAATAGGATGCAGTTATGCTGCTCTGGTGATGGGTGCACCAAAATCTCACAAGTCACCACTAAAGATCCTACGCATGCAACCAAATACCACCTGTTCGCCAATAACTTATGGAAAAATAAAAAATAAAAATAAAAAAGAAAATTGGAAATTAAAGCTTTAAGTAGAGAGGCGAGACAGTAGGCCAGAAGTCGCTGTGCTTAATGGCAGCAGCCCTGGCCACCTGCCTGATTTCTAGGGCTTATTTGAGGCTGTGGGCTGGGGAGACCCGCTGGGCTGGCTCAGGGGTCTGCGTGGGCTGGCTCCAGTGCCCAGCCTAGAACCTTCAGGGACTTGGCCTACGCAAAGCCTGGCCTACTAGTTTTCATTTAGCGCATGTGAATTCAGAGAAACCAGGATCAGAAAGGTTCCTATTAGGTCTGTTATGATTCTGTCCAAGCTCATTAGAATTTAAATTTTTACCTTTAAACGCACGTTATTTTTGGCTCTGCATTGCATTTATTATTATATTTTATGCAAAGAAGCCTGGCCTTTATGACCGATCAGTATTTGTGATTTTTCACTTTTCATGCAATTAAAGCCCATTAGAACACAGCCACGTGGCACAGGAAATGCACTCATGTGGCTGAGGAAGGAGAGGAGCTGCCGCATTCTTTGTTTCTAATTGTGCTTTATCTGCTAATTGCGTTTCTACCTGCTCCACAGGAACGGTGGGAAACTTACATCGAAAAATATATATCTAAAGGAATTTAGAACTCCTTTAAAATCTCAAATCTGATGAGAATCTAGGGTTTTCTTTGGTGCATGAACGTGTATACACAAAACATTTAGGAAAAAGTTATTTAATTCCAGAAAATAGAACCTTTATTATATAAATTATACAATTAAGTCTTATAACATTCGTTGACCTTTTAGGGAAAAAAAAAAACTACCTGCTTTTCATTTCTAGCATCAGATATTTCACCTTTATTTTGGTCTTCATTTCGTCATATTCCGTTTGCTAATTCATCTCTTGCTCTGCAACAGATGTTCAAATTATTTGTGAAATAGTAGATCTGAGTCACAGGCTTTTAATTTTTCATTTCATGTGTGCCATCGTGAAGAGGGAGAGAGAGACAGGATGAGAATAAATCTGAGGACTGTGGGAATCTGCGATGCCAGTTGGAACTCCTGCCAAGAAGGAAATTGTCAAGTGAGAGCACCAAGCCAGAATCTGGAGTTCTCTTTGAAAGCATGTCTTCCTAGGACACAGCAACCGTTCCTACAGCCCTGGGAATTTTTACACCACCTTTTAATGCAAATGACACTTTTTTTTTTTTTTTGAGACGGAGTCTAGCTCTGTCGCCCAGGCTGCAGTGCAGTGGCACAATCTTGGCTCACTGCAACCTCTGCCTCCTGGGTTCAAGTGATTCTCCTGCCTCAGCCTCCCAAGTAGCTGGGATTATAGGTGCCCACCACCACGCCCAGCTAATTTTTGTATTTTTAGTAGAGACAGGGTTTCACTGTGTTGGCCAGGCTGGTCTCGAACTCCTGACCTCATGATCTGCCCACCTCGGCCTCTCAAAGTGCTGGGATTACAAGTGTGAGCCACCACGACCGACACTTTCAAGGACAGCTTAGCTTGCTGAGTTAGTAACGTTCACACAAGCCTCCTCTTGAACAGGAAAATAAGACTGGCACTCCTGAGGCACTCTTATCACACGAGAGACATGGAATAAGTTAGAGATTCCTCCTCCCTGTCTTGCCTTCGTCTCCTTCTGAGGCTCTTCTGTTAATAATGTAGACTTGCACTTTTAGGCCCGACTCAGAAATTTCATTAATTAGCACGGTCATCAAAGTAGAGCTCCACTTTGCTGACAGAAAGGGAGAAAGGGCTAAAGAGAATCGTGCTGGGTAACAGGAAAATAAGGAACACTGCACGATTTTCCACCACAGAGACCCAAGCAAGAATGTTCGCAGCAGCAGTGCTTGGAATAACAAAAGATTGGAAAGAATCGACATGAGGTTCTGTCAAGTTAACTTGGGAAAACAGTGTTTCAAAAACATTAAATTAGGAGCTCTCCTGCATGACTTCTCCAACTTGTAACATTTCAGTGTGTGTTGTTGTCAGAGGTGTTTGAACCAGAGTAACTCCATCTTGGATAGGGGCTGGGTAAAATAAGGCTGAGACCTACTGGGCTGCATTCCCAGATGGTTAGGCATTCTAATGAGGTAGGAGGTCAGCACAAGATACAGGTCATAAAGACCTTGCTGATAAAACAGTTTGCAGTAAAGAAGCTGGCCAAATCCCATCAAAACCAAGATGGTGACAAGAGTGATCTCTGGGTCATCCTCACTGCTACACTCCCATCAGCGCCATGAGTTTACAAATCCCATGACAATGTCAGGAAGTTACCCTATATGGTCAAAAAGAAAAGGCATGAATAATCCTCCCCTTGTTTAGCATATCATCACGAAATTACCATGAAAATGGGCAACCAGCATCCCTTAGGGCTGCTCTGCCTATGGAGAGCCATTCTTTATTCCTTTACTTAATAAACTTTCACTTTACTCTATGGGCTCGCCTCTAATTCTTTCTTGCGCAAGATCCAATAGCCCTCTCTTGGGGTCTGGATTGGGACCCCTTTTCGGTAACACTGTCACCCTCCAAGAAGAGAGGCTGAGCATGCTGAGTGGACCACGTTTTCCTCCTCCTCTTCCTTCTTACATTTAAAATAACACCCATTTGCATCTCCCGTCACTCATGCTCAGGAGAATGTGCTGTGAGAAGTGCAGAATGAGATGTTCAGGAGAGGTTCAGGGGCCTGCTTCAGTCTCCAGACATTCCAGCTTCCGAGGGGGCCCTGCAGGGCCACCAGCTCCCTCACGCTCACCCCACTAGGAATTACTCTATTTACAGACAAAAATGCCTGCCAGTTGGTATTTGTCCTTTCCTAGAACATACCATAAATACAAAGCAATAAAGAATAACGTTTTTATGAGTTTAAGTTTTTGTCTGGTCTCTAATCCAGCAGAATAGCATGTGATACAATCTCATGACTTTCAGAGCTATACAGGAGAAAACTGCTCATAGCAGTGTCGTGTGTTTCCAGGCAAAACTGAAAACATGAATACAGCACTGGACACCTGGTCAGTCCTTAACAAATTACTCTCCGTTGCTCAACTTCAATGACAAGAACAAATCAAACAAAGAAGCTGGGCAGGGCTGCTGCTGACTGGTCACCTGACGGCCAATGGACAGTGACTTTTAAAGTTTACTTTCTTTTATTCTTGGGGGAGATCATATAGTATTTGAGGGTATAGTTGGGGAACACCACATTAAAAAATCGCAATTCTTAGCTTCTCTTGAAAAGTTTCGAGTTCCAGGTTCACTAGGCCGTGGGTGGCAGCCGCTCCCTCCAGACAAGTCCTCCTGGTTCTGGGCTGGAGAGAGTTTGTCTGGCTTGGCTCCCGGCAGCCTCTGGGATTCTGTTTCTTCCTCTCTGCAAAGAAAGGTGCCCAGCTCCAATGGCTCTCTATCTTCCATGTGGGGACACCTCTTCTGCTGTCATATCTGCACCTGTGAGCCTGTTCCTTCGTAGACATGCTAGCGGGGAGTCCAGTGGACACAGACACACATACATGGGTTGACTCAGCTACGTGTAACTGGATATCAGTTTAGCCACTAATACCCCCTAAAAATGAGCTATAAATCCGAGAAACAGTTCGGATGGTCTTTTTTCCCACTGGAGACCACACTTCTTGCAGACACTAAAGCCCTGCTAAACACAATGCGGGCCCAGTAGAACTCCTGTAGTGGCGCTCCTGGCCAGGGTGGGGGTGGAGGGAATGGAAAGGTAGCCAGAGAGGCTGGTTCTGGAGCCCCTGCGCCTGCAGCCCTTTCCCCAGTCCCTGCAACAGGAAGGCCTCATCCTTCTACACTGCAGGTATCCCAGCAGACGAAAAGCAGGCACTCTCTGGAGAGGGCTCAGCTGACAGAGGACTGACAGACGTCCCAGTGCACATGAAGTAAAGTCTGAAGCTTGCCCGCCCCCAGCTCGCGCCCAGCTCTGCCTGTGAACACAGATAGCTCCACCTCTGTACTCAGAAGTGTGTCCAGAATTGATGGGTTCTTGGTCGCACTGACTTCCAGAACGAAGCCGTGGACCCTCACACTGAGTGTTACAGTTCTTAAAGACACCGTGTCCAGACTTTGTTCCTTCTGGTGTTCGGATGCGTTCACAGTTTCTTCCTTCTGGTGGGTTCGTGGTCTCGCTGGCTCAGCAGTGAAGCTACAGACCTTCGTGGTGAGTGTTACAGCTCTCAAATCGGCGCGTCTGGAGTTGTTCGTTCCTCCCGGTGGGTTCGTGGTCTCACTGGCTTCAGGAGTGAAGCTGCAGACCTTCGCAGTGAGTGTTACAGGTGATAAAGGCAGTTTGGACCCAAAGAGTGAGCAGCAGCAACTTATTGCAAACATTGAAAGAACAAAGCTTCCACACTTGTGGAAGGGAACTGCGCCGGGTTGCCACTGCTGGCTCGGGCAGCCCGCTTTTAGTCTTATTTGGCCCCACCCACATCCTGCTGATTGGTCCATTTTACAGAGAGCCGATTGGTCTGTTTTACAGAGAGCTGATTGGTCCGCTTTGACAGGATGCTGATTGGTGCATTTACAATCCCTGAGCTAGACACAAAAGTTCTCCACCTCCTCACTAGATTAGCTAGATACAGAGTGTCCACTGGTGTATTTACAAACCCTGAGCTAGACACAGGGTGTTGATTGGTGTATTTACAATCCCTTAGCTAGACATAAAGGTTCTCCAAGTCCCCACCAGACTCAGGAGCCCAGCTGGCTTCACCCAGTGGATCCGGCACCGGGCCGCAGGTGGAGCTGCCTGCCAGTCCCCTGCTGGGCACCCACACTCCTTAGCCCTTGGGTGGTCCATGGGACTGGGCACCGTGGAGCAGGGGGCGGTGCACACTGGGGAGGCTCCCGCAGCACAGGAGCCCACGGAAGTTGGGGAGGCTCAGGCATGGCGGGCTGCAGGTCCGGAGCCCTGCCCCGCGGGAAGGCAGCTAAGGCCTGGTGAGAAACTGAGCACAGCAGCTACTGGCCCACATGCTAAGCCCCTCACTGCCCGGGCCGGCGGGCTGGCCGGCCGCTCTGAGTGCGGGGCCGCTGAGCCCATGCCCACCCAGAACTCACGCTGGCCCGCAAGCACCAGGCACAGCCCCGGTTCCTGCTCACGCCTCTCCCTCCACACCTCCCTGCAAGCTAAGGGAACAGGCTCCAGCCTTGGCCAGCCCAGAAAGGGGCTCCCACAGTGCAGCAGCGGGCTGAAGGGCTCCTCAAGCACAGCCAGAGTGGGCACCAAGGCCGAGGAGGCGCCCAGAGCCAGAGAGGGCTGTGAGGGCTGCCAGCATGCTGTCACCTCTCAGAAGCAGGAGAAGTCCCGCCCAAGAGAAAACAAAAACTATACACACTGACTTTCGGGGATCTCCCAAGAAATGCTAGATGATTAGATGATCCACCCGAGTCCATATAGCTGTGACAGATGATGAACCTTGAAGATCTTGTTGCATTTTGGTGGGGAACTGTGGGAATCGGGCAGGGAATCACTTTCACCCGCAGCTTACCAGGACCTATCTACAGGGATGACAAAAGCATCCCCTAACAGGTGGCTGGAGACCTGAGGCTCACCAAGTGCCCCAGTCATGAAATCACAGAAAAAAACTACCAGAGGCCAGTGCATTGCTCTCCCTGCCTGGCAGGTGCAAAGTCAGTGGAGAGAAGTAGTATCACGGTCGAGCATGCGGTGAGAACAACGCCCACGGAACCGGGGGACACATGGCAAGGGCTGAAGCTGCAAGTTCTGAGCACGTCAGCCCCTGCGCCTCACCCCCACCTTCCTGTTCTCCAAACTGAAATGAGCCTCCGGGCCTTGTCCCCAACCACTTCCCTGCATCCTTTAGGCCTCGGCTTGCAGGCCAGGTGCTCAGAGAGGTATTGGCCACGTCCACCACACCTCCCCACGTCTTTCCTCGGAGGACTTCCTGTTGTCTGAAACTGTCCACCGCAGCTCCCCGTGTCTTTCCTTGGAGCACTTCCTGTTGTCTGACACTGTCCACCACAGCCCCCCACGTCTTTCTTTGGAGCCCGAGCTGCTCACCAGAAGGGAGCGGAGCCAGGATTTGGCTTGTCTCCAGGACTTGTCTTGACACTGCCGTGTTCCTAGCACTCAGAACATGCCGGACACGGGGCGCTCCCTCTGTAAAATGTATTAATCCACTGAATCAAAGAATGACTGAATGTACACCATGGACAGATAGATATTTCTATGGAACCACTGTTACCTTAAAACATACCAATTTTTATTTTGCTGGGAATGTTTACTTTGCTAGGAAAGTTTACTTTGCTAGGAAACTTTGGGGGTTTGGAATCAACTTTCAAATTGCAGCTTTTGCATGGAATCTCTTTATCTATAATAATAGCAAATTCACATGAAGAAGAATGAAAACAGAATGATGTTCCTACAAACGGAAAAATTCTGGGCCATCATGACAACGCACAAATAGCTGTCAAATGCTAAATTTCTCATGAAGCCAAGAGAGGCCAAAACTATCCCTGACCTGTGATTAGTACAATAAAGGCTGTGCCTTTGGGCAACAATGGGAACAGAGATGAAGACTTCAAGCCAGACAGTCCAGCAGCCCCAGCCTAAGGCTATGTTCTCCTGTAATTTATTACTCAGGATGAGGAAGCTAAATCAGGGTTGCCCTGGTTACTATGGGGCTCTTCCGAGGACCCTGGCGACATAATTGGTGTTGGCTTGGAGACTGAGGCTTTCAATTCTGAGATTAGAGTGCTGGTAATAGAGGTGGCTACCCCCTCAAGAAGAAATTCAAACAGGCTTTGGAAAAAATGAGATAGTCTCAAAATTAAGGTCCTCCTCCAAAATGTGCCACTGACTGTCTTAACCTGTGGTCCTGACAGATTCAGCAACAATACATAATTGGCTCATTCAAATAATAATTGCCTTTTAAAAATAGTAACAAACAGAATCATGAAACGCTTAACCAGATGATGTCAGCTAACTGAACTAGGTTGTCACACACAGAGAGAGCAGCGTCTGCTGTGAATATCCTGCTCAGATCACCCTTCGGCAGACATTTCCCGAGTTACTGCCACAGCCCCGTGCTGGACACTCAGAGGAGGAAGAACTCTGGGGATAGCGGCTTGGAGGACTGGCTGGAGGGGGAATGACATGGGATGTGGCCCAAGAAACAGATTTTCCAAAGAGAAAGGGACAGTAATACAGAGAACAGGCAGGAAGAGGGAGATAGGACTGGAATATAGTTCATTAAAATGGAATTCAGCCAGGGGCCCTTCTCAGGCACCCAGAACCCTCATGGCTCTGCCACCAGGCTGAGAATAGCAAACAAAGGTGATCGGGTCCCAGAAATCTGAAACACGTTTTTGAGCATCTGGGGATCTGTGCCCTGTGTTTGCAGGCTGGTCTTAAAGGCGCCTGGAGTTTACAGGGGGCGGTGAGCAAGGCAGGAAAAGCGGAGGAGCGGCCTGCATATTTAGGGTGCAAGGGTCTGCGATGTCACCCTCACACCTACACCCACAGTCCATAAGGGTCATCAGGCTCATCAGCTGGGTGGTCGCTGCAGGCCAGAAAGGGCTGGGAGGACAAAGCACAGAACAGGGATGCCCACCCCTCCTGCTGTCATGAGGCTAAATCTGCTTCCCCCACACCCAGCCGCCACCAGGGAGAGAAGGAGAAGACGGAAGGAAAGAGGATAGGAGGGGCTGAATACCTTCTGGAAAGAGACAAAGTTAATCCTGGGGAGACTGTTTTAAACTGGTAAAGGGGGAACCACTCTGCAGTGGTAAGAGTTGAATTCAATTTTTCTAAATCAGTGGCCACAGAAGTAACTCACTTCTACATGCCAAGTAGAAATCAGTTACAGAAAATGAAGAACACATTTCTGCAGTTCTGAGCCAAGATATGAGAATTTTAATCACACCACATATAACAGAAGTCAACAGGATTGAGACTAAACATCTCTCATAAACATAAGTAGACAAAACTTGCCGATGAGAAAAAAAAAAGAAACTTGAAAACATGATGCTAAGTGAAAGATGCCAGACACAAAAGGACAAACACTGTGCCGGGCATGGTGGCTCACACCTGTAATCCCAACACTTTGGGAGGCTGAGGCGGGTGGATCAGTTTGAGACCAGCCTGGCCAACATTGTGAAACCCCGTCTCTACTAAAAATACAAAAATTAGCTGGGCATGGTGGCGGGCGCCTGTAATCCCAGCTACTCAGGAGGCTGAGGCAGGAGAATCGCTTGAACTAGAGAGGTGGAGGTTGCAGTGAGCCAAGATCACGCCACTGCACTCTAGCCTGGGCAACACAGCAAGACTCCGTCTCAAACAAAAACAAAAACAAAAACAAAACAAAACAAAATACTGTATGCTTCCACTTACATGAGTGACCTAGAATGGGATAAATTCATAGAGACAGAAAGTAGAATATTGGTTATCAGGGGCTGGGGAAGCAGAGAAATGAAAAGTTATTGTTTGATGGGTATAAAGTTTCTATTAGGGATGATGAAAAAGTTCTGGAAATGGATGTTGGTCATGGTTTCACACAATGTGAATGTACTTAATGCCACTGAATTGCACACTTAACATGGTTAATTTAGTAAACTTTATACTGTGTATATTTTACCATAACCAAAAAGAAAAAGGACTCTCACTTTCATAAGTAGAATAATATACTGTTTAATTATTAATTTAGAAGCCCAATCAAAAAAGGAAAAAAAGTCAAAAGGTACAAATTATCAGTGAGATAACAGACCTTGCACACAGAGGAACTTAACATATTAGAAATGTACAAAAATATTGTAAAATATTTACTAAATAATACTATGAACTATTTTATGCTCATGACTTAAATGATGATTCAAAGCCCAAATAGATCACAAATGTAAAAAAATGCAAAAATTGCCAAATAACTATATCCTTAGCTATCATCAGTCTGACAGTTTAATTGGTGAATCTTTTCTTTTCTTTTTTAAATTAAAAAATTTTTATTAGGAACATTTTTGTCCTTGGTAATACTTCCGAATAAAGAAATCTATGAAAATGCTATGGAAAATTAAATTAAACAACATATAAAATCACCTGGGCACCTGGAAGATGGTGAAGAAATATTTTGTGACATAAATATAAAACTGAACTATCAATTTTTAAAAAGCTTTAGTGTTTCGTTAAAAGTATGAAAAAGAAATTTAAAATATGCTTAAATAATCATTAGAGATATATTCAGAAAGGAAACTTATTAAATGTACTACTTTTTTCATTCTCCATGGTAAAACTGAGAATGAGAATCTTGGTAAAGGTTAAAATTTTGAAATAATAGCGTATCTGGGGACATCAACTATTCCTTACATCTTGAACACACAATCTTTCTATTTACACTGTAAACATGCTCAGTTTTGAACCTACCACCCCCTATACCTGACATTATCTTTGCTCTATCTTTCAATTCTTAATTGAGCTTATGGAAAGAGACATACCAATGTCTCTACCTTTTTTTCCCCAAACCTTTCTCCTCAAACCACTACTATCTGGTTTCTGCTTCCACTACATCATATCTGAAACTAAAATGTCAAAGCAATCACGTTGCCAAATGTGAAAAAGGATTTCCCAGACCTTTTGGGAGTTGGTATCATTGCTTCACATGGCATTACTAACCTGTCCCTTCTTGTACTTGTTTTCTCCTGGCTTTGGATATGGCATTCTTTCTGCCCTGCATACTTCTCTATCATTCCTGTTTGGTCTCATTAGCTAGATCCTTTTCTCTACTTGCTCCTGTAGTGCAGACTCTGCTCTTCTCATTTTATCCTCTTTTTCTAGACAATCTCATCCACTCCCATGGTTTCAGTTGCTATCTATAAACTATCTTTATCTCTATCTCAGACCACTTTGGTGACTTCCAGCATCATACAGCCATCCAACCATCTGTGAGATTTCTCCATGTGGATATCCAAAGACACTTCAAACTTAACATTAAAAAAAAAATCTCACATACCTTCTTCTCCCCTCAAATCAGCTGTTCCTCCTAAAATCTCTACCTTGGCTGATGGTTCATTATCACCCTGTCAAGACACCTGGATATCATACTCTCATTCATTTCTAACTTAGTCTCAAAGTCCCATGAATTCAACCTTTCAACTATTTTTAAAATCTGTCCATTCCCACTTCTCACCACTATTGCCTTAGGTTGGATCCTTCATAATCTCTTAGGTGGACTATAGCAATGGCCTCTTAGATGTTCTTGGCGTTTCCAATCTTATTTCTTCCAATCAATCATTTATAATGTTGCCAAAATGATCTTTCCAATACGTAAATCTGATCACATTTCTCCCAAGCTGAAGTAATCCCTACAGCTCTTAAATAATTAGTTGCTTAAAGAATTCATTTACTCACTCATTTAACAAATATTATTTACCACATAACGTATGATTTTAGGCAGAGAGGAAATTATAGTAAATGAAAATATTTAGAGAATATGCAGAAAGGTAGATATTAAACAATCCCCTAAATAAATGTATGATTACAAATTTGACAAATGCAATGAAGAAAAATAATAAGTCACAAAGGAAGAAAAAGAGGAGACCTACTAGAGATTGTGAAGTTATATTATTTTTGAGAGAATAATATCTCGGTAAGTTTAAAAAATGAGTAGAAGTCGCTCAACAAAGAAGTAGTTTTGGTAGAGGGAACAGCACGTACAAGGGATCTGAAAGGGAAAGGAGATTAGAGTGTTAAAAGAAATGAAGGTAAGCCTATTTGGCAAGAGCTTAGTGAAGGATGGGATAGTGGCCTGAGACAAGATTATTGACATAGAAACCAAGTCATGTAGGGTTTGTAAGCCAAGGTATGGATTTGGGTTCTTTTGAAAGGCTATGGGAAGCAATTAAAAAGTTTTAGGCAGATGAATCACATGGTTATATTTACATCTTAAAGTTTCACTCTGGCTGCTGGTAGAGAATAGATTATAGCCTGAGTGGATGTGAGAAGACTAGTAAAGGGATTATTCCATTAGTCTAGGAGAGAAAAATGGTGGTGGGCAGTCTCTATTAACTTTTAGAAGTTATCTTTAGGTAATGTGAGCCTGCAACGTGAAGTTCCTAGTACTTTAAAAGTTATAATGCTGATGAACAAAAAGGTATGTAAAAACTCAGGATTTAATCTAATTAGATACATTTTCCACCATTAGAACATTTCTGCTCAGAGATCTTATTACAAAGCTACATTTCTGATAGTCTACTACGATGCAGCTTCTGCCAAAGCCACTCAGTACTAACCTCTTACACAGCATCTCTACTTACATGATTAAAATGCATATCATACTTGACATAGTCAAAAGATAAAGAACCACTTGATTTCTACTTCCAAGCTACTCAACTCCCTAGTAAATGGCCTTACCATTTACCCTACCCAGGCACTGATGTAAAAAATCTGAGAGTTAATCATAATTTTTCTCTTCCTCTCATATCCCATATCATATGTAAATTAAGTATCAACTTAAATTGAATATAATATTCAATGTAATGCTATGAAAATTATTGTATGTGATTAATGAGAATATAAATCTGGCTATAAAATCTCTGATAGTGATATAGTATTTATATCCATATATCCTTAGGAAAAAATTCCCTTTAATTATAGAGTAGTTATAAACAGTAGTCTAATATAGTATGCTATAGTTGTGTTTTGCCTTAATTATTCTTCATTGTTAATACCTCTATAATAAACATATAAAATAAAACGCTTAATTTCTTAGTTTGCAAATTAATTTACCAATTCGTTCATTCTTTCTTTGTCAAGAATGGAAAACCTTATAGCAATACAGGTCATCTCAGGTCCATAAAGAGTAATTTAAGATCAGAAATTCATGTCAGGTCCATGAGGAATAAGTTTTCTTTTCTTTTCTTTCTTTTTTTTTTTTTTGAGACGGAGTCTCACTCTGCTGCCCAGGCCGGAGTGAGTGGCGCAATCTTGGCTCACAGTAACCTCCGCCTCCCAGGTTCAAGCGATTCTCCCGCTTCAGCCTCCTGAGTAGCTGGGATTACAGGCGTGGGCCACCACGTCTGGCTAATTTTTGTGTTTACTAGTAGAGATGGGGTTTCGCCATGTTGTCCAGGCTGGTCTCGAACCCCTGACCTCAGGTGATCTGCCTGCCTCAGTCTCCAAAAGTGCTGGGATTACAGGTGTGAGCCACCGCTCCTGGCCCCATAAGGAATAATTTAAGATCAGAAGTACAAAGAAAGTTTTCTAATTGATTTTAAAATTAGTTTCTGAATATTTCTCTAAGACTATAGTTTAAATTCGATCTATTTCACACCAAATAAGTACTACAGCAATATTTAATTTCTGCGTTACTATTGACATATGAGTCATCTAACATGTAAACTTTCAGCCAACCAAATATTATGGCTTTAGTGCTAATTTAAAAAAAAGTTTTTGAAAGGAACATTTGTAAAATATATAAAGGCATTCATCTGCCTTCTTTTTTTTTTTAAAGAGATGGGGGGTCTCATTTTTTTTAAAGAGATGGGGGGTCTCACTCTGTCACCCACACTGGAGTGCAGTGGTACAATCATAGCTCACTGGAGCCTTGAACTCCTGGGCTCAAGCAATCCTCCTGCCTCAGCCTTCTTAGTAGCTGGGACTACAGGTATGCACCACCACACCCGCCTAATTAAATTGTTTGTTTGTTTGTTTGTTTGTTTAAGAGACAGGGTCTCGCTATATTGACCAGGCTGGTCTCAAACTTCTGGGCTCAAGCGATCCTCCTGCCCCAGCTTCCCAAGTAGCTGGGATTACAGGCGGTGTGCCACCACGTCCAGCTATCTGCTTTTTTAAATAGAGGAAGTGAATATCATGTTAAGTTATTCTTAAAGACTTAACTAAGATTACTTATCATACTTTGTCACAATATATTTAAAATACTTCATTAAATTCTGAGGTGAGATAGTAAACCATTTGTGCTAACCCTAAATAGCCTTTTTAGTTTTTGAATAGTCTTCCTATCTCCAACCTTTTCAGATGTCCCTTCATGTCAGAATGTCTTCCTCTGCTAATCCTTCTCTGTGCTGTATTTGATCTGCTAGTAATAAAGCTTGATAAACAAGTAATCTGTTTATTTCATCAGGCTCTATTCAAGGCTTGGAGATTGACTCTATAACTTTCCCACATTGAAAAGTGCAAGTGGAAGTGGGAGCTTCTGATTGATAGCTTTTGAGCTTACCTCCGGGTTTGTAACTGTATTCTTTAGTTAAAGCTATCAGGAATTTGGCTACCAGATAAGTGAGACATAAAACCAAGTATCATTACTAAAGCAATCTAGTGATACAGAATATTACTGTGTTTAAATAACTTATCCTACATAAACAACAAGGTAGTGTTAACCTCACACTCACAATTCTGCATGATTTTATGACAGATATCTAGGATTTAAAAAATGGATATAGCTTATATCCATTATAATTTTGTTATACTGAGAGAGTTCAAAGTTGGCATCAAGGGTCAAAGGTAGAAATTAGCTTACATAGAAAATAATTTGTATAGGCCAAACAGACCTTTTGTATACAATACCACCTACTGTAATTTAGTCCACAAAATACTGACTATAAGACCATAATCAAAATGAAATGCTATGAAAGGTGTGCGAGAGCTTAGTTTATGCACTGTAATAAAGCTATGGATGGATGGGCATAGCGCATCTCCTGTTGCACGCACTCTGTTGCTCATCAAGTTACATGGATCTGAGCTGTTTGTTAACCACAGAAGAAGGTGAATCAGTCTGATGATGTGTGTGGTGTCCAGATGCCTCAACAGACTGCCTTTGTTCACTGTCTGGCGAAGATTAAAAAGGAGTAGAATGAGGGCTTTCTGTGGGAGATGATGTCAAATGAGCCTGAGCTGACATTGTAGAGGATGTAGATGGCTGAAGAAACTGTTCAGCTGGAGTATCTACTTCCATTGCAGTTTCACTCACTTCCAAATCAGGACTTGATGGGACCATAGGAAGAGTTGAAATATCTGATTGACTTGTTCCACCTCTGGGTCAAGATCTTCCTCATCCTCTATTGCTTTGTGCAACCTCACTTGCTTCTTCGAACCGTCTTGATAACATATCAGACATTCTCTGCATCAATGACACATTGGGACTCTGCTCTCCATGTCATTCTCGTTCACTCTCAGGCCTTGATCTGGGTCCAGTATCTGACCAATCACCACGAAGGCTCAAACGCTTAACTGGTGGTTGTCGTAACTCTTCTCTTCTCTCTTCCGCAGAAGGAGTTTTAAGTTCTCGTGCTGTATCATCTTTCGGGTCAAAAAGATATATGTAATCTGAAGAGTAACTAATGAGAATCTCTTGACCATCTTCACTGTAACACAGAAATGTCACTCTGCAGGACTTATTATTAAGATGGGAAGCAATAAAATGGGCAACCATTCCAGTAGTCCCTCGACCTGCATAATTCCCTGTAGCTCTTGTGCCCAGCATTCGCCTATCATATATTTGTACTGAGCTATAAGAACAACCAACGGCAAGGTAATATGGTATTGGTGGGCAAATAGCAACAGATGTGGCAGCACGTCGACAGCTAATTAAAATATCATCTTCACAATCTTCTTTTGTGCAGCTAGTTTTGATGCGTGTATCAAACCACCTACCAGTTCTATCTTCACCACAAGAGAGAAAAGTGTAAGGGTCATTGGGTACAGTCATAATCTCATAAGTAGTTCCATTGTGGCAAGTAAATTGGCATTGTCTGTTGGTTTCTGCATCTTGCTCAACATTGGTATAAAATATTACTCCATCTCCAGAGCAGGATACAATCTGTTTATCATTTGTGCAAGGTAAGAACTTTGCATTAGATATGTTTGCTTGGTGCCCCGAACGAATTGTTGTCAAAACCTTTCTGCTGTAGGGATTACTAATTACTAATTTGGTGTCATCTGAGCCAGATAAAATATATTCTCCAGTGTCATTCCAACAGATTGTATTAACACAGCCATCATGCACATTTAGGGTTGCTTGAAGTTTCAATCTTTAGATAAATTCTCTTCTTCCCAGGTAGTGGCCCCACAGCCAGGACAGGTCCTCCAGCCCGAGGGACCTTTTCCTCATGTCCCACAACAGATGTGGGCAGGAGCCACCCCGAGACATGGCTCTGCCTGAGCGAGGTGGGAGGGGAGACCCTACCTGAATCTTTTCAAAGTGTCATAAAACAGATAGTTCTATAGTCTTGATATCATTATAGAACATTTAAAAAAATAAGGAAAGCTTCTGTTTTCCAAAAGCACTTAATAATGATTGGTCCTGTTTACAGGTTGTGATATTTTGTATACTCCTTCTTTTACCTTTTTTTGCTGTAAGATATCTGCGTGGTTGCCTTCTATTGTCTTTTCATCTTGCTTGTCCTTAACATGAAAGTCCTGGCCACACCTTAGCTTTTCTTTGCTACCTTAAAGAGAGTCTCTAAACATGTGAAAATTAAACACCACAGTTCTAAATAATTCATGGATCAAAGAGAAAGCCTCAAAGAAAAAATCAAGAGAACTGAATGGACACAAAACATATCAAAATATGTGGAGTGCAGCTAAAGCAATACTGAGAGGGAAATTTATAGCACTAGATGCTTACATAAGAAACAAGGAAAGCTCTTAAAACAGTAAGCTAATTCCTACCTCAGGAAACTAGATAAAGAAGAGCGGCTGGGCGTGTTAGCTCACGCCTGTAAACCCAGCACTTTGGGAGGCCAAGGTGGGTGGATCACGAGGTCAGGAATTCAAGACCAGCATGGCCAAGATGGTGAAACCCTGTCTCTACCAAAAATACAAACATTAGCTGGGCATGGTGGCGGGTGCCTGTAATACCAGCTACTTGGGAGGCTGAGGCAAAAAACTGCTTGAACCCGTGAGGCAGAGGTTGCAGTGAGCCGAGATTGAGCCACTGCACTCCAGCCTGGGCGACAGAGTGAGACTCCATCTCAAAAAAAACAAAACAAAACAAAAAAAAACCCAAAGCAAACAGAAGAAAAGAAATCATAAAGACAAAAGTACAAATCAATGAAATAAAAAACAGAAAAACAATTGATATGAAAACTTTTAACAGGAGTTGGTACTTTAATAAGATCAACAACACTGACAGAAGTTTAGCAAGAAAAATGCTAGAAAACAAAAATTATCAATATCTGGAATGAAACAAAAATATAACTACAGACCCTGCAGACATCCAAAGGATAATAAAGGAGTAATATGAACAACTCTTCACAAGTAAATTTCACAACTTAGATAAAATGCATCAATTCCTTGAAAAACACAAACTACCATAATTCACATAATATGAAACAGATAATTTGAATAGCCCTGTAACCATTAAGGAAATTGGGAAGCCAGGCACAATGGCTCATTCCTGTAATCCTAGCACTTTTGGAGGCTGAGATGGGAGGATCGCTGGATTCCAGGAGTTCAAGACCAGCCTGGGCAACATAGTGAGACTTCTCTCTATAAAACATAAAAAAAAAAAGTAGCCAGGCATTATGGCATGCACCTGTAGTCCTACCTACTCAGGAGGCTGAGGCAGGAGGATTGCTTGAGCTCAGGAGTTCAAGGTTGCATTGAGCTATGATTGTGCCACTGCACTCTACTCTGGGTGACAGAGCAAGATCCTGTCTCAAAAATTTAAAATAAAAAAAGAGAAATTGAATTCATAGCATTAAAATTCTCCAAAATAAAACCTCCAGGCCTAGATAGTTTCACTGGAGAATTCTACCAAATGCCTAAAGAATAATTAACATCAATTCTACATAATCCCTTCCAGAAACTAGAAGTGAAGACTTCACAACACATTTTCTGAAGCTAGTATTACTCTGATACTGAAACCAGACAAAGATAGTTGAAATAAAAAAAAGAAGGAAGGAAGGAAGGAAAGAAGGGAGGAAAAAAGAAAAGAAAAACAACCATAAACCAATACCTCTCGTGAACTTAGAGCAAAAAATCCACAATAAAATATGTACAAACCAAATCCAACAATGTGTAAAGATTACTACATGCCATGGCCAAGTGATATTTGTTTTAGGTATATAAAACTGATTAACATTTGAAAATCAATGAAATCCACCAGATCAACAAGCCAAAGAAGAAAAATTACATGATTATATTAATTGACAAGGAAGAAGCTTTTGACAAAATGAAATGTGTTTTGCCCATTTTCTAATTGGCTTGTTTTTCACTGTTGAATTTTGAAAGTTCTTCATATATTTTAGATACTAGTCCTTTGGCATACATGTGGCTCACTAATATTTTCTCCCTGTCTGTAGCTTGTCTTTTCAACCTCTTCAGGTGGATTTTCGGAGACCTGGTTTTTAATTTTTCTTAACATTTTCCTTTTATAGGTGATGATTTTGGAGTCAAGTCTCAGAATTCTTTGCCTAGCACTAGATACCAACATTTTTTCTCCTATGTTTTTTCTAAAAGTTTTGTAGTTTTGCATTTTATATTTAATCCCATTAGGTTGGTTTTTATAAAAGGGATGAGGTTTAGGTTGAGGTTCACTGTTTTGCCTATGATTGATGAGCACATGAAAAGATGCTTGGAATCATTAGTAATCAGGGAAATGCAATTCAAAACCATCATGAGATACTACTTTGTACCCACTAGGATGGCTTAAAACAAAGTCAGAAAAGAAACGTTGGCAAGGATGTAGAGAAACTGGAACCCTCACGCGTTGCTGCTGGAAATGTACAATGGTGCAGCTGCTCCGTAAAATGGTCTGGCACTTTCTTAAATGATTCAACTAGAGTTACCAAGTAACCTGGCAATTCTATTCCGAGGTATTAGGTTGACGCAAAAGCAATTGTGGTTTTTGCCATTAAAAGTGATATACCCAAGAGAAATGAAAATATATGCACATAAAAACTTGTATATAAATGTTTATAGCAGCACTGTTCATAATAGCCAAAAGGTGGAAACAACCCAAATGTCCACTGATGGATGAGCGGATAAACAAAATGTGCTTAATCCACACTATGGAATATTATTCAGACATAAAAAAGAATGAAGTACTGATACATGCTGCAATATGTATGAACCTTGAAAACATTATGCTAAGAAAGAAGCCAGTCATAAAAGACTACATATTATGTGATTCCATTCATATGAAAGTCCAGAACAGGGAAATTTATAAAGACAGAAAGTAGACTAGTGGTAGCCCAGGGATGGGGGCAAGGAAGGAGAGTGAGAGCTAAAGGTACAGGGTTGCTTTTTAAGGTGAAATTGACTTCAATGATGTTTACATACATCTGTGGATATATTAGAAACCACTGAATATTATACCTTAAATGGGTGAATTATATGATACATGAGTGTATTAGTCTGGAGCTAGGCGCGGTAGCTCACGCCTGTAATCCCAGCACTTTGGGAGGCCGAGGTGGGCAGATCACAAGGTCAGAAGATTGAGACCATCCTGGCTAACACAGTGAAATCCCATCTCTACTAAAAAAAAATACAAAAAATTATTCAGCTTGGTGGGACGTGCCTGTAGTCCCAGCTACTCGGGAGGCTGAGGCAGGAGAATCGCTTGAACCTGGAAGGCGGAGGTTGCAATGAGCCAAGATCATGCCACTGCAGTCCAGCCTGGGTGACAGAGTGAGACTCCATCTCAGAAAAAAAAAAAGAGGTTTAATTGGCTCACAGTTCCACAGGCTATACAAGAAGCATGGCAGCATCTGCTGCCGGGGAGGCCTCAGGGAGCTTCCAATCATGGCAGAAGGTGAAGGGAAGCAGGCACGTCTTACATGGCCAGAGCAGGAGCCAGACAGAGAGGAGCGAGGTGCTACACACTTTTAAACAACTAGATCTCATGAGAATTCACTATCATGATGACAGCTCCAAGAAGCATGGTGTTAAACCATGAGAAACCACCCCATGATCCAATCACCTCCCACCAGGCCCCATCTCCAACACTGGGGATTACAATTGAATATGAGATTCGGGTGGGGACATATATCCAAACCACATCAATGACTTACATGTCAATAAAGAGATATAAAATTGTTTTGTTTTTTGAAAAAAATCTAATATTTTAATAAGCCACTCTCTCAAGCCAATACAAGGCAGCTCCAGCACACCCCTGCTTCAGGAGATGTTTATGCCACATGAAGGGAGGAAACCATAATCCTTTCCACATCCCTCAGGTAGACGTGGAAATAAGGATAAGGTGAAAATTACAAAAACCAAGCTCATCATGCCTCCTTCCCTTGCCACCAAATGCTTGTATTTCTTTTTAACACCTGTTCCCCGGGTTGTATAAAAAGTCCTTTGCTAATTACTTTTAGGAAAAGGGCGACATTCTGGCCTTCACCTCCCAGAAACCACGCATCATACTTGAGGCACACACCAGGGAAGAGGCTGAGGTCAAGTTCACCAATCAGAAACACAAACAGACAAGGAAAAAGAAGGCAGCAATCAGTTTCCATCAAAGCCCTCAGCCAGGTGTCAGATCTCCCAGGGACACCCCTCTTTAATTTGGGGGGGACATAGGTAAATATGTGTATCCAGAAAGCCTGGAGCAAGTCGAGAGAGGCATTTGATTAGTATGCAGATCACAGGCACAGCTGGGATCAGGGCTAACCAGACTTTCAAGGATAAACAGCTGACAAGGATATGTCATGTTGTCCCTGCAGTGTGTTGAATCTAATTAAAAAGGACTTAGGGTCAGAAAAACACTGGTGTAATAATGGGTAAGCACAACAGAAATCATTTTATTGTTTACTTACAGGAAACAATACTTTTCCCGTTTACATGCTTGACGTGGCCAGCAAGGAAGAGCTCACACTTCGTACAAAACTACACACTAGTTTTGCATCTCTTTGTTGTGACACACAACCTCTGGTTTAGATTCTTTAAAATTATCTGTATGGGACAGTTTCTCTCATTATTCAAAGAATGACTTTTCCCCAAAATAAATAAGATATATTCCTTCCCTCCGCTGTCGGGTGTTTCTCATGCTCTCCTCTTTTAATTGTCAGTATAATTCTAGAGTAAAAGTCCTATGTGCTATGGTTTGAATAAGCTCCCCAAAAAGCATGTGTTGAAAACTTAATGTTTGGCTGGACATGGTGGCTCACGCCTGTAATCCCAACACTTTGGGAGGCCGAGGCGGGCGGATCACCTGAGGTCGGGAGTTCGAGACCAGCCTGACCAACATGTAGAAACCCTGTCTCTACTAAAAATACAAAAAATTAGCTGGGCGTGGAGGCACATGCCTGTAATCCCAGATACTCAGGAGGCCGAGGCAGGAGAATCGCTTGAACCCGGGAGGCGGAGGTTGCAGTGAGCAGAGATTGCACCATTCACTCCAGCCTGAGCGACAGAGCGAGACTCCGTCTCAGAAAAAAAAAAAAAAAGAAAGAAAGAAAAGGAAAACTTAATCCTCAATGCAACAGCGTTGGGAGGCGGGGGCCTATGGGAGGTGCTTTGGTCAGCAGGGCTCCACCATCAGGAATGGATTAATGCTGATTATAAAAGGGCTTGAGGCTGTGAGTTCAATATCTTGCTCTTTCTTTGGCCCTCTCTTGCCCTTTCACCTTCTGCCATGGGATATTGCAGCAAAAAGGCCCAGGCTAGATGCTGGCCCCTCAATCTTGGACTTCCCAGCCTCCCAAAATGTGAGAAATAAATTACCCAGTCTGTGGTATTCTGCTATAGCAGCACACAACAGACTAAGATGCACTGTCAAGCCAAAATATAATGATTTGTGAACGGCTAACAGCACAGGTTGGAATCTGATGCCAGCTAACTCCCAAGGTCTCAGATTCCCTACCTGTCTCCCATGCATAGTTGTCAGAAGTAAATGAATGAACGTACAGAATGTGCTCAAGCAGTGCCCTGCACACAGCAAGGGCTCAGGAAAGTTAGCGACCATCATATCATCATCATCATCATGATCATCATGCAGTCAGTATTAGGTTTGTATAAAAATATCAAAGAGCACATTTTAAGCTTATGTCCAAACATATACTAAAATGTGTTAAATACGTATCTTTTATGTAATTTTCCACCTAAATTTCTAGTTTCTGTGACAATGCTAAGTAGGAAAAATATTTTAATTCATTCAATGCTATCATAATGAAGATTTTGTTTGTTTTCTTTATAATGAAATTAGTGCCTGACTATATCTAAATTTACAGAAGAAAAAGAACGTATATTCACTGAGGTCAGGCCTGCGATAGCAAAACAGAGGGGATGGGCTAACCGCTTCTCAGCAGGGGTAAAGTACTCTCTGCTGCCTTTCAAAGATGAAGCAGCCCCCTAGATATACAGCAATGTATGAAATGGAACTTTGAGTAGGGAAAACATTGCAGACAAATGCATACAGTATAAGCATATTTGCTTAAAAATAAAACTATACAGTTGGATGACTGTGTACATATACATGTACATAAATATATATGTGCATACACAAAAATGGATACATCATAAAGCAATTGCCTGTGTGGTAGGGAGTAGGAGGCAGAGAGAGGAGGGAGACTTTGTTTTGCTCCAGTTTGTGTACTTCTTGCATCTTTTACAATGAGAATCTATTACTATTTCATTTCATATTTAAAAAGAAAGGGAAAATAGTTCTATTCATTTAAAACCAAATATTCATCAAGCCATATAATGCATTATATTACATTAAATTGCATTTCAAAAGCATCCTCTGTTATGCTTTCATTTAAAAATACAGTAAGAAAAGTATGATGGGAAATCCCAAACTTCTGCAGAATGAATTGAAATAACTGAGTCATTAAAAATCAGTTTATTTCCCAGTGCTTTGGGAGGCTAAGGCCGGAGGATCAGTTGAGGCCAGGAGTTCAAGACTAGCCTATGCAATACAGTGAGACCCCCCCCCACCACCACCCTTACAAAAAATTAAAAAATTAGCTGGGTGTGGTGGTGCATACCTGTAGTGCCAGCTGCCTGGAAGAGTGAGGTGGGAGGATCACTTGAGCCCAGGAGTATGAAGCTACAGTGAGCTATGATTGCACCACTGCACTCCAGCCTGGGCAATAGGTGAGACCCTGGACCCTGTCTCTAAAAAATTGTTTTATTTGTATTTTTATGATTTATTTATTTGAAGACATGTTCTCACTTTGACACCCAGGCTGGAGTGCAGTGGCACGATCTTGGCTCACTGCAACCTCCACTGCACCCCCTGCGTCCCCCTGCCCCCGGTTCAAGTAGCTGGGATTACAGGTGCATGCCACCATTCACACTTAATTTTTGTATTTTTTGGTAGAGATGGGATTTCACCAGGTTGTCCAGGCTGGTCTCGAACTCTTGACCTCAAGTAATCTGTCTGCCTTGGCCTCCCAAAGTGCTGGGATTACAGGCGTGAGCCACTGCACCTGGCCAAAAGAATTTTTTAAATTAAAAAACGTGTATATTTTTTAAAAATCCATTTTTTAAATAAAGTTTTGTTGCTGTCATATTTTAATGTGCATGGAGCCTCAAATTAAAACATAATGAGGCATTTTAAGGGGCATTTGAAAATCAATAATGCTCTTTTCTAATTAATTTAAGTGAAACAGCATGTTTGCTTGAAATCCCAAAATGCCTTTTTAATTTCCTAAGGGGCTCTTCAGACAGGAACAGTTGGGAGGCACTCAGTGGTTCACTCACATGCTCCCCTCCAGGAATGGTGCCAGGCCCTGGATGTGGGACAAGGCGCAGCACAGACATGGCCTTCTCCCTTGTGCTGCTTTGCCATGTAGCGAATGATGGGGAAATGTCAGGGCTTGGAGAAAAAGAGACAGAATGCTCAGAGAACCGCAGAGCTGGGGAGCCCCTTGGACGAGGGCTGAGGGAAGGCCCTTGCATCGATGTCCCACCGACTCTGGAATCTAGAGGTCCAGAAGGAGCCACCTAGAGACCAGCTGGGAGGAAGAACAGCTGTGGTGCAGCGTGCAGGGGCAGCCTGAAGTAGAAAGACCCTGAGATTCTAGCACAGCTGGCAAGGCAGGGACGTGGTGCCCAGGAGTACCACTGCAGGCTAGCGAAGCTGGAGGAGCCAGATGAAAGCAGGCACTCACACGCCACGGCGAGGATGCTGGACAGCGCTCCGAGTCCAGTGGGAAGCACGTGGCTGAGTTTATGTTGTAAGAAGCTCTCTCGCCATGAACACACACACACAGACACACAAATATGTGAATACATTTTGATCACAACAAGCTGGGAATCCATGTTTTGTTGTATTTAACAAAAACCCACAAAATACATCCAAAAACTATTCCTATACAAAGTTACAGAAAATTTTAGTGGATTGTAAAAAGTAGAAATTAGGGGCCACATGTTCTCATGCAATGACGTTAGAAATTAACAGTAAAAGGAAAGCAAAAAACCAAAAAGTCTAACTACCTAAAAAGTTAAGGACATCAATCTGAGCGATGATTAGGTTAAAGAGAAAAGCAAAAATGAAAATTACAAACCAAGTGGAACTAAGTCCACAAGAGCACTGTGTATCAACAATGCCAATCTATACAGTATTATTACTGTTACTCAACTATAAAAGGGGGAAAATTAACAATATGTGAATTAAGAAAGTAGAAGGGGTTAATAAAATAAAAACATACATAGTCAACCCTTCCCTCAAATTCCCCATTTCCTCCCGAGACCCCCGGCTCTAGGGAACTATTAATCTACTTTGAATCTCTAAAGATTTGCTAAAATGTTTATTTTTGAACTGTAAAAGAATATTATCTGTAGCTTTATAACAATAAATTGGAAAAAACAGATGAAATATACAATGTTCGAAAGACATTAACAAAAATGATCCCCAAAAAGAAAGAAAACACGAATAACATAATGAACATGGGAAAATACGTTAAAAGTAGTCAAATTACCTCCCCCAAATTAAAATAAACCTAGATAATTCCCAGGTTATATAAACTGTTTCAGAGCATAAGTCAAATCAAATTCTTCCACTTTCATTTTAAAGTATGCATAATTCTAAGATGAAACTGGACAAGGAGGGCACCTCAAGGTAAACTGTAGGTTATCTCATTTCTGAATGTTGATGCAAAACTCTTAAATAATATATTAACAAAGTGAATGCAGCCTAATGTATACCTTCTCAGCACCAGGACCATTGCCTATTTCTGCAATGCAAAAGTGATTCTGCATTAGGAAATCCATTAATGCAAATCACTACATTAATAAACTAAAGGAGGAAAGCCATATGATCATCTTCAGAGATGTTAAAAGGATGGTGATAAAATTTACATGCATCTTGATTAAAAAAAATCTTAGAAAGCCAGGATGGAAGCGAATACCTCCCATTAATAAAGGCATCTCTCAGAAGCTGATGGCAGACATTACTCTACATGGTAACCCATTAGGAGCAATCCTGTGAAAGCCAGGAATAAAACAAGGGTGTTAAAAAATTCCAGTGTTAGTCAACCTTTTTCCCTGTAAATCCTCACTGTGAGTGAAGGGTCACATCGGGTCTGGGCTGACGCATGTGCGCCAGGAAAAATGACCCAAAAGTTCTGTCCTCTCAGGTCACTGCTTCCTTTTCTCGGACACTGCAGCGTTGAGATGGATATGGAAGGCTGTGGTCATCTCATGTGCTGGGAAGGACGCCTGGATCAGGGAAGCAGCGTGGTGGCCTGCAGGCCTTGGGCCTCCGTGAAGACAAAAGTGTTATAAAAACAACTGATGGAAAAGTGAACTGTGGCTTCTCAGTGAGAGTCTCCCCCACGCAGGCAGTGAACACCGCATGTGGGTGAGAGGGAAATGGAGCTGCGGGACCTCCCAGTGATGTGAAGATGCTGTCCCTGCTGTGTCTCCTGTCCTGTGTCCTATGAAGCTCAGCAAATGGGGAGATTTGCTAATAGAAACCATCTCTCAGCAGCATGCTTGGTGGTGGGTCACTAAGAGCTTCTCATTAAATTCAGGAGCAAGAGGTGGATGATGAAATACCATCATCTAATGTTATTTTAACAAAACATCATTATCCAATGTTATTTGAACAGTTTTAGCCACAGCAACTACACAGAAAAGCAAAACAAGATGTACAGATACTGGAAAGCAGAAGAAAATGTAATCATTTCCTCTGACAAACTATGGGATCAAAGATTCAGGTGTACATTCAACTGCTTGTACAGTTCAATGCAAGTAATAAAAAACTGCAAAAAGTCTTACATGCGGCGAGTAGCCTCTTCAGTATAAAATAATAACTAAAACAGGCATCCACCAGAGCAAGAAAATATTTACAATACCTAGGACTAAATTTGAAACATGGAAAGTTCATATGTATATTTTAGAAAACTATAAAAGTGTAGTAACATTTATAACAAAATAAATCCTAGATCGATAAAACACATAAATATTTAAAAAATAAAACCCGAAAATACTGAGGGGATAGTAGAAAATTATTTATAATCTTGGAGTGGGAAAGGCTTTTCTAGGAAAAACACATAACCCAGCAATCAAAAGGGTTAAAATACGTAAATGAATAAAACCAATGTGAGTACAGAAAATACCCACACAAAGAATGCCATTCAAAAAGTCAAAAGATGCATAACAAACTATTAAAAATATATGTTTGCAACCAATATAACAATAGCCAGTTTCCTTAACATAAGGAAGTATATATATGTATATAATATATATAATATGTAAATTATAAAAACAACAATATAACAGTAAAATAGGTAACAAACGTGAAGTGGCAGTTAACAGATAAAGAAATATAAGCAACTTATAAACAAATATAAAGATGCTCAACTTCACTTTTAATTAAAGAAATGAAAATTACATAATAAAATTGTACAATTTTGTCAGATTGGTGAAGACAAAAACAATTCTGACAACACACAAGTTTGGATCTGGGTAACCAGGCACAGGCTCAGACTGCTGGCAAAGGTGTGAAGGGGTGCCTTGTGTTTGGAGAGCAATTTAGGAATAAGATTCTAAATTTAAAGTGCACTCATGCTCTGACTGCAGGGACGGTCTTAGTGATTTTTTTCTCTAGATCTGTTTGCATTCCTTCCTTGTTCACTGCTACACCCCCAGCACCTAGGCCAGTTCCCCAAGCAGCAGCAATAGCCACTCAGTATCTGTTGAGTAATGAATATGTACAAAGAATACTATTCAATCGGGCACAGTGGCTTACGCCTGTAAACCCAGCACTTTGGGAGGCCAAGGCAGGTAGATAGTTTGAGTTCAGGAGTTTGAGACCAGCCTGGCCAACACGGTGAAACTCTCTACAAAAAATACAAAAAAAGTTAGCTGGTTGTGGTGGCACATGCCTGTAGTCCCAGCTAATTGGGAGGCTGTGACGGGAGGATCACCTGAGCCCAGGGAGGTTGAGGCTGCAGTGAGCCGTGATGGCACCACTGCACTCCAGCCTAAGCAACAGAGTGAAACCCTGTTTCCAAAAAAAAAAAAAAAAAAAAGGCTGGGCGCAGTGGCTCATGCCTGTAATACCAGCACTCTGGGAGGCTGAGGCAGGTGGATCGCCTGAGGTCAGGAGTTTGAGACCAGCCTGGCCAACATAGTGAAACTCCATCTCTACAAAAAAATACCAAAAAAATGTATCTGGGCATGGTGGCGGGCGCCTGTAATCCCAGCTACTCAGGAGGCTGAGGCAGGAGAATCGCTTGAACCCAGGAGGTGGAGGTTGCAGTGAGCTGAGATTGCGCCATTGCACTCCTCCAGCCTGGGCAACAAGAGCAAAACTCCATCTCAAAAAAAAAAAATTATTTGCATGTTCATTTTAGCAAAAGACTAGAAACATCTTTTAACTTATCCTTCATTAAGGGGTGGTTATATGAATTATCACACATCCATCCAGTGGAATTATCCGCTACTCCCTGTTTAACAGCAGAGAAGACCTCCAAGTGCTGATGTGAAAATGTCCCAGGCTACATGGTTGACTACAAAATCCATGTTGAGTAGCCCACGTGTGTAAAAAAAAATCCATAAACAAAAATATGTGCAGATGATGACTGGAAAGGCACACACACACACACACACACACACACACACACACACACACGCAAAACCCTGTAGCAGGAAGGGGAGGTGCTAGGAGCCCAGAATAAAAGATTGACTTTAGTTTAGATATCCTTTTTATGCAGAGAACACTAGCTAGTCTTAAATTATGCAGAGAAAAAAACACAATCACCACACAAACATATGGAAATGTAGTAGGTATCCTAAAGAAAAACAAAAACTGGAGTGAAGAAGTTGAAAAGAATTTGGATAAATCAAAGCATACACTGTATGTTCTGGAATGGAAAGACATGGTATTGTTTAGATGTTTTAATTTTCCCTCAAAGTAATCTACAAATTTAATATGATGCCAATTCAAATCTCAAATCCATTCTTTCCAAGTCTTGGCAAAAGAAAATCAAAGTGCATCTAGAAGACTAAACATTTAAAACCAGGCAAGAACATTTTAAAGAAATAGATTAAAAGTCCGGGATGGGGTAAGCGGTAGAACTTGTCCTACCATGTATAAAAATAGATTATAAAGTCAAGGTAATTTAAGTGGTATTGCTCTGGAATATGAATAAACAGACATATGAATGTTGAATGAATATGAATAAAAAGTCCAGAAATAGACAAATGGGCACTACTATCTGTGTGCGCATGTGTGCATGCAATGATAACACTGGCAGAGTTGATATTGGTTGTTTCTTCACCACCCAGCATACATGTCCAGCTTCCCTCCCCCAACCCTGCTTAATAGCAGCCAACTTTGTTTCCGGTATGTCTGTAAAAAAAAAGTAGCCCATGTGTGACTGAATTCAGTCTGGTAGGACAGGTAAGCAAATTATCATCCTCCTGTATCCAATTAAACACTCCCTCCCAGCTCTTTGACTCTAATGCAAACAGACCCAGAGGTAAAGAACCATAGGAATTGTCCACTCCTGCAGAACTGCACCCTGGCAAGTTCAGGGTTCCCACTGTAGGCCCCAGTCTCAGTCAGATTTCTGAGCCAACAGAAGAAGCTTCCTTAGAACCAGCCAGTTTTCAAGCCTGATCTCTAGCCTCCTTGATGATTCAATAGGCCCCACTATCCTCACAATAAATGGCCCGTGGCTTTCTTAGTAATTGTAACTTGCTGCAAATGATTTTTAATGATCTGGGTGACATTTCAAATCAGCAGGGAAATACTAGAGTATTCAGAAAATGGTTTCAGGTAAACTACTAAACTGTTTAGAGAGAAAAAGTTCAATTCATCGAGTAGACTGTAAAATACTAAAGAGTTAACTATATTAAAAAAAAGCACACCATAACCAGGAAGTTATTGGGGTAGCATAATCTTGGAAAGGAGACAATCTTTTTAAGCATGATTCTAAGGTAAGATTACAAAGAGAAACATTGGTAAATTTGAATATATAAAAATTAAAAAGTTTTCTACTTTTCTGACAAAAATTAAAAGGCAAATAACAATCCAGGGAATATATTTGCCCAATATAAGTCAAAGGATTCAAAACTATAATATATAAAGAGCTCTTATAAATCATTGATAAATATTTAAATCTATAACTGAGTACAGAACACATACAGACAAAACAGAGAAGAAAATAAAATATAAATGGTGCATAAACATGAATATATGACATAATTACACATATATGTATAAATACATATAAGCTTATGTATATGCAATTATAAATGACTAAAAAGTTTAATCTTACTAGTACTCAAAGAAATTCAAATTAAACAATGAAATCATCTTATATCTTTCAAATTAGCATGGATTAAAAAGAATAACAACTTTCAGTGCTGGCAAAGGTGTAGGGGAAGAGCATTATCATATATTGGGAATATAAATGGGTAAACTTCCCTAAAAGGCACTATGTCAATATGCACCAAATACTCTAAAGATACATTCATTTTTATCATGTATATCTAATTTTAGGAGCTGTAAAAAGGATTCAATTTGTATAAGAATAATGGCCATCTCTCTAATTGCAAAAAGCAGAGATATGGTTAAATAAACAATGTTACATTCATACATATAGAGTAGTCACTACCAATAAAGTTGTAGAATATTTTAAAACATGGAACAGGCCGGGCGTGGTGGCTCATGCCTGTAATCCCACCAAGGCAGGCGGATCACCTGAGGTCAGGAGTTCGAGACCAGTCTGGCCAACATAGTGAAACCTTGTCTCTACTACAGTATAAAAGTTAGCTGGGCGTGGTGGCCCATGCCTATAGTCCCAGCTACTTGGGAGGCTGAGGCAGAAGAATCGCTTGAACCCAGGAGGTAGAGGTTGCAGTGAGCTGAGATTGTGCCACTGCACACCAGCCTGGGTGACTGAGCAAGACTTCATCTCAAAAAATAAATAAATAAAACATGGAACAATGTGATCAGTTAAAAAAGAAATCACAAGGCAGCATGAAGTGGATAGCACATTTAAATACATTAAATATATATGTATACATACATGCATGCATACCCATACATCCATATACACACACATTATGCACAGAAAAGACTGGAAGGACATAATCAACTGGGTGGTAGGACTGTGAAGTGTTTTGTTTTTTGAATTTCTATAGTAAATGTATAATTTTTATATATGAAATTTTGTTTTTTGAATTTCTATAGTAAATGTATAATTTTTATATATGAAATTTTATATATGAAAGGAGCATACCTTTTATGTGTTGTATAGGTTTTGCAATATTCTATGAAGAACTCAGGGTAGGTCATGTCCACACTGAACAGGTGTATTAGTCCATTCTTGCATTGCTAGAATGAAATATCTGAGACTGGGTAATTTATAAAGAGGTTTAACTGGCTCATGCAGGCTGTACAGGAAGCATGATGCCAGCATCTGCTTGACTTCTGGGGAGGCTTCAGGAAACTTACAATCATGGTGGAAAGTGAAGGGGGAGCCAGAAAGTCACGTGGCCAGAGCAGGAGCCAGAGAGAAAGCAAGGAAGGGAGGTGCCACACACTTTAAACAACCAGCTCTCGTGAGAACTCACTCCCTCACTATCATGAGGGCAGCACCGAGGGAATGGTGCTAACCACTCATGAGAATCTGCCCCCATGATCCAATCACCTCCCAGCAGTCTCCACCTCCAACGCTCGGGATTGCAACTGAACATGAGATTTGGGCAGGGACACAAATCCAAACCATATCAATAGGAAAGGGAAGCAAGGCCGAGAAACAGTGAGTGACTTGTCCTAAGTCACATAACCAGGAGGTGGTGAAGCATGGCTTTGATCCTGGATTGCTGACTCCAAATCCAGTACTGTTTGTGCTGCACACATTGCCCCCAAGCAAATGAACACACTGGTTTGTAGCTCTGAGATTTCTGGCCTTGTATGAGCCAAGGCAGAGGGACACCTAGGATCAAGTTCTAAAGTGAGGGAAATATTGATGATTCTGTGGTACCATCAACCAAACAGATGTATGTGAGAGTACATATCTGTGGTACATGATGTTCTTTTTATGTATCCGTGGAGGTATAGAAAGCGGTAAGAAATAGAGGAGACCAAATCTCCCTTTCCTATACTTCCATGCAGTCTGCGATGTGGGAAAACGGTCTGAGATTAAGACCAGGAGGGGTCAGCCCTTCAAGCTTGGGCAATGTGTGTGGGCTTTCTTTTTGGTGTGAACCTCCAGACACTGAGTTTCCCTTCACCCAATCACTCTGTCTCCCCCACACAGAGCCCTGCACTGGAAAATGAGAGTCTAAGAAAAAAATGGCCAGTTCCTTGTAGGTCACCAGATTTTGCTATACTCATAGCACCTAGTATTTAGGAATAAAAAGGCTGGCCAAGTTATGAATACAAGATGGCAAGTTATCCTTTCAGATGGAGATGGGGATCCAGGTTGTGTCAATTGTCAATCTTAAGGGGGTCTACACCATACCGAGAATACTTCTGTGCACATCATATAGGGATGAAATCTGATCAATGTTCTCTAGGCCACATTCAACAGACAATAACAAGATGAAGCCCCAACAATTCATTTTTGTAACTCAGTGGGCAGCTTCAGCATCGAAACTGTGCCAGCGACACTGGTCCTGCTGGCCTTCGTAGATAAGAATGCAGAGAGCAGCAGGCTTTCCAGTGGCTGCCCCTGTGAATCCAAACAACATGGTCCCAAGCCAAGCAGGCATGGTCCCACAGCAGAAAAGCTTCTGGTAATTCAGCAATCACTTCTCAGAATCATAGCCACAGGTAGAGCAGGCAGAGGGCAACTGTGGAGGGACATGGCTCTGAAAGGTAGCCTGCTATTGCTTCCAAGACAAAGAAACGAAGGCCCATGTCCCCATACCCAGGGAACCACAGTCCTATCAGGAGTTTAAGTATATTCATACCAGAATGCAACCAAACACACTGCAATTTCTGTCACAGCCAGATGTACCTATTACAGTACCATGAGCTAAGTTATTTTGAAATGATCGTTCTATCCAACAAACAAGTTGTTGATCTTCTACAACAAGCTCGTCCAACCCACCACGCTGCATGCAGCCCAGGACGGCTTCGAATGAGGCCCAACACAAATTCGTAAACTTCCTTAAAACATTATGAGATATTTTTTGTGACTTATTTTTTTTTAGCTCATCAGCTGTCGCTAATATTAGTGTATTTTATATGTGGCCCAAGACAATTCTTCTAACGTGGCCCGAGGAAGCCAAAAGACTGAATACCTCTGTTCTACAATGTACACAGCACACTGTCTACAATTTTCTGAATGTGGCCCAACACAAATTCGTAAACTTTCTTAAAACATTATGAGTTTTTTTTGTGACTTTTTTTTTTTTTTTTTTTAGCTCATCAGCTATCGCTAGTTTTAGTGTATTTTATGTGTGGCCCAAGACAATGCTTCTTCTAACGTGGCCCAAGGAAGCCAAAAGATTGAATACCTCTGTTCTACAATGTACATAGCACACTGTCTACAATTTTCCTGGATCTGAAAGAAAATTCTTTTTAATTGAGAAATGCTAACTATATTGTTTTGATATATTCGTCATCCAGCATAATATGTACATCAGCACTTAAAACTGACTTGCAAACTGATTTTTAAAAATTCAATACAAATAAGAATCAATGCAACAAATGCTAAAATATAATAGTTACTAAGGATATTTATTCCAAAATAGCACTACGTTGTGATCCTTAAAAATATACTACTAGTAGCTGATTTACAAGAAGAAAAAGTTTTAATTGTTCTACTTATAAATCAGTAAGTGAATTGTTATCTAACTTATAGAAATAAATCAGCTTAACCTAAATACCCTAAACTAGAAAACATCAGAATGAATTGAAAGTGTACATGAGAACCTAAGAATACAGTAAAATTATTTTTAAAATTGCTCTTGTACAAAATCAAATCCTATGACCTTTATGAAAGGGTTTGCATTTCATTACTTACCAACTGGCAGCCTTCTAGGGAGTTGACTAGCTGAGCATTCTGACAAGAGAGAATTGAACCAGCCAAATTCAGCATTACACACACTGCAGAAAGCAGCATGAAAAAGGTTATCTGGAAACAAACCAAACATAAAATTGATTATTCACTTGGAGAGGCTCAAAGGAAAAATGACATGGCTTTACAACAGCTTTCATTTATTATACAACAGTTGATCACATAATTACATGAATAACATGTATGTGTTTTAAAGGAAAGTGGTAGGTTATTTCTCAAACTTCCAAATTCATATGATCTGAAATAGAAAAAGTAAGATCTGTAGGAAGCCATAGCAAGCTACCATGATTTTGTTTAAAACCTATGATGATAAAATATTTAAGGAGTTAAACTTGAAAGACTGTGCATTATATACTCTTAACAGTGACAAGTTACACATTATTAAAGGAAATCAAGTGAAAGAAGTATATTTATTAGAAGGCCTTTAGGTTTAATTTTTATTACAGAAAATTTCATACACATGCAAAACCAAAGAAAACAGCATAATGAAGGCACATGTGTCCATCACCCAACATCAATAATTAATCCACTTACGGCCAACTGTGTTTCATTTACAGCCCCTACCATCTGAATTATTGTGCAACCAATACCAGGCATCATATAATTTTACCCTTAAATCTTTCTAAAGGAATTGAGAAGCTTTCTGAAAACATAGCCAAAATAGTCATCATATCTATAATAAATAAAAATTCATTAATATCATCAGATACTGAGTTCACATTTCCCTAATTGTCTAAATTTTTTCACACTTTGAATCAGGCCACACAGGATACAAAGCAGGTCCATGTGGTACAACTGGCTGTTAGGAATCTTAGACAGTCTATGGGTTTCCCATCCACTTTTTCCTCTGTGAAATTTACTGAAGAAACCAGTTCATTTGTCCTAAAGAGTTTCTTACAGTCTAAACTTTCTGATTGTAGTCCTCTATCATTAAACATTTCTCTAGCCTCTGTATTTCTTGTAATTTGGTGATTAAATACAGAGGTTTGGCCAAATTCAGATCAATAAAAGGCAAATATTGTCTCTCTCTCTTTTTTTTTTTTTTGTGATGGAGTCTCACTCTGTCGCTGGAGTGCAGTGGCACAATCTCGGCTCATTGCAACCTCTGCCTCCCGGGTTCAAGCGATTATCTTGCCTCAGCCTCCTGAGTAGCTGGGACTACAGGTGCGCACAACCACACCCAGCTAATTTTTGTATTTTTAGTAGAGACGGGGTTTCACCATGTTGGCCAGGACGGTCTCGATCTCTTGACCTCATGATCTGCCCTCCTTGGCCTCCCAAAGTGCTGGGATTACAGGCATGAGCCACCACGCCCGGCCAATATTGTCTCTCTTTTTGTGATGTTAGCGGCCATTTTTAATGATGACAGACTCATTAATTTATTAGGGTTTCCAAAATAGTGCTAGTCTCACTCTGTCATTTTTTCTTTATGAATAAGAATACATATAGAGACACAGACTTTTCCTCATCAACTGTTTTGTTACCCTGAGGTATAGTTCATATATGAAAAGCAGGATATATACTTGACTCTTTCTGTTCATTTTCCAGGCTTTAAAATAATTTTAAATTTTGCAAAATGAACTCAAGGAAGTCTGTATGCTTAATTAGCACTCTTTCTGCACCTATGTAAATAATTAGGCCAAATCTAATGAAGAAAGACCCTTTTTGTGATGGAGAATAACCTTTAAGATTAATCTGATCAAGAGGCGGGGAGACTGGCATTAAAACTTGTTAAAGAGCAAAAAAAAAAAAAAAAAAAAAAAAAAAAATTCACTGGATATTCTGTCTAATGCACACTTCAGGGTTATTTCTGCCTTTCAATGTCTTTATGCTATTTCAAAACTCTGCATAAAACTGATAAAACTGATAGTTTATCAACTGATAGTTGTATAAAACTGATAGTAGTGCAAATGATTCTTGACGATACAAATGTAAAGGAATTTTGTCCAGTAGAACGTAACTGATTATTGCCCCACTGATATTGGCCACTTTTACATTTATTTGTAAATTTATTTCAGCATTCCTGATTGCTTATATGTGTGCAGTGTTTGAATTAACCTTTGAACTGCTTGTAACATCTTACTGATTTCCTCATTAAATAATGAGTTAGACATAGTCTTTGACACATGTCTATTTTTTTAAAAAGCTGATTCCCGGCCAGGCGCAGTGGCTCATGCCTGTAATCCCAGCACTTTGGGAGGCCAAGGTGGGTGGATCATGAGATCAGGAGTTCGAGACCAGCCTGACCAACATGGTGAAAGCCCATCTCTACTAAAAATATAAAAATTAGCCGGGCATGGTGCTGCGCGCCTGTAATCCCAGCTACTCAGGAGCCTGAGGCAGGAGAATTGCTTGAACCCAGGAGGTGGAGGTTGCAGTGAGCCGAGATCTCCAGCCTGGGTAACAAAGCGAGACTCCGTCAAAACAAACAAACAAACAAACCAACAAACAAAAACCTGGTTCCCTAGCATCCTCCAAAATTAACAATATCATGAAATAGTATTTTGTCTGTTTGGTGGAGAGGGGAGTGAGTTTGAGTCATTATGAGCCAAGAACTTAAACACATTTGATAGTTTTAATCATCTGCATCATTAGACAGAGTCCACTCAAGTTGACACCTGGGTCCTTTCAACACAACTCCAGTAGACCTTGACAGCTATCTGGCTTTCTGTATGAGAAGATAGTACAGGATCATCTTACAGTTTTCTACCCAAGAGACCTATAATCAGCCATTTCTCCAGTAAGTCCAGGTTCCATTCAATGAGAATGGTATTCAGATACCATAATTTTTGTGCTACAGGTGCTGTTTGCTACTTGGAGCTTCATTGTTTTCAGTTGTCAGACATATCATGAGTTCACAATTATGTTTCTGATTTAAATTCAACACTACTAAGTTTTCACAATGAGATACCATCTCACACCAGGCTATTACTAAAAAGTAAAAAATAACATGTTAGCAAGGATGTGGAGAAAAGGGAACACTTATACACTGTTGGTGGAAATGTAAATTAGTTCAGCCACTGTGGAAAGCAATGTGGAGATTTCTCAAATAACTAAAAGCAGAACGACCATTCGACCCAGCAATCCCATTACTAGGTATATACCCAAAGGAAAATACATTGTTTTGCCAAAAAATAAAAAACCCCACCTTCACCCATATGTTCACCACAGCATTATTCACAATAGCAAAGTCATAGAACCAACCCAGGTGCCCATCAATAGTGGCTTGGATAAGGAAAATTCCATGGTACATATACACCATGGAATACTACGCAACCATAAAAAAGAACACAATCATGGCCAGGCGCGGTGGCTCATGCCTGTAATCCCAGCACTTTGGGGGGTCGAGGCGGGCGGATCAAAAGGTCAGGAGATTGAGACCATCCTGGCTAACACGGTGAAACCCTGTCTCTACTAAAAATACAAAAAGTTAGCCAGGCATGGTGGTGGGCGCCTGTAGTACCAGCTACTCGGGATGCTGAGGCAGGAGAATAGCATGAACCCGGGAGGCGGAGCTTGCAGTGAGCCAAGATCACGCTACTGCACTCCAGCCTGAGCGACAGAGCGAGAGTCCGTCTCAAAAAAAAAAAAAAAAAAGGAACACAATCATGTTCTTTGTAGTAACATGGATGTAGCTGGAGTCCATATTATATGAATTAACACAAACAAAACCAAATACTATATATTCTCACTTATAGGGTAGGAGCTAAACTTTGGGTACACACAGACACAAAGATGGGGACAACAGGCACTGAGGACTCCAACCGGAGGTTGGGGGGAAGAGCTGAAAAACCACCTATTGGGGTACTGTGCTCACTAACTGGGTGATGGGATTATGAGAAGCCTAAACTTCAGCACCATGCAACACACCCAGGTAACAAACCTGCACATGTACCTCCTGAATCTAAAATTTAAAATAAATATAGTCATACATAACAAAAAAACCGCAAACAAAACTATAAGGTTTTTATGTAACCATATTAATTTTACATCTGTATCTCCTTTCAACCATGCCAAAAACTATTTCTCAACATAATTAATCTGTTGGATTTAATTTCACAATATCCACACAACAGTCTCAAAATAACACCAATACAACTGCCGAAAAAAATGACTGAAAATAGTTTAACATTTATATTTCTTTTTATTCTTACATTACATTCTACCAGAAATAGTCAAATTATGGTGTTTTAAACTCACATGGTTCCTTTATATGTGGTTACGCTACTGATCAGGAACCCAGGTTCATTCCTTTTATTTCATTTTTTCTTGTTTAAGAATTGTTTCTAAAACTGAGTTTCATTTCTAATTACATAAAATGATTCCAAAGTCAGGTCCATAAATGAAGTTTCACATAAGTCTGGCATTTATTCTGTTCCTCCACTCTATTTCCTCCCATTTATTAATAGGCAAGCATTTATTTTTTAATTTTATATTTTATCCTCCCATCATTTTTTAGTAAAAGTATATAATAGTAGCATAATACACACATTTTCTTTACTTACTTTTTTTGCACTTAATATGGTGAAGATCACTCGAAATAAGAACACACAAATAACCCTATTCCCTTCTACAACTGCCTAATACTTCATGGCACAGATGAATCACAGTTTATTTTTTTATTATTTATTTATTTATTTATTTATTTATTTATTTATTTATTTATCTTGAGATGGAGTTTCACTCTTGTTGTGCAGGCTGGAGTGCAATGCAGCGATCTCGACTCACCGCAGTCTCCACCTCCCAGGTTCAAGCGATTCTCCTGCCTCAGCCTCTCAAGTAGCTGGGATTACAGGCATGCGCCACCACACCGGGGTAATTTTGTATTTTTAGTAGAGACGGGGTTTCTCCATGTTGGTCAGGCTGGTCTGGAACACCTGACCTCAGGTGGTCCACCCGCCTCGGCCTCCCAAAGTGCTGGGATTACAGGCGTGAGCCACCGCGCCAGGCCAAATCACAATTTATTAAGCCAGATCCCTACTGATGAACATTTGGGTTATTTTTAGTCCTTTGCTATTTATTATAAGTAGTGTTGCAACGAACTGCCTTGTTCATATATCTTTTTATAGGTTTCCCAGCATGGCTTTGGGATATATTCTTAGAAGTGGCATTGCTGGATCAACGGATAAATGTTTGTTTAATGTGCTAGACATTACCACATTCCTCATCATACGACTGGTACTATTTTTCATTCCCACTAACAATGTATGAGAAGGATAAGATCTTACTTTTTCTGTTAATACCTTAAAAATGTAAGCTAAATTAAATTTAGGAAAATAACTGGTATTACCATTCTCTACCGTAACTATAATGTATACCCCTCAGCTGTAGTTAAATTTATTTTCCTTAAAAATGTACATGGGAGACAGAATTCATAAGAGGATATTTTGTTCATTTAGGAACTATTTCAAGTTCATAATGTTAGCAGTATCTCAGCAATGGTTTTAATAACTGCAGAGTCTGACAGCATCCCTTGGGAAAGTTAGGTCACATAGAAAGGGCCAACTTTGCTGGGCGCGGTGGCTCACACCTGTAATCCCAGCACTTTGGGAGGCTGAGGCGGGTGAATCATGAGGTCAGGAGATCGAGACCATCCTGGCTAACACGGTGAAACCCCTGTCTCTACTAAAAATACAAAAAAATTAGCCGGGCGTGCTGGCACGCGCCTGTAATCCCAGCTACTCAGGAGGCTGAGGCAGAAGAATCGCTTGAACTCGGGAGATGGAGGTTGCAGGGAGCCGAGATTGCACCACTGCACTCTAGCCTGGGTGACAGAGCAAGGCTCAGTCTCAAAAAAAAAAAAAAAAAAAAAGAAAGAAAGAAAAAAGAAAGGGCCAACTTAAATTTTTCATATTAGAAGTTACGGCAGTCCCATATCATTCAAATGATATGTAAATAAACTGGCCTGCACAGCTTTGAAATTGAGGTCAAAAAATAGTTGCTGAAAACATCACGAAAGCAAACCTACACAGAAGCCAACAAGAGACTACCCTGAGACTTAGTAAGTGCTGAACAACACAGATGCTACGAAAGTCAAGGAGGTAAGAGACAATAAGATCTTTTTGCCTGTTTATTGTTTTTTTTTAATTGTGGTAAAATATCCATAATAAAAACGTACTTGCATTTTCTAATTTGTTTTTTAAACTGTGGTAAAATATTCATAACATGAAGTTTACCTTTATTCCCATTTTTATGTGTGCAGTTTAATGACATTAAGTATGTTCACACTGTTGTGGAATGATCATCACTATCCATTTCCAGAGAATGTTTTGTCTTCTCAAACTGAAACTCCATACCCATTAAACAATCATTCCTTATCCTCCCTCCTCCTAGCCCCTAGCAATCACCACCATTCTACTTTCTGTCCCTTGAAATTTGATTACTCTAGATATGTTACATACGGGAAATCATACAGTACTCTTCCTTTGGTGACTGGCTGATTTCACTTATAGCATAATGTCTTCAAGGTTCATCCATATTGTAGCATGTGTCAGAATTTCCTTCCTTTTCAAGGCTATTCGAATAATATTCCATTGTTCCAGAAATTGGTCCTGCCAATGAAACAACTTTTCTGAGTGGGCAAGAACTTTGAATCAACTATTTCATAACTCTGGAAGCTGGCTGAACACTTGTAGCATCCAGAGGGATAATCTGATAAAGAAAGAGGTTGGCATTCAAGGAAATCTCCATCAGGTCTTTGGCTGACCATGGATATAATGGAATAGAGACTTTAGTGATCACACACAATGAGGAATAAAATCTGCTCAAAATTAGTTTGGAAAAGTCACTAAAGAAATGGATGGCTACAGCTCTCAAAAAGCAGTTATCAGGCATCATTAAGGAGGGAAGATAATCTGATTTCAGAGTCACCACATTACAATATTCAAAATGTCCAATTCTCAAATATTTCCTTCTTGACCAATCTCTAGCACTTGAACAAAATATTAACATAGATTCTAACAGCTCAAGGCCACATCCCTAGGATGGCTCTAGCTCCCCCTAAAGTACCTGCCTGAGAAAATTCAAGGCTGCCAAAAGAGTTTACTGTTAGTTCCAGCCGACACTTGAAGACACCCTGTGTCCCAGCATCTGTGGGAGGGTAGGAGCCTAACTTTGATAAGCACTAGCTAACAATCCCAGATGGGTTTCACACAGGCCAATCCCTACTTTCCACTTTTGGTAATTTTTCACTTCCTTGACTTTACTAACCACCCCCTACACCCTGCTCACCCTCCCTCCTGATTCTTCATTCTTCCTTTAAAACACCTAGTGAAGCCTGGCACAGTGGCTCACACCTACAATCCCAGCACTTCAGGAGGCCAAGGCAGGCAGATCACTTGAGCCCAGGAGTTAGATACCAGCCTGAGCAACATGGTGAAATCCCATTTACATATATATATATATGAAGAAAAAAATGCAATTATTAAAAAATCAAAACAAAACAAAAGCCCAGAAACCTCTGTACAAATTGAAGTTGAGTTCAGTTAACACCGGGCTCTTTTCCATAGTGTAACAGTTTATTACTCATTAAAATCTGCCCTTTCCGTTTTAACTGGTGTCCAGCTTTGTGTATCTCTGGCAGAAACACATGAATTAACAAAAGTGATTCAAGACAAAATAGAAATTCTCAATATCTGTATAACAAGGAAGGAGACTGAATCAGGAATCAAAAATCCTCCCAACAAAGAAACGTCTGGGCCTATTTGGGGTCTCTGGTGAATACTCTCAAACATCTAAGGAATTAACACCAGTCTTATGCAAACTCTCTCAAAAACTGAAGGAGAGGGAGCACTTCCTAACTCATTTCATGAGGCAGGATTACCCTGGTACCGAAGTCAGACAAAGACACTACAAGAAAAGTAAACCATAGACTAACATCACTTATGAATATACACAGAAAATCCTCAATACATTTCAGAAGATTAAATCATACAAAGTACCTACTCTGACCAAAATAAAGTGAAGTTAAAAATCAGTAACAGAAAGAAAACTGGAAGGAAACAAAAGGAAATTGGATTCTACTCCGTGACCAAGTGGGATTTACTTCAGGAATGCAAGAAAGTCGATCAATGTAATACACAACATCAATACATTGAAGAAGAAAAAAAAGCACATCATCATCTCAACACAGAAAAACCATTTGACCCAATTTGAGAATTCTTATCTTTCAGAGACACGTGCCAAAATATTTACAGGTAAAATCATATATGGCATTTGTTTCTAAGTAATCTGGACTAGGGAGGAATACAAAGTAGTTGAACTGGGTGGGGATACAGACGAAATAAGATTATCCACATATTGAATCTTGTACCTCATCTTTCTACTTTCACGTTTGAAATTTTCTAAAATAAAAAATTTAAAAACAGATGAAAAGACATTTTAAGAGAATACTTTTAAAATAAGGCAGGAAGGAAACTGGAAATATGTTAATATAATACTAAAAAGCATTATTAGGAATAAAGAGAGTCTAAAAGCAACAATTCTCCAGGAGGAGATAATGATGCTAAACCTGTTTCGCCTTTACAAATACAGCCTGAAAATATATAAAATAAAAAACAAGACTTAACAAAATCATAATGAGAGATCTTTCCCATTGCTTAGAAATAGATTACGCAATAAAAATAGACTATATAATATTTGAACAACACAATTAACAAGCTTTAGGTAATAAACATACTGTGAACATATCAAAAACACGTACACAGCTGCTTGGGAGGCTAGCGGGGGAGGACTGCTTGTGGTAAGGAGCTCAAGACCAGCCTGAGATACATGGCAAGATCCCATCTCTAAAAAAATAGTTTTAAAAATTAGCTAGGCATGGTGGTGCTCGCCTGTAATCCCAGCTGATCAGGAGGCTGAGGAAGGAGGATCGCTTGAGCCCAAGAGTTGGAGGCTGCCGTGAGCTATGATTGTGCCACTGCATTCTAGCCTGGGCAACAAGCAAGATCCTATCTCTAAAAAGTTTTTTAAAAATTAGCCAGGCATGGTGGCGCTTGACTGTAGTCTGAGCTAATTAGGAGGCTGTAGCAGGAGGCTCACTTGAGCCTGCTTCTACTGCACTCTAGCCTGGGCAACAAGCAAACTTCTATCTCTAAAAAGGAAAAGACAAAAAGAAAACATACTGAATTCACTTCTTTTTTAAAGGACACTTGGAACATACCAAAAGCTAACCACATATTAGGCCAAAGACCATGTTAAAATATTTTAAAAACTGATTTTATACGCAACATTTTATCTCACTCAAAGCAATTTTTTAAAAAATCAAAGACCAACAACAAAAAGCATAGTTCAAATCCAAATATTGGAAAATTTAAAAAGATCACTCACTTGCAATTAGAATCAAAGACAAATCAAAACAGATATTAGGAAATATTTAGCATTGAATATAACAAAAATACATCTGAGAATTTATCAAATATGAGCAATATTGTAAAGATAAATATATTGCCTTAAATGAATTAGAAATGAAAATCAATTGACTAAGTATCTACTCCAGAAATAAAAAAAAAAAGAACCACTAAGTAAACCCAAGGAAAGTAAAAAGAAAGGAAACATAAAGTAATTAAATCAAAAAGGGAAACAATAAAAAAGATCAATACAACAAAAGTTTCTTGAAAATACTGATAAAATAAATAAACTCCCAGCACAAATGGCTCCAGAAAAAAAAAAAAAAAGGGCGAAGGCAAAAAATAATTCTGGGAGTACAAAAAGAAAGAGAATCTATAAGTAAAGATGCATGGTGTTATGATATATACATATTGGTTTCCTTCCATGGTTCCTGTTTCCTAACTCCCATAATCTTCGTTATACTGTTGGGGTTCTTTAGGCCTCAGGCAACAGAATCTCTCTCTCTGACCTTCTCCTGTCTTTCTTTCATCTGCCCCAGTCAGGCCTCTGATTGTGGGTCAAAAGACCCTCATTTCAGAAAAGAGTCCTGCCCCAAACCCTAGAGGAAGGAATGCTACACAGAGAGGCCAAGAAAACTCTGAGCAGACAGGCCTTGCTGGCTTTAGCTCGTGTGCGTTTTTGTCCAATCACATTTCTGCACAGTTGTCAATCATGCCTATGTAATGAAGCTTCCATAAAAACCCAAAAGGACAGGGTTCAGAGAGCTTCCAGACTGCTCAACATGCGGTGGTTCCGGTAGGGTGGCGTGCCCAGGGAAGGCATGGAAGCTCCACACACCTTCCCCATACCTTGCCCTATGCATCTCTTCATCTGTGTCTTTTGCAATACCCTTTATAATAAACCAGTAAACGTAAGTGTTTCCCTGAGTTGTGTGGACTGCTCTTGCAAATTATTTGAACCCAAAGAGGACATCATCAGAACCCCAACTTGAAGACCATTGGTCAAAAGTTCCAGAGGCCTGGACTTGTGACTAGTGTCCTGAGAGTGGGCAGTCTTGGGGACTAAGCCCTCATCCTGTGGGATCTGACACTATCTCCAGGTAGATAGTGTTGGAACTGAATTGGAGGACACCCAGCTGGTATCTGCTGCTTCCTCCGTAGGGGAAACCCCCTACACATTTGATCACAGAAGTCTTCTTCTGTGTTGATGATTGTTGTGGTGTGAGAGCAGAGGAAAAACGAAGTTTGAGAGTTTTTTCTCTAAAAAAGATGTAAAAGAATTATTTTTAAATCAAAGGACAATACTAAGAAATGCTTTCTACTAATTATATCAGAAAATATATGAAAACATCTTCTAGAAAATACAAGTGACCAAAACCAATTTCAAAAGAAGAGAAAACCTGAACATAATCTTGAGAAAAATATCAGTAAAAATCTACCCACAAAAAACACCAGGCCCACAGCCTTTCACATGTAGATTTGTTCCAAACTTTCGAAAACATCTAATCTTCTGATAACAGGGCAAAAGGCAAGCTTCCCAATGCATTTATAAGACCAAAAGGTTTTCTATTTCCTGAACAATTCAGTGCAATAGCTGTTAAGTGGGACAGAACAAGTTCCATGTCCTGGGAGAGGCCAAGGTCACCTGAGTGGGGTTAGAGCTCTAGCAATGGGTGGAGGGTGACTGCACAGAAAAGCCAGTTATGTGGGACATTGGAGCCCACGTGGGAAGCTAAGCGCACCCATGTGGATGGTGTGGCAGAGAGGATAGTGGATTGGTTATTTATAAGAGGAATTAATCAAATAAGTAAATATGGTAAAGATAATAGGTGCTAAGTTTCTCAAACCAGAATACACACAGCGGTGCTGTATTGCAAATGGCAGTATCAGTGTAATCTCATAGTCTTCAGTGCTGTGTAGATGACTGATAGATAAATATCCTATAACTTCATCACCTAGAGGGCTGGAAGCAATGATATTTCCCATAGGCATGAGCAAACCTAGCAACCTTGTTTCTGAATTCCATTCTCCACCAAAAGAAACCGGAGCTCTTTAGGAAAAGGATTAATTCCAGGCCTAGGGCAGGGAGAGTTAAAGTCTGAACTCCTGGGTGGGCGCGGTGGCTCACGCCTACAATCCCAGCACTTTGGGAGGCCGAAGTGGATCACGAGGTCAGGAGATTGAGACCATCCTGGCTAACACGGTGAAATCCCCGTCTCTACTAAAAACACAAAAAATTAGCTGGGCATGGTGGCGGGTGCCTGTAGTCCCAGCTACTCGGGAGGCTGAGGCAGGAGAATCGCTTGAACCCAGGAGGCGGAGATTGCAGTGAGCTGAGATTGCACCAATCCACTACAGCCTGGGCGACAGAGCGAGACTCCGTCTCAAAAAAAAAAAGAACTCCCTCTCTTTTTGTGCCAACAAGCAAGGAAATGCTCAATAAATGATGTTGGGGCATGTTAAAGATGCAAAAGCCAGCTTTAAGGGGCTCCCACTGGCCAAATCAGGGACAATTTGAGTATTGAAATATGTAATGATAATAAAAGATTAGATAATAAGTTAATGATAATAAGAGACCCATGGGTCTATACAAAGTCTCAAAGTGTCTCCACACAAGTTATTTGTTTACCTTAAAGGAGAAAACTCTGCAGTGGAGGCACATGACAGAAATCCACCTTAACCAAAGTGATCAAGGTTTCAAAATAACAGGACAAATTGAAATTTTGTGCCACCTGATAGGATCCAAAAATAACACAGCATTGCTTCTGTGATATTCTTCCCAAAGATGCATAATTCAAATCCAATCATGAAGAAACAGCAGACAAACCCCAGCTGAAGGATGTTCTACAGAAAACAGGCCCGTATTCTTCAAGTGAAGGTCATAATAGTCAAGGAAAGACTTAGGAACTACTGGCAATAGGAAGGAGACTAAAGAAACATAACTAAATAGTTCAGGGAACAAATTATTTTGCACTGGGCTTGCAACTTTTCTGTAAATTTGAGGTTATCTCTAAGTAAATTAGCATAACCTCAAAAATAATGATAATATAGGAAAATTAAAGACTAACCCCCCCTTATGTCAAAAGATGCAAAATTATACATTTTGAGCTATATGTATTTAAAAATTTTATCAACAACTGTTTGTCTCCAAAATGCAAGAATGTTTAGATATCAGAAAACTGTATGTTATTACACCAAATTATATGCCCCAAAAAACAAATTTACAGAGTAAATAAGACATTTTAATCATATTAGCAGGTAAATAAAGAGCATATATACATCCAAAGTCATTCATAGTTTTTTTTCTGAACATCTCTAAGCAAGCTAGGACTGAAGGGGTAACTAAATAGCCCAATAAAAGGTATTTATAGGGGAAAAAAACTCTTAACAGCAAACATCACACTCTATGGCAAAACTTAAAATTATTTCCTTTAAAATCAAGAATAAGGAATCAGAAACATCCTTAGAGCCTGCTGTAACTGCTTCTTTTCAATAATATATTGCATTTTCAGCCAATGCAAAAAAGACTAAAATAAAAGGCTTTAAGAATTGAAAAAGAAGACAGGCATATGATGCTAAAGAATTATAGGCTGGGCGAGGTGGCTCATGCCTGTAATCCTAGCACTTTAGGAGGCCGAGGCGGGCAGATTACCTAAAGTCAGGAGTTTGAGACCACCCTGGCCAACATGGCAAAACCCCGTCTCTACTAAAAGTACAAAAATTAGCCGGACGTGGTGGCGGGCACCTGTAATCCCAGCTACTCAGGAGGCTGAGGCAGGAGAATCGCTTGAATCCAGGAGGCAGAGATTGCACTGAGCCAAGATTGTGCCAATGCACTCCAGCCTGGGCGACAAGAGCAAGACTCCGTCTCAAAAAGAAAAAAAGAATTACAGTATGGTATTTGCAAATGGATAGCAAATAAACCAATTCAGTCCTAGCCATAAATTTATCTATACATGGGACATTGCTACAAAATACTGAGTGTCATAAATCAGTGTGGAAAGTATAAATGATGAAAAACTGGTGCTAGGCTATCCATATAGGAAAAATACAAAAACTATTTCCATACCTCACATCATACACAAAAGCAGATTAAAAGCATAAAATGTGAAGATCAAAACTTTGAACACTTAGGGAAAAAAGGCAGAAAACATATTTACAATTTTAGGATTAGGGGAATTTTTTAAAGCACTATACACAAATGTAGCTCTTATAAACACTAATGATCGTAACACATTTAGGTCAAATGATCTGTATGACCAAAAGAAGTGAAAATGTGGGAGAAGGTATTTGCACTAGATAGATAGAGCAGACCATGGATTAACATGTAGAACATATAAAGATGTCTTACAAATCAATAGAAATAGGTCTAAGACATGAAATCTGACACTCAAAAAGGAGTGAGAGCAAAAGATAGGCAGATACTTAACATTACTAGTAAGCAACAGGTATAAGTTAATACCGTAATAAATTATCATTTCACACTGTACCAGAATGGCTGAAAAGATACTGAAAAGGCCAAGTGTTCACAGGGGGTGAAGGTGGAGGGATTGGTAAACAAAAACAAAACAAAACTGTATAAAATGTTGATGGGAGTGTAACTTGACACAAGCTCAAGAGCAGCTTGGCAATAGTCCTTGATTGCTCCATTTGTTTCTGGCTGGAGAAACTCACACATGTGCCTAAAGAAGTACTGTACAATGCCTGCAAATCTCAAAGAACTGGAAAGACCTTAAATGTCCAGACATTAAGGAATGGATAGTTATTTTTCCCCCATAAAAGAACAATTAAAATGAGTGAATCAGGTCTACATATATCCACATGGCTGAATCTCAAATACATAATGGTGAGTGAGTACAGCAAGTTGCATAAGGACACACGTAACACCGCTTATATAAATCATGAAAGCCCACAAAATAAAACTCTATATTGGTTATGTATATATACATGTATAGTAAAATTATAAAGTCATACAACAGCCCGATAGCCACAGACTTTTGTTACCTCTGGGGAGGGTGAGAAGGAAAAGATATAAGGCCTTGATGTGGCCTCTGATGTTTCATATTTTAAAATTTGAAACAAGATTATCGATGGTAAATTGCTAACACCTCTGAGAAAAGCGGGGGGAATTTTGCCTCAGATATAACTGGTGGTGACTGCTGGGTAATAATTTTTATTATACAGGTGAGAATGCGAGTATCAGAGGGCATGAGGAGGAGAAAGCTGAGTCAGGGAGGTAAGGGGACCAGGAGGCAGGAAGGAGTTTATACACTGAAATAAAATGCAGATCAAGAAGAAATGCCTGTAAGGGCCAAACATATTCCACTGATGAAACAAATGCAAATCCCAATTCAACAGAATGAAATAAAACCCAGTAACCTATCACATTCCTCCATACTCACTATAGACTCTTTTAAATGACATTCCGTCCAGTGTTGATGAAGTTCACTTTTTTCCCCGAGTTAAAAATATTTGCCTTATTTCAAGGTTAATTTGCAGCACCTCCCCCTAAAACAATTAACTTATTTGCCCACTGAATAAAACGTGTTGAATCTCTGCATTAAAAACAGCATCTGCTACACGTAATGGAGGAACACAATGGGACTATGAACTCTTCTAGTTCATTTAGTGCATAAAACTATTATATAGCTATTATTTTTCTCATTTTACAGATAAATTGAGATTCAGAGAGCTTAAAACCTACCCCCACAACCACCATGCTGACAAGTTAGCATGAGCCGTAATTCAAATTCAGTTTGCCAGACAGCCCCAAGACCCATACCCTTTTCCCTATACCTAACTCCCTAGGAGGTAGATCTTATGTCCTGCTCTTATGTTCTATGTGGGGCACACTCACCATACACGTTATATTTCCCCATACAATAGAGTGAGACTAGAGGACTATCTTTTGAACCAGGAATTGCTCTCCTAGGAATGATTTGGAAAAAAAGATAAAGAAAAGTTATATTTAAAAAGTGGCAGCTCCAGACCAAGGAGAATAAAAAATAAAAACATTAAAGAATAACAAATAAAATTCTCCACATCACGGACTAAAACCATTTTACAGGTCAAGAAACATCTGCATACAAACTAAGGAACCTATGTAAATTCATATACTAGTTATGGTGGGGCCAGGATCTCAACCCAGACAGTCCGATTCCCAAACAGGCATGGTTAATGGTTACGCTATTGTTTTATAAGCCTTTTTGAGATCCACAGTGAGAAATATATTTCACCTCATGATCCTGATTTTGTTTCACACAAAAGTGAAACAACTTCTACAAAACAGCATTGACCTTAATATGTAGCAAAAACTTTAAGATGTTGATTTCCAGTCATGAAATTCTCTCATGACCCACGATTTAAAAAACACACAATGCTTAAGTGCTTCAAAAATACAGTATTTATTGTAATAACTACAGTAGCAAGAAGAAAAAAACGAAGTGGAACTACGTGTTTAGCAGCAGAGCTGAATAATTATGAATATAAACAATTACTATTGGGAGAAAATACATTACACTCATTGCTTGGAACCATGAATAATACTTATATATGTACGAAATATAGAAAAATAAAATAGGTTAACATAATAAGGATATAGGCAATTATTTTTTTTAATTTTATAAAAACTTTTATTTTTCCTTACAAACTGGGGTAGTTAGGAGACCTGATAATAGCTTTTTTATTTTCTTGGCACCAAAGCAACTTACTTATGTGTTCCTTCTTGCATTATCTGTTCCAGATCATAGTCAAGTTTTCCAATTCGTTTTACTAAGCTAGCAAAATTTTTTATACCAAAAAGAGTAAAATCAAAACAAATGCTCCTTTGTTTATAGATGAAAATCTGGAGCAAAATAACACAACATTAAAAAAACAAAACTTTGCAAACACATCCTAAAGCTACACACATTGAAGCGTTTACAGCAATATGCTCCCTGGGTTCGTTCTCCCTTCCCCCAATCCTCTAAACTGTGCCTTTGGGTCTCAGACCCTTGTCCCGGGGGTCCCTCTGAATCCACCTTTCAAGAGGATGGAGCTGGGCCACTAGGCTGAGGTCTGGCCCTGTTCTCCTCATCTGCCAAAGCCTCACAGTACTGCGCTGGCCAGTCCTTGGGGTCTTGATTATGGACCTTGGCCACAAACTTAAGAACTTTCATCTTGCTGGTTTCCAGGTTGGTTCGCGGGCCCCACTGGAATTCGTAGTCGACGGGGTCGGTGTGGGGTATCCGCCGGTATTCCAGGTAACGCTGTCGCACAAAGTCCTCAGTAATGAGTTTCTTTGGATCTCCGAAAATTAAATGCTTCTTGGTGGGGTAGACCCCTAAGCGCCGCAGAAAGTCCCAGGCTTCAGTTTCCTTGATGGTGTTGCCCTTCATAAAGATGAGCCCTAAGACGATCATCAGGAGGCCCGTAGTGGGCGTGCCTTGGTCACCCCTCATCTCGGCATCCTCCTCCACAGGCTCCAGGGTGTTGATGAGGATGTAAGTGTTGCTCTTGGGTTCAAGTTCCACCAGCTTATACCCGAAGACGTACTGGAGGCGCTCGGCGGCCCGTTTGAAGAGGTCGGGGAAGATGTCCTTGTAGTCCCCGATGACGTGCTTCAGTATGTCGGCCCGCTTGATCGGAATCTTCTTCTGGTCTTTAATCAGCAAGAACTGCACCAGCTCGGACACTTTCAGCTCCAGCTGCTTCTGGCTCCTGGGCCCCACGGCGGGGGCGGCCTGGGCCCGGCGGGCGCCCTGAGGCGAGGGGCCCTGCGACCCCTGCGAGCCGCCCGGCCCGCGGGACGTGCTCGGGGCCTCCTCGGCAAAGCCGTCTCTGAGAACCCGGGCGTCTTCCCCGGCCCGCGAAGCCCCGGGGTTTCCGCTATGGCTCCAGTCTCTGTCCCTCTCGGCCTGGCCGCCAGAGCGGCCCCGGTTCCTCGGTTTTTGCAACATGTCTCCGGCGGCAGGTGCCGGCGCACACTCCGGTAGGCAAGCAGCCGCGGCGGGGATTGCGGGTCGGCGACCCGCTAACGCCGGTGCCTGGAGGCGCGCGCAGTGTCGGCTGAGACTGCGTGCTGCGTCATGAAGCCTGCGCCTTGCGTCAGGGCGGCTGGGCGGTGCGCCTGCGCGGCTGCGGCGGGTACCAAAAGGAACAGCGTTTTCCGTGCAGCCCTGCAGGTCCGGGCGATGATTTTTAGTATAGTGAAGTGTTGTTACCAAACCATGCAAACAGAGAGCGAGAACCGAAACTCCTAAACAAGTGTGTCGCTAAATTCAGACCACACAGGCTCAGGCAAGTTTTACAGACAGTATTATGAGTTTCTAAATCGGGAGCATTTGTAAACGGAAAGAATTCAGAGGATGAACGTGTGAGAAAAAAAAAAGGTGAAGAGGAAGGGCCGACCGTGGAAGTAAAGTAAAAACATTTATTTCTACACAAAATGTAGAAGGACATAAAAGACCCAGAGGGCTCTTAGTTTTCGTCCCTCCACCCAATTTCATACCCTCCATCCCACTGCCCCCAGTTACTTTCTCTAATGCCCCGTGGAGTCTGTTAAAAACCAAAGTCGGCTGCAGGCTTTCTGCGCAAGCAGGACTTCAGTTTCACTATTTCCGTATTTATATTCTCTGCATTAAACTCCTTTAGCTAGACAACTATGAGAAGACCACAAAAAACGTGTCAGTATTAGGTAAATGTTTTAGCTTGGTCACATGGGTTTATCTTTTGGAAAACAACTGCTTTCGTCACAACCACAATTTTAGCAGAAATGGGTAAGAGGAATGCTGCAAACAAACGTGCACTCTCAAGAGATTACTACTTAATTTGGGGCATCACTGATCAAGAATTGCAATAATGTGGAGCTCTTAAATTTCTTAATTCATAATATATTAGCTTTGAGGAAAAAAAAGAGAACACTGGGGGATTTATCTCTCATCTATGATGTGATATACAGTCTCTACTGTATATTTTAATTGTGCAACTCAAGTAGCCAAAATGAGTCATTTCATTAACTCAAACCATCAGCAGTCTGCTGCCATGACTTCTACAGATCTTAGCAAATTTGTTTCTTCTCTATTTACTTGCAAAGAAGAAACTGAATTTCCCTGTGTCTTTTTAAAGCTACCCAGAAAGTGGATAAACTCTTCAAAGAACCAAATTGAGTTCCTCTTTAATGCAAATATATTCAAAGGAAAGCAATTTAGAACACATTATCTGAGTAATAGCATCAAACACAACCTTATTAAAATTTTGTTAATTGTTAGTAGCATAACACTTTTGTTTGTAATTCAGTAGGAAAATGCAATCTGATAATGGCACTGGAACTGCAATAGTAAATGTAAAATCATATTCCATGAACTAATGCAAGTATGCTAAAATCTGGTATGCAATGAGTAATAACTTACTGTTCCACACAAGATGCAACTATATCCTCAGGCATCAATTTTAATGACAAAGGCCTACTATGAAAAACAAATATATTATCAAGGCATTCATTTTTTTACAATGAGAAAATTCATCTGCTTCAGTTTCCTTGCAAATTAAAATCTGGACTTAGGTTCATAGAAGCTTCCTGCCATCTAGAATTCTGCAAAAGGTCCCTACTGCAGGATGTGGATGTTGTATTGAGGGAATAGAGAGACCGTCTCATATTGTTTTATATTGTTTTATACTCAGTACCTGTTTTAAGAAAAAACAACAAGGAAGTAAAACCAAATACAGGCAGCCCAGCGCCAGGCCCAAAACCAGGCCTGGGCCTGCCTGGCCTAAACCCAGTAGTTAAAAATCAACTCATAACTTAGAAACCGATGTTATTCATAGATTCCAGACATTGTATAGAAGAACATTGTATAAAGAACAGAACTGCCCTGTTCTGTTTCTCTCTGACCACCGGTGCATGTAGCCCCTGTCACATACCGCCTGCTTGCTCTGATCAATCACGACCCTTTCATGTAAAATCTTTAGTGTTGTGAGCTCTTTAAAGGGACAGAAATTGTGCATTTGGGGAGCTCGGATTTTAAGGCAGTAGCTTGCCGATGCTCCCAGCTGAATAAAGCCCTTCCTTGTGCAACTCGGTGTCTGAGAGATTTTGTCTGCGGCTCGTCCTGCTACAGTGCCTTGAGTCAAAAAAGTTCAGTGACCGAGATATAAGGGGAAAGTGGAAAATTAGATAAAAGCTATTGTCAACAGTTGGGCTGGTTTTTCAGTGCTCTTTCTTGCTAAGGTATTCATGTACGTTACCAAGCAGCCCACCAGTCAGACTACCCCTGTCACTGTGAAAATCAGCAGTGTCCTCCAGCAGCACGCTTACCTAGATAGCAGACTGTCATTACTCAAGATAGAGGAGAAGAGATACCAGTTTTTAAGTCTCAAAACATCTCTCTACACTCTTTCCAGAAGAATGCAGGTGAGAAAATGCAGACATAAAATAAGAGTATTAGAATGAAGTTTTAGGCCCTGCATGGAGAAGTCATCCAGACCCACATTCCACCTTGGATTGATACTGGAAGCCATGGATGTCTGGGGAGAAACTGTGGTGATAACAATACTAACATTAGTAACAATAAATATAACCGACAACAGCCAATGATTATAGTAGTTGCTGCTCCATCTCCATGTCTGCAGTTTTACTTTCTGTGGTTTCAGTTACCTGCAGTCAACCACAGTCCGAAAATATTAGGATATTTTCAAAGAGAAACCACAATATAACTTATTACACTATATTTGTTCTACTTTATTGTTAGTGTCAACTGAAGGATGACGAGGTTCATAAATTTGGAAAGAGCTTTATTTCTCATAAAGGGTTGCAGTCTGCGGGGCGGCCATTCCAACAGGCTAGGAAGACAACCTCATGCTAGAAGCCAGAAACAGACACTTCAAGGGAGGGCAAAGGGAGCAGGAATCTATGCAGAATGGGGTGGCCAAATATACATATTTAATAAGCTATAGGAGGAGTCATGAACATTTATGCAAGGAGAAATGTGCATATGCGCAATTGCACTTCATGTCTCTCCCTGGGACCCATATTCCAAAATTGGCAGTGTTAGCATGATCCAGGGTAGGAGTTTTCAGCCCTCTGACATCAAAAGGTGAAGTAGAGGACATGAAAACCCTGACTGCATGTCTTCCATAGACTGGCCAGAACTACTCCATGGTTGGTGGTCTTTTACCAGGAAGAACTGCTGGTCAATTGTGCCAAAACTGCAAAAGGGAGGGGCAGCATCAGGTGGTTGGTTTATACCAGCAGTGGAGTCTTTTGAAAGGGCTGATTTCTGTTTAGCTCTTAGGGAAGAAAGCCTAATGGCATTTAGAGCGGGTGAGGGTTTCCAAGGTTATTCGGGGTCCCCTTGGCCAAGAGGGGGTCTGTTCAGTCAGCTGGAGGGCTTAAGATTTCATTTTTCTCATCAATTATTGTTAATCTCTATTATGACTAATTTATAAATTAAACTTTTTTTTTTTTTTTTTGAGATGGAGTTGCGCTCTGTCGCCCAGGCTGGAGTGCAGTGTCACGATCTTGGCTCACTGCAACCTCCGCCTCCTGGGTTCAAGAGATCCTCACATCTCAGCCTCCCGAGTAGCTAGGATTACAGGTGTGTACCACCACGTCTGGCTTTTTTTGTATTTTTAATAGAGATGGGGTTTCACCATGTTAGCCAGGCTGGTCTCGAACTCCTGACCTCAAGTGATCCATCCACCTCAGCCTCCCAAAGTGTTAGGATTACAGGTGTGAGCCACCGCTCCTGGCGTAAATTAAATTTTATCATAGGTTCGTGTGATGATTAATGTGGAGTGTCAACTTGATTGAAGGAAGCAAAGTATTGTTCCTGGGTGTGTCAGTGAGGGTGTTGCCAAAGGAGATTAACATTTCAGTAAGTGGACTAGGAGAGGCAGACCCACGTTCAATCTGGGTGGGCACCATCTAATCAGCTGCCAGTGCGGCTAGAATAAAAGCAGGCAGAAGAACGTGGAAGGACTTGACTTGCTGAGTCTTCTGGTCTTCATCTTTCTCTCATGCTGGATGCCTCCTTCCCTTGAAAGTCAGACTCCAAGTTCTTCAGCTTTTGGATTCTTGGACTTACACTAGTGGTTTGCCAGGGGTTCAAGGGTCTTCAGCCACAGACTGAAGGCTGCACTATTGGATTCCCTACTTTTGAGGTTTTGGAACTCAGACTGGCTTCCTTGCTCCTCAGCTTGCAGATGGCCTATTGTGGGGCTTCACCTTGTGATCATGTGAGTCAATACTCTAGTAAACTCCCTTTCATATATACATCTATTCTATTAATTCTGTCCCTCTAGAGAACCCTGACTAATACAGTATGTATCTATGCATAGGGAAAAACATTGTGGATTTAGGGTTTGGTGCTGTCCACGATTTCAGGTATCCACTGAGGGTCTTGGAACACATCCTCCACAGACAAGGGGGGACTACTATACAAAGTGAATGGTGGGTCAGACCTTATTCCAGGTGGTTTACAGGTATGACTTCATTTAATCCCCACAACAAACCTATCAGGCATGTGCATTTATTATGTTTCTCTTCTCACAAATAAACTGTCACAGGAGAAGATTATTAAGTTTTGAGGCTCTATAGCGAGTAAGTGGTAGGTGTGAGATCTGAACACAGCCAATCTGCCTCCAGAGAGTGGGCTTTTAACTGTATACTGATTCAGAGCAAACATAGACATGGTGTCCTTGAAAAAGTAAGGGCTTTGGGATCAGATGAACTAACATTAGAAACCTGTACGATACTGACACTCCTCCCGGTTTAAGTCTCCAAGTCAACAAAATGAGGCCTAAACCTGGCATCAGGGGATTAAGTGAGATAGGTTTACCCAGTACCTAGCACAGTGCCTGGCAGGGTAGTTTGATAACAATTTGCTTCTTTCCAGGGATTTCTGTTAAGGAAAATATTTGAGGACTACACAAAGTTGTATATACTGCAGGGGAGGCAAAACCTTCCCTCCACCCTCGAAGGGCCCCAGCTGGACCTGAGACTTAAACTAATATAAAATAGATTAACAGGAGAAAAGCATTCAAACTTCATTTAAGTTTTACAGGACACAGGAGCGCTTGTTAGGGAAATGAAGACCGAAAGAGGTGGCAAAACCTAAATGCTTTTATATTTGGTTGAACAAAGAGAGGTAATTGTGGGAAAAGTAAATTATGTGGGGAGGATAAAGGGAGATAATTATTTTAACGAAGTTGTTTGTACAGAATTCACTTGGCTTTGAATCCCCATTGAGTAATGTTTCTTTCCTCTTGGTACAGTAAAGCTATTTTTCACATGGGAGTTTTTATCTCCTGTTTTCAGGAAGAAAAGAGGAAATTCAAATGCCCTTCTTGCATCTGCTATTTTTCAAGTGCCTTTAGCTCAAAGTAATCCTTATGCCAAAGTGGCATATTTTGGGCGGGCAGCATATTCTGCCATCCTTCAGTAGAACGATGAGAAAGATGTTCACTGCAGCAAAACACATGTACACAAGAATCAAAAGGGCTGGAAAGAAATATATATATCAAGGTACTATTAAAGTTAATTTGCTTTTAAAAATAAAAATCAACCCTGATTTTCTTGCTTGGGAGATGAATAAAAAATATATTTTCAATGAAGTTTAACTTCAAAGTGACACTATGCCATAGCAGCTATGCACATTCACATGTTCAATACATTCAGTGTGATTCGAATATGGCATTTGTGACTTTCTGTTCAGGCAGTGAAGTCACAAAGACAAGTGGTTAAAAAAGAAAAACATTTTCAAACACTTTATGTTAATGACCTTCATGCTTTAATTACTAGACCCAAAAGAAAAAATCAAAAGTCTTTGAGGCAAAAGCTAAGCTAGCTAAGATTTCAAGTGCAAAGAACAAGGAAATGCCTACTACAAATTGCTCTTTAGATGTTTATAGTAATTAAATGTTTTATTTTGTCTTTTCGATAGCAAATGCCTGCCAAGAAACTCTAATCATCTTTATTATCTACTAGATTCTCCTCTTCATTCATGGTATTTCTTGTGAATCAGAAAAAGGCTTTAATTTTTCTGACAGCAACACAGTGCTAAAAGCAGGTGAGGACTTCTTAGGAAGAAAGGCAATGATCAAAGCATGCAGCCACCACATATGAGCTGTTCTCTGCCTTTTCCAGTGGAAGAAAGTGGGCCAATGTGCAGCATGTGAGCAAGGGAGTTGGGAGGCAAATACTATTTTGGTGGGTAGACAGCAGGAAAAGCAATCCAGACATCTTAATGGTTGCAATAAAGTCCCTTGTGTCCACACATTTACAACAGTTATATATATTCATTCATAGCAAAGATCCCTCCTGCCTAGGTCACATGGTAGACTACCTAATAACACTTTGTCCCTCATAAATGAATATTTTGATGAAGCAGCAACAGAGTTTTCCTTGGCTGGTGGAAGCGGGTGGAGAGGTGAGCCTTGACAAGATAGTGCTTTCCAAGCATTGCAGCCATTTGGCCCAGAAGCCTGGTCTTAGACTCTCTTTTCAAGAAATGCATCTTCCAGTTATCCAGGGCCCTTTACTTATGAAAATCATTAGGGCCTATTAAGTTATAAAATTACAAACATCCAAGGTCTTGATAGTGGTCACTAAGATTCTCTTCGTTTGCTTGGTTTCTAATCCCTTTGTTCTGTATCCTTTCCCTTTAGAAACAGCCTCTTCCCACCTTTAAAAGACCTTAGTATAGGGCTGCCTTCCTTTCCTGAGTGCACAGGATTCAGGCCAGACACAGTGACTGGTTCAGAAGTTCAGTCAGCATCCTTCCAGGACATTCAGACAGATTCTCGCCCCTCTGAGCTCACAAGCTGAGGGGTGATGTAAGCCTAGCCACTTGTGCCCTTGCTTCTGAAAAACCTGCCTCAGGGCGAAGCCAACTCAAAAGAGATCTAAGAGATGGGAAACAATCTTAATGCTGCCATTTGAATCCCTGGATGCTGAGTTCAAGATCAGACTCCTGGAGATAATGAATTACTAAAGCATCTCCTTTTGCTTAATCTGCTTTGAGTTGGTTCCTGTCACTTGAAAGTGAACAAGGTCTGGCTAAATCAGTAGCCAATCCTATTATTCAGGGGAAAAAAGGGTAGTAAGAAATGAGACTTTGGAGCTAGGGAAGGTTAAAACCAATGAGGAGTTTTGAATATAATGAGAGGTGAATTGAAAACAATATGACATTTTTGTTATGTTTCTTCCCAGTGTTCTGTGGTTGGGGAATGTGCTCATCATTTTAGTTGGTGGCAACAGGGGTAAGGGAGAGACAAATTATGAAGAACTGTACTTTTCCATATGGAAAGTATATATGGGCCAGGCACAGTGGCTCAGGCCTGTAATCCTAGTACTTTGGGAGGCCGGGGCAGGCAGATCACTTGAGGTCAGGAGTTCCAGACCAGCCTGGCCAACATGGCGGAACCCCATCTCTACTAAAAATACAAAAATTAGCCAGGCCTGGTGGCGGGTGCCTGTAGTCCCAGCTACTCGGGAGGCTGAGGCAGGAATCGCTTGAACCCAAGAGGCAGAGCTTACAGTGAGCCAAGATTGTGTCACTGCACTTTAGCCTGGGCCACAGAGCAAGACTCCGTCTCAAAGAAAAAAAAAAAAAAGTACAAATGAGCTAATCAATCTGGTGATTTACCTTTGCAGAAAGGAGTTTTACACAATTTGGAATATAAATTAAAGCAGCGGTCCCCAACCTTTTTGGTACTAGGGACCAGTTTTGGGGAAGACAATGTTTCTATGGAAGGTGCGGGAGTGGGAGGGTGGTTTGAGGATCCCCGCCTGCAGTTCTCAGTAGGGCTCACATCCCTATGAGAATCTAATGCTGCCGCTTATCTGACAGGAGGTGGAGCTCGGGCAGTAATGCTCACTCGCCTGCCACTCACCTCCTGCTGTGCGGCCAGGTTCCTAACAGGCCACGAACTGGTACTGGTCCACAGCCTGGGGTTTGGGAACCCCTGCCTTAAAGCATCTCCTACTCTAAAGTGGCTGTGTTCTCCATATTTAACCCAGAGCACTTCCCCACTTGCTATACCACGCAAGATGACAGAAACCTCATTCTTCCAGACTACGCTTTAGCCTAAAGTAGAGATATATGCACAGGACAGAGGTATGTCCACAAAGAGAGCTGACAAAGCTAATATCCAGACAGGGACAATGCGAATAGGTTATGAGAAAACTGAACACGTTGAAATGGAAAAAAAATAAATTAGAGAAAAAATAAAAATATTCAAGGCAGACAAGAAAGACCCCATGTATACATAACTGGTGGTCTTGAGGGAGATAACAACCATAAAGAGAGAAACAGGTGACTGTAGGAGTCCTGGGGAGCTGGGTTTACACAGGCCCCGCCTCTCTGATCCCACCCCCACCCCACTGCAGCTCCCTCCCTTGGACTAATAACCACAGCAAGCATGCTTCCAGGACTGGAGGGTAATCAGAGGCCATGGGTTCCCCAAGATCTGCAGAAGAGATCCAGTACAGGGTTCCTCCCTCCCTGAGACACAAGTGAGAGCTTAGCAATGAAGTTGCATGCGGAGAAGAGGGCTTGCCCCTTCCCAAGGAAGTCCTGGGAAAAGCAAGGACTGTGTGGTACTTGTGGGGTCTGTGCTGGCAGAAGCCCGTGTCTCCCTTCTGAGAGAGTCCACAGCTGTCCCCTTTCTGAGAATAGTCCTCCAAGACCCTGTCCCAGGCTGTTGTTCTTTGGGAGAGGCAGGCTAACTGCTGCCAGGCTTCAAGGTTGGGAGAGCCAGCAGTTTGCCCCCTGTGAGGCCTGGGCTCCAAGAGGCCCTTCATAGTACTTCAAAAGGCATGTAGACAGTGTGCCCTCTGATGCATCGTGACCATAAAAGCAAAACCTGCTGGGCCTCTTGCTACTTGCCACCTCATACTTTTTCAGTGACTCCCAACAACATGACTCACAGAGGAAAGGGAGAAGCACAGACCCCATTCCAGTTATCCCACTGGATATCCTTGGCCTCTTTTCTGCAGATCTGTTGACCACAGATGTAAGAATTTATTTCTGGAGCCTCAATTCTAATCCATTGCTCTACATGTGCACTGGTTTCCTGGGGCTGCCACAGCAGAATACCACAGACTTGGGGGCTTAAACAACAAAGTGATTCCTCACAGTTCTGGAGGCTCCAAGTCTGAGATCAAGGAGTCGGCATGTTTGGTTCCTCCTGAGGCTTCTCTCCTTGGCCTGCAGATGACCACGTTCTCACTGTGTTCTCAGCTGGCCCTTCTCTGTGCATGTACATCCCTGGTGTCTCTTCCTCCTTTTGTTGACTATAAGGATACCAGTCCTGTTGGACCAGAGCCCCACTGTAAAGGCCTCATTTTAACTTAATCCACTTAAATAACTTATTTCCACACACAGTAAGTCTGAGGTTGAGTCTTTTGAATTCTGGGGGAGACACTGCAGCCCATCACGTATGTTGACGTGTGCCACCGCCACACTGCCTGGTTACTGCAGAGTGTTAGTAAGTTTTGAAATTAGAAAGTATAAGTGCTCCAGTTCTGTTATTTTTCAGGATTATTAGGGCTATTCTGGGTCCCTTCCATCTCCATATGAATTTGAGAATCAGCTTGTTTATTCCTGCTAAAATTTAGTTGGGATTTTTTTTTTTTTGAGATGGAGCCTGGCTGTGTCACCAGGCTGGTGTGCAGTGGTGCAATCTCGCCTCACTGCAACCTCCACCTCCCGGGTTCAAGTGATTCTCCTGCCTCAGCCTCCTGAGTAGCTGGGACTACATGCGCACGCCACCACACTCAGCTAATTTTTGTATTTTTAGTAGAGACGGGGTTTCACCATGTTGGCCAGGATGGTCTTGATCTCTTGACCTCGTGATCCGCCCACCTTGGCCTCCCAAAGTGCTGGGATTACAGGCATGAGCCACCGCGCCTGGCCTCAGTTGGGATTTTCACAGGGCTCGTTTTGAGTCTGCAGATCAATTTGGGTAGTACTGACATCTTAAAATTAAGTCTACCGATCCACATAAGTGGGATGCTAGTTAATATGGACAAGTGAATTTATTACTCCTCCAAAAAACTATTTTCACAAACTTTATATCAACATGAGAAATCATGTTGTATCTTTCTACCTGGAGGGAGCAAGAAAGTCAGGTGGTGTGCCTTTTGTACATGGGCAACCCAATTTCTTATCTAGACTTTCTTTTGCTCGCCTGGAAAAAAAAAAATGAGGTATTGCAAAAATGTGATAATTGCTTTCCTTAGTATGAAAAACTGTTAAAATGAGTAAAGCCTGTGCTCAACTAGAATTCTCACATTTCCGTTTTGATGTATCCGCATTTCACAGTAAAAAAAACCCTCAGTTATGTACATATGTGATCCTGAAGTACCCATGATTAAAAACAAATATTTCAATCTACAATGTTCAGTTCTATTAGATCATTAAAAGACGTATCTCTACTCGCATTCTCTGAAAACGTGTAAATCATGCTCAGCATAGTGACAACTCCACTAGGACAGGCCGACCAACTCATTTGTTACAAAGTCTCTGGCCCCCTGAGTGAGGAGCCCCCAGAAACCTAATGTGAAAGGAAACTTCGGTTTTCTCCCCAGCTGCTTTCCTTGAGTTTGCATGATATGCTTTGGCTGCTATGTGGAGCTGTCAAAAGCCTTGAACAGACAAAATAAAGAAGAATGGCATTCCAGGAAATAAACAAGCTTAATCTCAGTTGGACAGAAGGAGGTACAAAGAAGGCCTGGGGAAGGAAGAGGAAGAGGCAGGATACAGGGAAGACAGAATGGACTCTGTAACCTCAGGAAAAAATAGCAACCTTATAAATACAAAGATGTTCCCTGGCAGACACATGTCAGCACCTGGGTTATGAAAGACCAGCCAATGCCCCCCCACACAGGTTAGAATCACATTCATCAGGAAGGAAGAGAGCAGAAGGACCCTGCTGCCTGGTGATGTCTCAGCTGGCGTGGCTGCAGCTTTGCTTCCAGCAGCCGGGGAACCGCCATGGGAAGGCGTTTCCTCAAAATGCATGAAAGGCGGAGGAGCTTGGTTTTCTGATGGTTTGCTGCCCCTTGAAGTTGGCAACACCATCCCTTCATCTGCATGGATAAACCGGGGCATCCTTTTTGAGAAGCAGTACTTTTTTTTTTAAGACTTTATTAATCCCACACGTTTGAGAGAGGTGGTTGGGAAAGCAAGTATTAATGAATTAACTGCTTCCTAGGATTCAATCAGTCATTAAAAATGTACCCGTGAAATTTTCTTGAGCTGTTCAATTGTTTATCATTATCCAAGTGGTTCATACTCTCATGCATTTATTTTCCTTCCACATTTACCTCTAAGCAAATTACCTAATTCAACATGGTTATTATTCTGGATATTTAAAAGCTGTGTATTGGGAAATTTCACATAGTAATATGAATACACCTGTTACGCTTAATCCTTTGTGCCTAGGTGTGATTATTAGATATAATTTATAGAAATTCTGCCGAACTCATTGTAATTTATTATCCATTTATGGTTTTACTTGATTAGTCTTACTTAAGGATGATATTTTCTAAATGTATAAATAAATGATACAGCCTATTAAAGTGGAGGTTATATAATAAGTGACGGGTTTAGGAGTGGACATGTGACCGAGCTCTGGCCAATGAGTTGCAAGGGGTATTTTTGGAGGCATCTGAGAAATGTTTACTTGCTCTTAAAAAAGAAGATTGTAGGAAAAAAAGAAGGAAAACTTTCCTGTTCTACTGGACCCCCATACCAGACATCTGCATGTACTGCCTCAAGCAGGGGCAACTGTCTCATGACTGAGTAGAGCTAAGCCACCACATCAACACATCGAAACTGGCAGAGGGGAAAGCTGGAAAGATTCTAGGTCCTTGAATTTGTGAGGCTGCTGAACCAGCTAACCCTGCGGCAACCCCGCTCTGGACTTGCCATTTGACGTAATAACTTCCTTCGTTATTGAAACTTGTGTGAATTGGTTTGTATCACTTGCAGCCAAAAGCCACCCCAAAGCTTCCCAGCTGACATCTGTAGACTAGGGAGTCCCAACAAGAGGAACAGACTTCACCTGGTGAAGCCGTGCCAACCCACTCCACCTGTCTCTGAGATCTATAGACATTTGAATGTGAGCGTGAAATGCTGCTCAAGTTCAGGTAGACTACAGCTCAAGAATGTGAGACTACAGGTTGGTAGTCTGCCTCCCTCTCTAAGGCAAAGAGATATTTCAATGTTACCTGGGACCTGAGAAAGGGGGAGGGTCTATGGTTTGCCCAGATAACTAAAGTCTGTAGGTTAGAAAGTCAGGATTTGTTTGGAAGCTATAAAGATGTATCCTCATATGTCATGGACATCATGTGATATGGTTTGGCTGTGTTCCCACCCAAATCTCATCTTAGCTCCCATAATTCCCACATGTTGTGGGAGGGACCCCACGGGAGATAACTGAATCATGGGGAAGGTTTCCCCCATACTGTTCTCATGCTGATGAGTAAGTCTCACGAGATCTGATGGTTTCATAAGGGGAAACTCCTTTCAGCTGGTTCTCATTCTCTCTTGTCTGCTGCCATGTAAGACGTGCCCTTTGCCTTCTGCCATGACTGTGGGGCCTCCCCAGCCACGTGAAACTGTGAGTCCATTAAACCTCTTTTTCTTTATAAATTACCCAGTCTTGGGTATGTCTTTATCAGCAGCACAAAAACAGACTAATACATCATCCTAACTTGAATGATGCCTGTCCTCAGTGAGTGGTCCATTGTGAGTATCCATCAAGGAGTTTTCTCCCACTGCACACTGGACCTCAGGAGTTACCACAAGCTCCCTAGCACTCTTCAAATTGTTCCTCGTTTCCAGCAAGTCATCTCTTCTCCACCCACCTCATGAATTCAATATTTTAGATGCCTGTCACATTGCCTGTCGCTGATCCCTGACTCTTGAGACCCCACTATGTGCTACAGTCTTGGTCCCCTGTTTGCTTGGAAGAAGACAGGAAGTTTTAACCCGAGGCTGTAGAGGGCTTCAGGCATACCGGTCTGTTCTTGTTGCCTGGACTCCTCCAGCACATCCAAGTCTGCCCTTTAACCGTTTCTTGGCTACAACTGGTCTCAATATGGTGATGGCCAGGGGACAGATGAGCTTTGAAAGCCTCGGGCCAACCAGCCAGATGTTCTCTTGCCTCCAGTGGTCACTGGTGATGCCTGGTATGGGGGTGTGTCCAGAGGTTGACCCACTGTTGCTCCCCATGGCCTATGATAGAGGGCCATGCTCACACAGGGAGCTGGGACCAAAGACCAGAGTCCAGCAAGAATCTCTGGACCAAAGGTCAGGCAGTCTGGAGACAGTCTGCATCTCTGGCAGACCCCAGGGTGAGAAGCAGCTATCCCAGGCCAGAGTGGGGTCAGCTGGCCAATCTGGGGGCTCTGGAGCAGATGAGAGGGAGCCTGTCCTGCACACTTGAAAGAGAAGTTGCAAGGTAGTACCAAGGACAATTCAGCTCTACTTGATTCTGAAAAGACTATCCCCACCCTCACCATAAGGAGAAGAGACAGTGTAGTTTGCCAGTGCAACTGCGGAGGGAAAACAATCCCACCCTATCTGCCTCTATCTCTTCTTCTTTTTTTTTGGAGACAGAGTCTTGCTCTGTCACCCAGGCTAGAGTGCAATGGTGTGAGCATAGCTCACTGTAACCTTGAACTTCTGGGCTCAAGTGATTCTCCTGTCTCAGCCTTTCCAGTAGCTGGGATTACAGGCATAAGCCATCATGCCTGGCCCCATCTCTATCAATCCACCATGGCCTGGGGGGGATTTTAGCTATCATAGCCTGCAGCTGGGCCCAAACCAGCGCTGGGGAAACTCCACACCCACCAAAACAATGCAGCACAGCAAACTCATGTGCCCCCTAAGAGGGACAGTGGTTTGAAGGAAGGAGACAGCCAAATTCTAGAACAGATGGCTACTACAGAGCAGAACTAATGACAGATACAGAAATAGACTATATAATATAAACAATGAGAATTCATAAGGAGATATTATTAGAGCACAAAAAATGCTGCCAGAACAGAAAAATGCTTGATTTTTTTTATTGTTTTGTTGTTCCTGGATCCTAAGAGAAACTCCAAATGCTCAACTTTTTCCATTTAAAAATTTAGTAGAGGTACTGTATAAAAGAACGGTCCCCACTAAAAACCAAATTACTATTTTAGGAAGATAAAATGAAAGACGTATCCCACAGCACAAGATAAAAAGTTAATGAACTAAGAATCACGAGTTAAGGATCAAGATATGGAGGGTGGATGCAGGAGGATGCATCCTATGTAAATAATAGGAGTTGAGGGAGAAAACAAAAGTATGAGAGAATAAAAAAAGAAATGCCAAAGAAACAAAACCAATCGAGTCTTAAGATTGAAAGGGTTCTGAAAATGCTGAATTTAGACACATCCTTACAAAGCTGCTGAATTTCCAGAATAGGGAGGAAAATCATATAAGCTTCCAGACAGGAAGAACACATTGCTTTTAGAAATAACCAGTCTAGGGGCCGGGCGCGGTGGCTCATGCCTGTAATCCCAGCACTTTGGGAGGCTGAGGTGGGCAGATCACTTGAGGTCAGGAGTTCCAGACCAGCCTGGCCAACATGGTGAAACCCATCTCTACTAAAAATACAAAAATTAGTGAGGTGTGGTGGTGCAGGCCTGTAATCCCAGCTACTCAGGAGGATGAGGCAGGAGAATCGCTTGAACCCAGGAGGCAGAGGTTGCAGTGAGTAAAGATTGCACCACTGCACTCCAGCCTGGGTGACAGAGAGAGACTCCATCTCAAAAAAAAAAAAAAAAACCAAAAATAAATAACCAGTCTAATATCACATTTCTCACCTGCAATCATGGAAAGTAATAGATCATGGGCTAACATTTAGTGGCTAGGGAGAAGAAAGAACTGATGAGGAATCCTCCACCAGGCAACTACAGAGAAATCAATGATTGGACCTGCAGTCAGGAAACACAGCTTCTCTGCATACTCTCTGTGAATACTCCAGGATACGCTACCAAAGAGCCAGATCAGAACAAGGGTCCAAGGGAGAAGACAGAGTGCAGTGATCAACAGTGAGAGTGAATCTCGTAATATTTATTTTTAAATCTTCATGCACAATGGTAACGTCAATGCAAGTTATAACACAATTTTTCTTGAGGATTCTTGAAATGAAATAATGAAAATTTTAGTTAGATCCTAGCCCCAATCTCAGCATACTCCAGGAATAAGGAGAAGACAAGGGCGAAGGAGTGAAAAGAAACATGATTCCCAGGGTTTCTCCTCCAGGTGGGATGAGATGAAGAGGACACTGAAAATATTCAGGCAGAAGGGTGTGCTGGTAATTAAGCTACGTTTTCTCAATTTCAAATCCACTGCTCCCTGACGCTGGAGTGGGGGCTCTTTAAGCTGTGGTTTTCTTTTGTTAGATGGTGTTCTATTGGGTTCTTCCAGTAAGAGGCAATGGAGGGAGCCTGAAAAGTGGGGAGAGGAGATGAACTTGCTTCTTCCTTTTCTCTTGCTCTCCATGTCAGTACCAGCCTGGCAGTACCCCTGCCCTGGGCTTCAACCTCTCTCAGGACTTCCAAACCAGCTTTCTTGTGCTCTCTCAGAAGTATGAACAATAGCAAAGCACTTCCCTGCAGATATGAAAAAGACTGAAAGAGAATACTATATACAGCCTTTCCCAAAACATTTGAAAAACAGAGAAAGTGGGCAAATTCCTAGAAAAACACAACCAAGAAAAACTGATGCAAGAAGAATCACAAAGTTTGAATAATTCTAGGAGCTTCTGAATCTGGAATTCCAAACTTCCCTTCCCAGAAAACTTCAGGCCAAGATGACTTCACTAGTAAATTCCACTGAACATTTGAAGAAGAAATAACACCAGCCTTAAATAAATGTTTCCAGAAAAGCAAAAGAGGGACTAATCCCCATTGTGTCTTATGAAGGAAGTTTAACCTCCATATAAAATCTGTCAAGGACATTTTGAAAAATGAAGATGAAAGACCAATCTCTCTCATGAATATACGATAAAAAAATCCCAAACAAAACATTAACAAACAGAATCAAGAGATTCAGCTTGAGCAAGCTGAGTTCAGTCAAGGAAATAAGGTTGGTTCAACATTCAAAAACCAATCAAGATAATTCACCATATTAACAGAATAAGGGAGTTCTCTCATATGGTCTTCCCCCAAAAAAGAAAAGTCATATGATAAAATTCAGCATTTATTCATGATTTTTTTTAAACTAACAAAACAAAATTTAGCAGGCTAGAAATAGAAAGGAACTTAAACAATCACTACAACAACTTCCATTAAACATCATATGTAAAATAATGAGAATGTTGCCTCAAAGATAAGAAATAACAAAGAAAGCTGCCATCATCACTTCATCATTTTACTGGAAGTCTCAGTCAGTGCAATCAGAAAAAAGAAATAAAAGTTACAAGATTGGGGAAAAACCCCAAGTTATCTTATTTTCAAATGATGTGATTCTACATGCAGAAAATTCAAAAGAATGTAAAGATAAGTTAATAGACTCACTGAATTTATCAAAGTAGCTCGATATAAGGTTAATAGACATACATCAGCTTTATTTCTATTTTCCAATAACAAAATAGAATGAAAATAACAGCATATGTGGTACATTTTCCCAAAGATGGATGCAACGCAATCTCCCCCCTACATGCCCTTTTGTACCAAAATGTGGGTGGCTGAACCTTCCATCAAGGGACAGGGACTATCTGTCCACCCTCTCAAATGTGAACTCCTTTTGTGGCCTGCTTTGAACAATGGAATGCGGCGGTAGTGACACTGTCTGAGTCCTGGAGCCCCGGCCTCGGAGGCTGACACCTCTACTTCTGTCCTCTGGCCACGGTCCCCACTGTAGTGCTCTCCTTGCACGGACAGAGCTCAGCCCATGCCACTGACTAGGGATGACAGGAAAGGCTCAGCAGCCAGCATCAAAGTTCCAAATAGAAGAGTGAGGCCGTTTAGACCATTATGTAATTGAGTGTCCTGTTTTTAAAAAGTATTTCTTCTTTCTCCTTCCTGCCTGTTCCTTGTCTTGCCCTTAGCATGAGATAATAGTCTTTGCTCTCCCTCCTTCTACCAGGAACTCCCTGGCACAATGTTTCCCTCATCTAATTATGTTTTTGTTTAGAAGTTCCAGAGACTAAATCTTGAAACAATTCGGGCCACTATGGGATTCTCCCTGACCTGCAGATTACTTCCAAGCTGCAGTTAATTTGCAACTGGGCTGTACCCAAGATGGCACCAGCCCATTCACCAGATGGGGCAATAACGCAAGATAGTCATAGGAACAAGTCATGTAGACTGGCACCTCCTCATCACTCCTGCATGCCCCTCATACCAAACACCCTTTTTAAGCCCTTAACCTTGACCCAAAAAGCTGAAATGGTTTCTTTCAGGCACTATCCGCGGCCATTTCCCCATGGAATGGGGAAGAAAGCTTTTGGGATAAAGTCACTTTCCTTTCACTGTATTGCATCCTTGTTCTCGGCTTTGCAAGCAGCAAATAGCCGTGCCTGCATTCGGTTACAATTGGATTGCTCCAGCTACACTGCAATCACAGAAGAAAGTTTAGGCAAGACCAGCAAAAAAAAAAAAAAGAAAAAAAAAAAAAGAAAACCCATGGAATCCTGAGGAATGATAAAACTATTGTTGTTTTAAGCCATTACCTTTTGAGGTGGCTTGTGGCACAGCAATAGATAACCAAAACACCATACTCAATCACAATACCACACACACATTTATTTTGTTTAAAGTAGAAATATATCTAATGAGAGATATGCAGTGCCTCTACTCAGAACATTATAAAACAATATTGAGATAAATTACGTGAGACCCAAATACATGTTCATAGCAGACATGCTACGGTAAAGATATCAATATTCCCCATATTCATCAAAAGCTTCAATATAATCCCATTAAAAATTCCAGCAGGGTTTCTTTATACAATTTGACCAATTTACTAAAAAGCTCATGTGAAAATGCAAATGGCCCTGAATAGCAAAACAAGTCTGAACAACAAAATGCTGATGTTATAGATACCAAGTCTTATTTATAAATCTATAGTTATTAAGACAATCTGGTATTAATGCAAGTATAGACAAAAAGACCAACAAGATCGAACAGAGAATCCAGAAAGTGACCCACGGTTAGGAGGACACTCATTCGTCACAGAGATGGCACTGCACAGCTGTGGGGAAGGGACTGTCTTTTGAATAAATAGCCCAGGATCAATTGGATATTCATACAGAAAAATGAAATTACATTTTTTAAACAAAAATTTACTTTCGGTAAACTGTAGTTCTAAATATAGGTGGGAAAATAAAGCTATTTGATGATAACAGGAGAAAAACTCTGTGACCCTGAGGTAGGAAAAATATTTTTTAAATCAAGACACCAAAAAGACCACTGAAAAGGCAAGCCTCTGAAAGCAAGAAACACATACTGTTCTGTATGCATATTTGTATACGTGCGTGTGTGCATATACAGTCATGTGCCACACAATGCTGTTTTAGGCAAGTCTGGGCCACGTATGTCACAGTGGTCTCGTTTGACTGTAACGCCCAGCACAGTGCTCCTGCTCCTGTTTCCCCATCATCACCAACACCTGGTGTTGTCAGGGCCTCTACACTGGCTGTTCTCTCTGCCTGGAAAGTTCTTCCCACATGGCTCACTCCCTTGCCTCCTTCAGGTCCCCAGCAATGGTGAGATCTTCCCTCATAACTCTATATTAAGTGTAGTAATTAACGGTACAATATTTCTACTGTACCTTTTCTGTGTTTAGGTATGTTTAGAAGCACATATGCTCACCACTGTGTTACAGTCACCTATAGTATTCAGCACAGTAACGTGCTGTACAGGTTTATGGTCCAGGAGCAATGGGCTGTACCCTATAGCCTATAGGTGTGTAGTAAGCTGTACCCTCATCTAGGCTTGAGTAAGTACTCTCTATGATGTCTACACAACATGCATTTCCCAGAACACCTTTGTCATTAAGCACATAACACATAACTATATATGTACATGTGTATGTATGTACATACATATATGTATATATCCGCCCAACAAATCACAAATAACTCAATGACGGGATCATTTCCAGAACATACAAAATAAATAAGAAAAATGGGCGGGGTGCAGAGGCTCACGCCTGTAATTCCAGAACTTTGGAAGGCTGTGGGCAGATTGCTTAAGCTCAGGAGTTAGAGACCAGCCTGGGCAACGTGGCAAAACCCTGTCTCTACAAAAAATTAGAAGAAATTAGCTGGGTGTGGTGGTGTATGCCTGCAGTCCCAGCTACTCTGAAGGCTGAGGTGGGAGGATTGCTTGAGCCTAGGAGGCAGAGGTTGCAGCGAGCCAAGATCACGCCACTGCACTCCAGCCTGGGTGACAGAGGGAGACCCTGTCTCAAAAAAAAAAAAAAGAAAAAGAAAAGAAAAATGCACATAACACAATGGAACATAAGGGCTTCAAGAAAAAGAGCATCTAAATGTCAAGTAAGCATGAAAAGGCACTCTACCTTATTAGCAATCAAGGAGATGCAGAACAAAACTGTAATGAGACACCATGACTCACCACCCTATGGCTAAGATGAAAATGACTGACAACATCAAGTGCGGGTGATAATGGGGAAAAACAGGAACATTGGTGGGGTAATGTAAGCTGGACCAACCACTGTGGAAAATGATCTGGCATTATCTACTAAAGTTGAACCTATGCACCCCGAAATTTCACTCCTAGAGAGTGCACAAAAAGATTTGATATGAGGCACGGTGTGGTGGCTCACGTCTGTAATCCCAGCACTTTGGGAGGCCGAGGTGGGTGGATCACCTGGGGTCAGGAGTTTGAGACCAGCCTGATCAACATGGCAAAACCCCATCTCTACTAAAAATACAAAAATTAGCCAGGCATGGTGGTGCGCACCTGTAAACCCAGCTACTCAGGAGGCTGAGGCAGGAGAATCACTGGAATCCGGGAGGTGGAGGTTTCAGTGAGCCAAGATCGCACCACTGCACTCCAGCCTGGGTGACAGAGTGAGACTCCATCTCAAAAAATATATATATACATATATAAGTGAAAGTTCACAGCAGCATTATTTGTAATAGTCACCAAATTGAAATAATCTAAATGTCCATCAACAACAAAATGCATAAATAAAATGCAGGATGTATACGACGAAACACTGTACAGCAATAAGAAGGAGGAACTACGGCTAAATGCGGCAACATGAATGGATCTCATTCCTTCACTGCTTTTGTGGATCTGGCCCTGGCCTCCCAGGGCACAGGTACCAGAGGGACCCTCCTGCAAGTCCCTCCTCACCTCACCACCACAATGGTCCTCAAAAAAGTCAAACTCTTTAAAATCCCCCACCAGTCTGCACACCGGGCAGCCCCTGTTGTCTAGCCTCACCTCCTACTTTCCCTGAGGGCACTCTCCCGAGCCATAACTTCTCCTCGCAGTCTGTTCCTTGAGTGTGCCAGGCGTGCTTCCACCTCAGGGCTCTGCACGGGTTGTCCTCTCTGCCTGGAAAGTTCTTCCCCTGCAGAATCACGCGGCTCACTCCCTTGCCTCCTGCAGGTCTTGGGGACCATGAGCCCTTTCCCATGACTCTATATTCAGGTATCACCCCATGTCCATACTCCCGAGGTTTTGAACGAGTTTTACTTTTTCACCATAACACTCACCTGCATCTGGTATATGATTTATCTGCCCATTCTGTATGATCAATCTCCCTGCACAAGAATGCAGCTTTGGGAGAATGAGAATTTTGCCTCTTTTGTTCACTGTTATATCCGTAGGAGCCAGAGCTCTTCTAACACACAGAAGGCGCTCAGTACAATTCTGTTAAAAGAATGGCCACATAAGAAGACAGAAACACAAATGCTGACTGATGCTGTCTGTGCTTAGACAGAGCTTGTCTATCCGTGGGCCTCACCAGTAGGTTCCTCTGCCTGTGATTTCCTTTCTCTAGGCCGTGAACTTCTATAGAAAGGACTCTTGCAGCTCCTGCCAGGGCATTGTTGAGACTAGCAGCCAGCACTGTGGGAGCCAAAGGGAGTGAAGCTGAGGAGGCCGATGGAGATGCGGCCTCATCTCTTCAAAGGCTCTCACTTAATCCCAAGTGACTTAATCCCAGTGTTCACAGAACATCCATGTGCCCCCCTGCAGTTCCTGCCTCCCTTGCAGCTGGGATGGGCCATGTGCCTGAGTCTGGTGAATGGACATGTGAGTAGAAGGGGTGTGTCCCCTCTGGCCTGAGGTGCTCACCATCAGGTGCCTCCCCCATCCCTTTCTTCCCCCTAGACAGCAATTCTGGGGGCCATGGAAGGGGTCTCATTACCTCCCTTCCCACACAGAGGAAAGCTGCCCTGAAGAGCTATCCAGTCCATACTATGCATTTGTGACTAAGAAACAAACCTTTGCTACGTTAAGCCATTGAAATTTCAAGGGTTTTTTTGTTACTGCAGCATAGACTATCTCATCCTGACGATCTTCTGTCAGGCACCCCCACTCCTGCCTTAGCTGTACTAGACATCCTTGTACTCTGATGTCTCTCTGGTTCAACCTCTGTCTGCTACTGGGGTCAGATGGACAGTTACAAAGCTGCACAGGCTCCATTTGGGGCTCTGAGGGGGTTGCCTGCATATCACAGACTGTAAACCAGTGCTCCTTTTGCCCCATCCACATTCCTGCCTTCAGAGACATCTGGTGACTCTAATTCCTGAGCCCTTGCAGGGCCCTGAGGCACAAATCAGCTTGTTTCTTCCTGCCCCACCCTGGACCCCCAGCTCTCAGCATGGTGGATAAGCAGAAAGAAATCGAAGCCAACCACACAATGATACACTTCTCGTGCTTCCAAAATGCTGCTGACATTTTCCATCTGTTCATCTCCTCTTTGTGAGTTTGAATCTTTTTTCTTTTATTCTTTTATTGTCATTTTAATGGTGCTTCAGGAGAAATAGTGATAAACAATAACTATTTCGTGAATACCTATTTATTTTGAATATTCATTGTAACCACTGCTAAGAACAGCAAAACTTTTAGGTTTGCATAGGTTTTTTTTTTCTTCCAAGAAGTTCAGAGTACATTTAAAATATCAGTTCAAAGAACAAAAGGAAAATATTATTATTACCATTTTAAATCAGATAAAGCCCTGTGAGGTCTGAAAAACTGCCCCACCACCCAATGTTTGCCAATGCTGGGACACAATCCAGGCTCCCATCTCATGATCTGATTTTCTACTAGTGGACACTATCCTGAGTGCTATCATTTATATCCATCTTCCCACCTTTCATAGGAATTCTATCTGCATAACCCAAAGAATACCTGCTGGAGACTGACACTTACTGCAACTTTGCCAGCACTTTCATGTTCTTAACAAGGCATTTCACCAGTTTAACTACTGATCATCACTGACAGGCTTCAGTACATAATTTCATATATGAATCTTCATCCATCTTTTTCTTTTCTTTTCTTTCTCTCTTCCTTTCTTTCCTTCTTTTTCTCTTTCTTCAGTACATAATTTCATATATGAATCTCCTTCCTTCTTTCCTTCCTTCCTTCCTTCTTTCTTTCTTTCCTTCTTTCTTTCTTGTTTTTCATGGAGTTTTGCTCTTGTTGCCCAGGATGGAGTACAATGGCACGGTCTTAGCTCACTGCAACCTCTGCCTCCTGGGTTCAGGCAATTCTCCTGCCTCAGCCTCCCGAGTAGCTAGGATTACAGGCACGTGCCACTACGCATGGCTAATTTTTGTATTTTTAGTAGAGATGGGGTTTCACCATGTTGTCCAGGCTGGTCTTGAACTCCTGACCTCAGGTGATCTGCCCTGCTCGGCCTCCCAAAGTGCTGGGATTACAAGCATGAGCCACTGCGCCCAGCAATGCGTTTTCATATATTCCATAAAACACAGAAGTGTGTACTAAGATCATGTATATGTATATGGCTTGGAAAATTTATAAGGTCTCCATCTAGAAGCTGTACATCTTTGGTTTTAAAAGGAGAGGGCTAGAGAGAGGATAAATCCAATCAGTTGCTTCTTTCATTCCTCACTTCTTTTCTACTGTTAACATACGTGGTCATAAAGAATACCAGATGCAGGCCAAATACATTTGCCATGAGAAAAAGATAAAAATCAAAACTTATGGCTTCTCAATACTGCTTAGTATTAAAGCACAATGCTGCATTCTCTACTACAGCTGTGTAGTTACAAGAATCTATTTGAGTGGCCATGTGTCAAAGATAATGGCACAAAAAGGCTGGGTCTATATGGCTCATGGCCCAACATCCACTGCTTAACATGATGCTTTTTCTGGATTAAGATCTTCAAGTCAGGCAAAGGCTCCGGAGGAGGACAGAAAACCAAAGTGAAGAGATGCACTAGGTAGGGAGGTTTTTGGGTTGTAAGTGATAGAAACTCAACTCCCGTTACCTCAAACAAAAAGGGGAATTTATTGACTCTTTTTTTTTTTGAGACGGAGTCTCGCTCTGTCCCCAGGCTGGAGTGCAGTGGCACAATCTCGGCTCACTGCAAGCTCCACCTCCTGGGTTCACGCCATTCTCCCTCAGCCTCCTGAGTAGCTGGGACTACAGGCGCCCGCCACCATGCCTGGCTAATTTTTTGTATTTTTTTTTTTTTTAGTAGAGACAGGGTTTCACCGTTTTAGCCAGGATGGTCTCGATCTCCTGACCTTGTGATCCGCCCGCCTTGGCCTCCCAAAGTGCTGGGATTACAGGCATGAGCCACCGCGCCCGGCCAAATTTATTGACTCTTAGAACCAGGAAGGGTTCCCCCAGGTCCCAGGCAGAGAGTGGGGATGCAAGCAGGCCCAGAAGCAGGTGTGAGCTGCTGTGGGCATCGCTCTGTCCAGGCCGTCCCCTCTGTCCTTGGCTTGGCTCTAATCCTGCAGCATGGCTTACTTCACACTCGGGGAAGCGTGGAAGTTGGCCATGCTGAGCAACTCTCTTAATGGAGAGATGGAGTGTGGGGTCCACACCCTCCACCCCCGCTCCACTGCCTGCACACCATGCCAAGTCCAGGTATTCTAGGGAATGGAATTCTTTGGGGTTCGCTGCCATGCCCAAGACAGTGCCTTCATGCTGTCCTCACAGCGCATCCTGCAGTAACTGTGGGGAAACTGAGGGTGGGGGGAGATTGTCTGGGAAGAGGAGCTGGGCCTACAATTCTGATGCTCCCTGCAGCCTAACCTCCACCCCCCATGTCACTGCCAAGGAATCTTGCAGCCCAGAGCAGACAGCAAGAGCCTCTGCCCACTAGGTCTGGTGCTCAGAAGCAAAGAGGGCCCTCTGGGGGGACAGTCAACACAAGGAGACTTAGGGTGGGTATGGGCAGCCAGAGCCCCAGCCCCAGGAGCTGGGATTAGGGCCCAGGAATGAGGAAACAGGGAGGGGAAAGCACATTGACCAATCCTGGAAGCAGCGTTATTGAAAGGTTCTGGAAATTCAAAGAAGCAGGCAATGTGTGGGCAGACTCCCGTTAGTGGCCAGAGCCCAGAAGGAACCAACTTTGCCTTCAACCTCAGCCCACTCCCTGCTAACAGAGGGAGATGGTGACGAGTCTGAGGGGCAGAAGGAGGTCCAGGCATAGAATTGCACTTGTCCTGGGTCTCTGCAGGTCAGCAGTGGGATGAGTAGGGAGACAGCCCGCCCTGGGCCTCCACAGTGGGGAAATGAGGCAAACGTGTCTCTTTTGCTACAGGACCAAGTCCACTGTCCTAGAAAGGTTTAGTTGACAAAAAAGGAGACATTCACACATTTCCTCCAGCAGACCCACTCACTGTTATTTGTTACCTGGGAAACCAAACAGCCATATATAAACAAGGGTAAATCTTAGAATCTTGGAAATGAAAGTGCCATAATTTCCAGGATGATATTAAAACGCCGTGACTTTCTGAAAAGGGTTCCAGCAACGTGGTTGACAGAAAATATTGTGCTTTCTTTTCCACAAGGAGATTGAATGTGTCTTATTTACAGTTACCCAGAAAACAATGATGAAAGTAGCTAAGTCTGCATTCTAGAGGCACAGGTCAAGGTGTCTGAGGAACAATTTGGCATCTTGGAAAGTGAAGTCCCGAGGCTGGGACCCTGTGGGGAGCCTTCTTCATTGCAGGCTCCAAGCCGCCAGTCTCCTGCTGTAGGGAGAAGGCTGTCGGTGCTGCAAGGATGGAGGGGGATGTGCAGAGCCCAGGCACTGAGAGAAGCTTCTTAGAGCCAGACCATCGGGAGGGAGAAAACAGGGTGACAGGGGTCAGTTCATGAAGACCCTTGGATTGGATTTCATTCCAAGAACAGTGAAAAACCCATGTAAATCAGGACTTCGTGAATGTGCTTATTCTAACTTCCAGAGGAAATAATGAATGAACTGTCTACTGAAAACCCCTGCCTGTGCTCCATCTGAAATGCTGCCTCCCTCAAAGCATGAAGCTGGAGTCAGCACTGACGACGATGGGCAGCTGGAGTGGGAGAAGAGGAGTGGCATGGCCTCAGGGAGGGCCAGGTCCCCCTGCACCTCTTTCCCACTTGGTGTCCCCCACCTGGTCACTCCCAGGAAGCCACTGCTGAATTGACAGCCAGGCCTCTACTGAGTCAAGGGCGACATCTGGAGATGTAGAATCAGACATAAAACTCAGCACAGTACTCATCCCTTATCCTTAGGGGGATACATCCTAAGACCCCCAGTGGATACGTGAAACTGCAGATGGTACCAAACCCTACGCAGCAGTTTTTCCTATACTTACATACATATGATACAGTTTATAAATTAAGCAAATAAGAGAATAACAATAGCTATTGATAAAACAGAACAATTATAACAATATGCCAGTAAAACTACTCTTGTGTTTTGCCACCATTAAGTAATATGAGGGTTCCTTGAACGGAAGCACTGCGATGTATGTCTGATAACCATCCTGGCTACTAAGTGACGGCCACGTGGGGAGTGTGGACAGCCTGGAGACGCTGGACAAAGGGATGAAGAAAGACAGCAGGAGATTTTTATCCTGCGACTCAGAACAGTGGATTTAAAACTTGTGAGTTGTCTGTTTCTGGAATATTCCATTTAGTATTTGCAGCCCATGGTTGATCAAAGGTAACAGAAACTGTGGAAAGTGAAACCTTGGGGAAGAGGGGACTGCTGTATAAAAAACTTTGAAACCTTTTCCATATGTGTGTGGGCTCCATCCAATCACGTGAAGGCCTCAAGGGAACAAGACTGACCTCCCCTGAGCAAGGAGGAATTCTGCCAGCAGAAGGGCTTTGGATCGAACTGTAACTCTTCCCTGGGTCTCCAGTCTGCTGGCCTACCCTGCAGGTTTCCACAACACCATGAGCCAATTCCTGAAAACAATCTCTCTCTATGTATATATACACATCCTGCTGATTCTATTTCTCTAGAGAATCCCAATTAATAGAAACAGTAATGTAGAAAAGAGATGATGGTGGCTTGGATGAGGGGGTAGCAGTGGAGGTGATGAGAAATAGTTACATTCAGGGTGATTTGTAGGATTTCCTGAAAGTTTGGATTATAGGATTGAGAGAAACAGAAGGGCTAAGAATGAATCTACAGAAGGGCAAATGTAAGATGCTATAGAAGGCAGAATTAGACCTATTTTAAAAAACACATGAAATCCTCAGAACAAATATTGGAAAAAGAGATCCTTTAAAAAATTGTTACAAAACTACAAAATAACTAGGCCCAAAATCGACAGAAAATATTATGAACCTAAAGCAAAGTAAAAACTCTGAAACTCTACAGAAAATCATAAAACTTGATGTTTTTTAAATTAAACATTACATATATTGAATACTATAAAGATGTCAGTTCTACTAAAATAACATATAAATCCAGTAATCCTAGTTACAGTAACAACTGGATTGGGATATGTATTAGTTTTCTAGGGCTGCTGTAATCAAGTACCACAAATTGGGTGGTTTAAAACAACAGAGCATCCATCAGGGAGAGAATTGGTCAAATCAGAGCTTTCTAGAAAGGCCATCCCTTAAGAGCAGGTCTATCTCAGCTCTAGAGTAAGGGTTACTCTAGGCCATTGGTTGGCAAACTGTAGCACATGGGTCAAATGTGGCCTATTGCCCTGTTATCATATAGCCTGTGAACTAAGAATGACTTTTACATTTTAATGAAGAAATATATGTCACAGACCATCTGTGACCCATAAACCCTGGTCCTTTACAGTAAGTTTACCAACCCCTGCTGGAAACCTACCATAAAAAATCTTAAAAACAAACTCAAAAGCACCAAGCTAATCCACAAATAAATGAACTAACTACCTGCCAGAACAAAATTCAACACTCTCTGAAGCGAACAAAATCTAAAATCCAGACACTCAGCCGTATCACATTTACAATGTCCAGCATACGCTCAAAACTTAATAGATGAATTCACTAGAGAATAAGTTTCAGACAACCAAAATGACCAAAGAGACACTGACAAAAGACATATGGAAAGCTCACACTGGCCAAACTTAGAACAGTGTACGCATCATAGGGAATAATAATTGCAGGGAGTAAAACATGTCTATGAAGTTCATAATGATCTTTACAAAAACACCATTTGGCCACTTCTAGAGGATGCTCAAAAACCAATGTATTCTCCTGATGACAGATAAAGGGAAATAACAAAGCACAGTAGATAACTAGTACCATCTCTATATCAAATAATCAAACTAATAAATGATGAGGAAATTGTAGAATTAGAATATCATCAGTTTGCAACCTTCAGTGTATTAATGAATCCAGGCATCACACATTAAAAGTTGCTAAAATCACAGAGAACACCAGACTTTGGCATGCCTCTTTATGAATGAACAGAATCCCACCTATCATCTTACCAAAGAGAAAGAACTGGAGTCTGATCAGGCCTCTAAATCCTGTTGCTTATTAACAGGAAATATACAGAACACAGGAACATTTTGAACTGCAGCAAAAGTAGGTAATCAGTGAATCCATGCGGGGTCTACAGGTGAAATGCTTCGGCTCTTGAACAGCTAGACTATAAGGAAAAATGACCCATTAAGATAAAAGGAGACAAAAAGACTTTAAAAAAATCCAACAAAACAAAACTAAACTGCAGTGTCTGAAGGATGCACATTTAGTGTTGAAACAATAAAAGAATCTAGCAGCTGAATGCACATGGTTTTTAAACTTGTGGAACATGGACAAAAATTGACCACACATGGGGCAGAAAAGCAAGCTTCAACAAATGTCAAAAGTTTGAAACAGAAAATGTATGGTTTCTGACAACCGTATAATTAAGCTAGGACTATATAACAAAAAGATACTAGAAAACCTATGTTCACAAATTAATATCCTTCTAAGTAACCTATGAATCAAAGAAGAAATAATCAATATTAGAAAATAATTTGAACGGAATGATATTAAAACTAATAGGATACAAGTCAAGCTGTGTTTAGAGGGAATTTATAGCCCTGAGAGCATTTATTAGAGAAGTAAAGCTGAAAATTAATGACCTAAGCATTCATCTCAAGAATTTAGAAAAAGAACTGCAAATTAAATCTTCAGAAAAGAGAAAAAAAAGGAATAATAAAGACAGAAAGCAATGAAATAAAATTTCAAAATACAATAAAAAGGGAAAAACAATTCATTGATAATTAATAAAACTGGCAAATCTGAGGTAAGATTGATGAAGAAAGCAAACTGCAGGCATAGATAACTACTATCAGAAATGGAAAGGAGGTATCACTTCTCCTACAGGCATTAGAAAGCTAATAAGAGGATATTATCAACAAATTTATAGGAATACATTTGAAAATTTAGATAAAATGGAGGATTGCTTAGAAAAATACAACCCACCAAAACTGACACAAGAAGAAGAAATACTGAATTTGAATATATTGTAACTATTAAAGAAACTGAATCATAATTCAGCACCTTCCATGAAATAAAATCCTACAGCCAGATGACTTCAACAGTGAATTAATTCTAATGACCATTTAAGGAAGAGATACTACCAGTCTTACATGAACTCTTCCAGAAAATAGAAAAAGAACTATTCACTGTGTTTTCTAAAGGCAGCATAATCTTAGTACCAACCTCTGATAAGACCTTTCATGAAGGAAAATGATATGAACCATCTCTCTCATGAACATAAATGCAAAGATCCTAAACAAAACTTTAACAAACGTGACTTGAAAGTGAAAAAAAGAAAAAAGAAGAGTAATGTCCATGGAAATAAACTAGAAGTACATAAAAATGATAACACACCATGACCACATAAGGTTGGATCCAGGAAGCTTGGTCTATCCATAACAGGTTGAAGAAATATTTTATGATTATGTGACAGATGAAGAAAATTACAGAACTGTGTTCAACAAGTATTCATGTTAAAAAAACTCTTAGCATACTTGGTTTAGGAGTTTTGGCTACAGCTTACTGGTGTTTAACAAACTCCTTCGGCCTCAGCAGCTGAAAACCACTTTCCTATGGTCATGAGGTCTGTGGGTCAGGAATTCTCCAGGCACAGTGGAGATGGCTTGTGTCTGCTCCATGATGTCTGGGCCTCTGCTGGAAAGACGCAGTGGTGGAGATGAACTGCTGCCTCTTCAGCGTCACCTTTTACCTACCACTCAGCCCCAGGTCACGTGGCTGCAGCACACTGGCTTCTTGACTGTTCCTTCAACTCACCAGCCAGGCTCCAGCATCACAGACCTTACTTGCTCTTCCTTCTGTCTGGGGCCTTCTTAACTAGACATCCACCTGGCTGGACATTCTTCTTTCTCAAGTCACTTCTCAGTGGGATTTCTCTGGCCTCCCTATGAAAAATCAAAATCCCCATCCTGTGCCCACTGACCCTCTCTGGCCCCCTTTCTGCCTGTAATTATCACTTTATAATATATAATATAGTTAACTTATTTAACTATACTTTTATTCTATGTCTTCCCTCATGAGGATGTAAGCTTCATGAGGCAGGTATATTTTGTCTAATTTTATTCATTGCTGTATCCCCAGAGCCTAGTATATAATAAAGCACACAAACATTAGCTGTTGATTAAATGGATGGGTAGGTAGATGGATGAGTAGGTGGGGGATGGATGGATGGATGAATGGATGGGTGGATGGGTAGGTGAATGGATGAGTAGGTGGGTGGGTGGGTAGATGGATGGGTGGGTGGATGAATGGATGGATGGATGGCTAGGTGGGTGGGTGGATGGATGGATGTGTGGATGGATGTATGGGTGAATGGGTAGATAGATGGATAGATGAATGGGTAGGTGGGTGGACAGATGGATGGGTAAATGAATGGATGGGTGGGTGAGTGGATAAATGGATGAATGGGTAGGTGAGTAAATGGATGGATAATGGATGGATGGATGGATGGATGGATGGATGGATGGATGGGTAGGTAGGTGGGTGGGTGGGTGTACAGATGGATAAGTGGATGGAGAAATGGATGGATGGATGGATGGACGGATGAATGGGTAGACAGATGAATCGGTAGGTGGGTAGATGGATGGATGGATGGATGGATGGATGGATGGATGATGGATGGATGGGTGGGAGGGTGGGTAAATGCATGGATGGATGGATGGATAGATAGATGGATAAATGGATGGATGGATGGATGGATGGATGGATGGATGAGTGGATGGGATGGATGGATGTTGAGGCATGGCATCACCAATGGTAGATAATCACTGGGTTAAAATGGAATATATGTTGCTATTAGGAAGAATGAATTAAAACTCTATGTGTTGTTATGAACAATTACCAAGATTTATTATGAGAAGGAAGCGAGGTACAGAACATAGTCTTTTTTTTCTTTTGAGATGGAGTCTCGCTCTGTCAGCCAGGCCGGAGTGCAGTGGTGCGATCTCGGCTCACTGCAACCTCCACCTCCCGGGTTCACACCATTCTCCTGCCTCAGCCTCCCGAGTAGCTGGGACTACAGGCACCTGCCACCATGCCCGGCTAATTTTTTGTATTTTTAGTAGAGACGGGGTTTCACCATGTTAGCCAGACAGTCTCGATCTCTTGACCTCGTGATCTGCCTGCCTGGGCCTCCCAAAGTGCTGGGATTACAGGCATGAGCCACTGTGCCCGAACAGAACATAGTCTTAATATGCTCCTTTTATTTCCATTTAAAAAATAATTTCTATACAGGTAAATATGTGTGGATATGCATCATCAGTGTTTTCTGAAAGAAGTAAAAAACACTATTCATAATGGAAGTTCTAGGGAGAAGGACTGAAATACAGGTGGGAAGGATGCCTTACTTTTCCATTTAGCACTTTTCTGCAAAGTTTGGATTTTCTAACCATGCTACTCATATTTTTATTTTAAAATATCAACAGGAGTTTTTTGACAGTATGATCATGGACTATTTAAAACAGTTTTTCTTTACAATTCTTGCTACCTAAAATAATACTTGTTATAAAATAAAAAATAAGGGTAATTTTATTTAACAGAATCGAGAAAAGCAATGCTAGTTTTTAAGGACTTCCTTGAATCACTGAGAGGTCTTCTTTTGTCACATAAGGATTAGATAATGTTCAATATTTTCTATCTGCTAAGGCAGAAGTACTTTTACTTATGCATGTCCTTAGAGTTTTCAGTAACAAAAATTTCAGATAATCAGAGCACTTTGTTCTCTACACCGTCTGCTTTTCTGTGATTTTACGGTAATAGGCAGTATAACAGAGTTGACAGAAAAACACTTAGTAAATAAATATGGTTTAAAACTTTTTATACTAAGTTTTATGTCTGATTCTGTGTCTCCAGATACTACCTTTGACTAAGGAGAGGCATGGTTGTACGTTCAATGATGGCTCCCTGGGAATGACCCAATGGAAGTAGCATTTTGGAAACCCTGGTTCTGTAATCTGAACGTTGTGGCCCATGAGATTAACATATAGAAACCTAATTCCCAGTGTGATAGTATTAAGAGGTGAGGTCTTTGGAAAGTGATTAAATCATGAGGGCGTAACCTTAATGAATGGAATTAGTGTCCTTATAAAAGAGGCTCCAGAGAACTTCCCAGCCCCTTCCACCATGTGAGGACACAGCGAGGAGGTACCATCTATGAAGCAGAAGGTGAGCCCTTGCCAGACACCAAATCTGCTTGTGCCTTCATGTTGGACTTCTAACCCTCCTGAACTGTGAGCAATAAATGTCTATGGTTTGTAAGTTACCCAGCCTATGGTATTTTGTTATAGCAGCCTGAACAAACTAAGACACCCGGGGTCTTTGTTTGTTAACTATGCATATTGAAGCTCTAAACCCATGCCCATTTCCCTGTTTTTTTCATTTTTGATGTTTGCTCAGTTTGTGGCCCATTTTCACTCTTCATCTTCATATTGCAAATATCTGATATGACAGTCGAGTGGAAGCTTCTCTTCCAATAAGACCATGTAACAAAAATGGAAAACCAAAACTATTCTGAAAAAAGCCATTTAAAAAATGCATACCAAGATTTTAAAAAAATTCCTGTTAAATTTATCATGAGTCCAAGCTGTTCATTCAACTTATCGTCTTGGTATTTGATACAAAAAATCCCCATTCACTGACTTTTTAAAAAGTAGAATGATGCTGGTGAGTTAAGGAGGTATAGAGTCCCATGTTTTAAAGGAAGATGCAGCTCACTCACACTGCAGCAATATCCTTTGCCGGCTGAAGCAAAATAAAAATCAGTTCTACTGAAAGTTGATAAAGTTTAAGTCCATTAACAGCGAGAGTACTTTATATTAGATTTGCAAATGAATGAGAAATTAATGGAGAAAAGAGCTCTCACAATAGCTTCAAAATGGGCATATTTATAACCCTATTCTGCTTGCCAAAAATAATTACATCCCATTTTTTTCTGCCAACCATTTAAACTCATTTCATAGAAAACGGAAAAAGAGGGTTGGTGCAAATGGGATGTTTCCCGCAAGAAAGAAGAACGGTTTTGGAACCCTTGAGCAATTTGCAAGGCGTGTCAATTTTGGAACGCTCTGTCTTGAAATATTCGCTTTTTTTATGTTTATTTGTTTACCTATTGTTTATTCTCCAAATCAATTACACAACATTTATTTCCAAATGCCACAATAATGGAAGACTGGCATCACATTTGGAATTGATTCTAATGCTGCACAGCCGCCTGCTGAGGATCCTGATCCGGTTCATGAGCTGAGGCTGATCCCAGCGACCCCAGACCTGACCAACTCTGCATTACCCAGGGAGGAGCAGGCCAGTCTGAGCAGACTCAAAGGGGCCGCTTCTACTCGGAGCCACTTTGCATCCACTCCACCCTAAGCTTCTAAGATACTTCGGAGCCCACACGACACTCCTTCACAGGGGCTGGGTGGCCTGGCCTGCCACTTGAAATATGGGGCTGCTGGCACCTGCTGTATCCTTCTCAGCCCCAGGCATAGCTGCTGAAAAGGTGACAGGAAGAGTCTATTTTCATGTCATCACTTAGTTTGTATTTGTTTGCAGCTATTTCAGCCTTTTACATTTGTATTATGCATTCTGAACAAGTTGCTATTTGTTTTCTTAGTTGATGTAGTCAGCTGCACAGAAATGCTTAATGCTTTTCTCAGATGATTCCAACCAAACTGACTTTGATTTCAGACAGATAGCCCATGGCCATGCTGACACATAAAACCAACCATGACACTGGGTTTTTTTTCAGCCTTTTATTTTTTTTTTAGGTTTAGGGACACATGTTATAGGGGTACTTTTTTTAGGTTTAGGGGTACACTGTCATAGAGCTAAATGGCATGTTGTTGGGGGTTGTTGTGCAGGTTATTTTGTCACCCAGGTGATTAAGCACAGTACCCGACAGGTAGTGTTTTGATCCTAACCCCCCTCCCCCACCCTCCACCCTGAAGTAGGCCCCAGTGTCTATTACTCCCTTCTTTGTGTCCATGTGTACCCAATGTTTAGCTCCCATTTATAAGTGAGAACATGTGGTATTTGGTTTTCTGTTCTTGCATTAATTTGCTTAGGATAATGGCCTCCAGTTCCATCTATGTTGCTGCAAAGGACATGATCTCATTCTTTCTTACGGCTGCATAGTATTCCATGGTTTATATGTACCACATTTTCTTTCTTTTTTCTTTATTTTTGAGATGGAGTCTCACTCTGTCACCCAGGCCGGAATGCAGTGGCGTGATCTCGGCTCACTGCAACCTCCACCTCCCAGGTTCAGGCGATTCTCTTGCCTCAGCCTCCCAAGTAGCTGGGACTACAGACAGCTGCCACCATGCCCTGCTAATTTTTGTGTATTTTTAGTAGAGATGGGGTTTCACCATGTTGGCTAGGCTCATCTTGAACCTCTGACCTCGGGTGATCTGCCTGCTTTGGCCTCCCAAAGTGCTGGGATTACAGGTGTGAGCCACCGCACCCGGCTGTATGGCATTTTCTTTATCAACACTCCACTGAAAATATTGAACAGATCATCGAGGCAGAAAACTAACAAAGATATTTGGGACCTGAACTTGACACCTGACCAAATGGACCTAACAGACATCTACAGAACTCTCCACCCAAAATTAAGAGAATGTACATTCTTCTCATCTGCACATGGCACATACTCTAAAACTGACCACACAATCAGCCATGAAACAATTCTCAACAAATGCAAAAAAACTGAAATCATAGCCACCACACTATCAGACCACAGTGCAATAAAAATAGAAATTAACACTAAGAAAATCACTCAAAACCATACGACTACATGGCAAACAACCATGACACTGTTACAGCCATCTTACCTGTTCCCTCCTTCAAGACCTCCCTTGCAGCCTGCTCTCAACTCACCAACCAGAGTGGGCCTTTAAAAAATTAAGCCAGGCAATGACACTCTCTGCTTAACACCTCCCAGTGGCTCCCTACAGCACACAGAGTAAAAGGCAGAGGACTTAGATTGACTTACAAGGCCCTGCAGTTTCCTTCCCTCTCCCTTCCTCTATGATCCCCTCTCTTTCCTCCCCACTGCTCACTTCCCTCTAGCCACAGGGCCTCCTGGTTGCTCTTAGAACTGTCAGTCCCACTCAGGGCCTCCGTACTGACTATTCCCTCTGCCTCAGACATTGCAAGGCAAACTCCTTCACCTCCTCACTCCCTCACTTGGCTCAAGAGTCACATGCTCAATCAGCTCTGCTGTCACCATCCTATTTACAATGATAGTTTCTGCCCCCATCACTCCCTCAGCCAACTGTACCACGTTCTACTTTCTAACAGACGTTACCATTTTTAGTCTATTACTATATGCCTTCATTAGGATGTGAGCTCCATGAGGGCTGAGATCTTGGTCTGATTTGTTCCCTGATCTATCTCAAATCCTCAAAACAGTGTTAATAGTTGAAAAGCACTCAATAAATATTGGTTGAATGAACAAATAAAGGGCTTATCAAATGCAAAGATAAATTTTTCATTTAAATTCTCTGCCAGAATTTCTGGTTCCAGAAGATGGGCAGAGGACAAGTCATACTGGAGCTTGCACGGCACAATGAGTTCAGAAGACTATTCTGAGTGAGACTGGAAGACAAATGAGAATTTTGAACTGGGGAGTGACATGAGGTGACTTACAGGTTTTTAAAAGTTCATCATGGCTTCTGTGTGGTGCACAGGATTCAAAGGCAGGAGTAGCGCCAGGGAGAGTATTTCAGCTGCCTTGGTCCAGCAAGAGATTAAAGTGGTTCAGACCAGAGAAGCTGTGCTGGAGGTGATGAGAAGTGGCTGGACCCTGGATATACTACGAAGGCAGAGCTAACAGGTCTTGTTGATGCACTTTGCTGAGAGGGAGAGGAAGAGAGGGAGTGGCGAGAGTCAAGGGTAACTGTTGAAGTTTTGGCCTCAGAAACTGAGTAAATGGCAGTATCCATTACTGGGACAGAACAGAGGGGAGAAGAACAGACTTGGGAGTGGAATCAAGAATTCTGCTTTGGATGTGTTAAAATGGAAATGCCTACCAGACATCCATATGGAGGTGCTGACTGGCCAGTTGGATACATGAGTCTGGAGCCCAAAAAAGAAGCTGAACTAAAGATAGTTTTTAAAGCCATGGGTCTGGTTGAAATCCCATTAGAGAGAGAAGCTGGATAGAGAGGAAGACTCGGGGCTTCGTGCTGAAGCACTTCCCCTTTAGGAAGAAAAGCCAGCAAGAGGGGCTAAAGAAGCAGCCAGTGAGGTAGGGAAGGGCTGAGCAGCTCTACCGAACTGGAAGCCACATGGAGCATGTGTTTCAAATGTTGCTGTGGGGTCAGGTGAGAAGAGTCTAATCACTGACTGCGGGATTTGGCCATATGAGGGCCTTGGGGCCCCAGGCAGCGCTGCGATACCCCAGTGGGTTGTTGGTGATCCTTCAGGATGGGAAGCAGTGCCCACTGGGGCAAGTAGGGTGGTACAGGCTGACTGTGGGAGGCGCAGGGCTCAGGGAAACCTGAGCATTCAGCATAGACAGGAACCTGGAGTCAGGATGACAAGGAAAATCTCCTGAATTGGGCACAAGGATCCTTGGGGGGGATGAGGAAGAGGAATTGAGCATGCTGCATTTCCTAAATGTGGGGCATTGGGGTGCAAGGCGGTGCACCTGAATATGAAAGGAAATAGCCATCCTATAATTCCAGAAGCTTGAAGACACCAAGAGAGTTACACTCACAGAGAAGAAAAAGGTTTGCTTTTCTCATGGAAAAGGTTATATGTAACAAGTTTAGGATACCACATGACAATGTCTTAGTTTTAATTAACTTTTATAATTCAGCACATTTTTAAAAGCACATACTTGTATTTCTGATAATGCTATGCCAGGTTTTTACACTTGTTTCATATTTTTTCTCAAGAGGAAGTTATAGTAGTGTATCTAAGATATACTGAAAAATAATTGGTAATTTTTTTTTTTTTTTTTTTTTTTTTTTTTTTTTTTTTTTTTTGGAGATAGAGTCTTGCTCTGCCACCCAGGCTGCAGTGCAGTGGTGTGATCACCCAGGCTGGAGTGCAGTGGCGTGATTACCCAGGCTGGAGTGCAGTGGCGCGATCTCAGCTCACTGCAACTTCCGCCTACCTGGTTCAAGTGGTTCTCCAACCTCAGCCTCCTGAGTAGCTGGGACTACAGGCGCATGCCACCATGCCTGACTAATTTTTTGTACATTTTAGTAGAGACAGGGTTTCGCCATGTTGCCCAGGCTGGTCTCAATCTCCTGAGATCAGGCAATCCACCCTCCTCGGCCTCCCAAAATGCTGGGATTACAGGAGTGAGCCACTGCACCCAGCTGGCAAATATTCTTTTTTATTTTTAAGTTCATTTGCCAAGAACTCAATTATTTATAGTGGTACTTCTCTCTAGCTTTCTGTAACTAAATGAGAACATTAATTTCAAATGTATCTCTCTACTAAAATCATACAGGGTGTTCTATCCTTCCTTTTATACAAAAAAAATTGACAATTATCTGACGAAATAGGAAAATTTGAACAGCCATGTTTTAAAAGCTGATCATGTCATGCTTCAGCTAACATAAAAAAAAAAAACCTGAAGTCAAAATAAACGTTTAAATAACCTGAACATGCTGATAATTGACATTGCTTTCTATCATAATCATCACTTTAACACTGAAAGATGAAGAACTTGCTAGTGGTTTAAGGTAGATCAGGCATTGGATACAGATCCTTCCCATTGGTGTTTACTATCCAACTGCAAGAGATATTGGATGAAATATGAACATAGCAAAACATTTAAAAAGGAGAAATTAGATTTAGAGAAAAAACTAACTTACCTATTGCTATGGACTAAAGTGTGCCCTCTCCATTCATATGTTGAAGCCTTAACCACCAATGTGACTATATTTAGAGATAGGGTCTTTAGTAGGTACTTCAGGCTAACTAAGATCACAAGGGTAGGGTCCTGACCCACAAGGATTGGTGGCCTTAGAAAAGAAGAAAGAGACAGAGACCTCTCTCTCTCTACCTGCACACACATGGAGAAAAGGCTATGTAAAGACACAGTGGGAAGGCGGCCGTCTGCAAGACAGGAAGCAAGTCCTCACGAGAACCAGACCATGCTGCCACTTTAATCTTGGACTTTCCAGCCTCCAGAACTGAGAAAAACTAAATTTTTGTGTTTAATCCACCCAGTTTACATTATTTTGTTATGACACCCCAAGATGACTAAAATACCTATTAATGAGTTTTTAAAAAATTATTTTAGAAGAGAAACAATATGTTGGGTTGTAATGTCAACAAATAAGTAATAATGTGTTTATATATTTCTATGATTTTTCTGAGAGAGAAAAATTTTAAATTGAGTAAATTTCTCCCCCTAGGATGCCTGTCTACAGATTACTTCTTCCATAAACTCTGACCTCAACAATTACTCCTAACAGGAATTCGAACTGTCTTGATGCTTGACCAGCCTGGCCAACACAGTGAAACCCCGTCTCTACTAAAAATACAAAAATTAGCCGGGTGTGGTGGCTCACGCCTGTAATCTCAGCTAATCAGCAGGCTGAGGCAGGAGAATTGCTTAAGCCAGGGAGGTGGAGGTTGCAGCAAGTGGAGATCATGCCACTGCACTCCAGCCTGGCTGACAGAGACTCTGTCTGAAAAAAAAGAAAAAAGGAAAGCGTGGTGACTTGTTTTAGACACTTTCACTACTGATAATGACAGTTCACAGGACCAGGCAAAGCAGAGACTCGGCACAGTGCCACAGGGAGACCCTGTCCTGGGCGCCGAGTGGACCTGCCCCTGAGTCAGCTGCCTCCCCTTACCAGCGGTGCGGCCCTAGCGCTCACTGCATTTCCTCCCACCCCTAGTTTCTTCCTCAGCAACACAGGGATAGGAGCTCCCTTGCAGGTGACTGGAGGCAGTGAATGGTCCACATATATAAAGCAGCTGCAGTGGTACCTTGCACATAACAGGAATTATTTTTAGAATGACGTTGAAGATGTTCAGAATACCCAACCCCAACATATGGAGCTCTGGCATACTGTTTTCAGTTAAAGACCCTTGAAAAACAGCAGAGGCAAGAAGGACATTCTAATCACCCCTTTTCTTCCTGAAAATAGGAGATAAACATTGCCATGTGAAAGATGTCCTCCCTCACCAGGAGAATGAAACATTCTTCGATGGGGAGGAAGAGCCAAGAGACCCTGTGAAATGATTCTTACTCCTTCAGCCTCCCCACACAGTGTACCTGTCCCCAGCTGCCTCTCTTTGTCCATCTTGGTATAAAAGCATTTGTGTTTTGCTACTTCTCTGGGTCTTCATTTCCTTATGAGGGCTCCTGAGTCACATAAAACATATATAAATTGGTGTGCTTTTTCCTATTAATCTGTCTTGTGTCAATTTAATTCACAGGCCCAGCTGAAAACCCTAGGAGATTAGAGGTGAAATTCTGTCTCCCCTATAATTGAATGTATTATAACACAAAAATATACTCAGAAAGAAGTCATTAATTTGAGTATAGTGATAATGATAGCTATCAGAGTAATCCCTTTTAAAATAGTTTCAGTTCCTGTAATACCAAGGCCCACTCACATGTTGTAGTATTGTTACCACTGTCGCGGTAATTAGTTTCCATGACACAAAATCACCTCACTTGCTTTCCCACAGAGGCAGCAATATGCTAAAAGAGCAGACTCTAGACCAGGTCTCCCGGGGTCCAAGTCAAGTGTGTGTTGATGACCTTCCCTGAACCCTGGCTTTCTTCTCTATAGAAAGTGCTCAGTGGGCCAAGCACGGTGGCTCACGCATGTAATTCCAGCACTTTGGGAGGACAAGGCAGGTGGATCACTTGAGGTCAGGAGTTTGAGACCAGCATGGCCAGCACGGCCGACATGGCAAAACCCCGTTTCTACTAAAAATACAAAAAATTAGTCGTGTGTGGTGCTGGCATCTGTAATCTCAGCTACTTGGGAGGCTGATGCAGGAGAATTACTCGAACCCGGGAGGCAGAGGTTGCAGTGAGCTGAGATCATGCCACTGCACTCCAGCCTGGGAGACAGAGTAAGACTCTGTCTCAAAAAAAAAAAAAAAGTGCTCAGTGGTAATGCCTATCCCATAGGACGACTGTGAGATTTTGAACAATAACATATGTCATGCCTGTGCTTGAAGCCTGGCATGCATGGCCCTCAGGAAATGTGTACACTGACCTGGGCATAGGACTGAGACTGTCAGAGGGAAACACGGGGCCTGGGAGTAGACCCTGCATGCTCCGAGGGTCTGCTTCCATGTGACGTGGACTGAAGGTCCCTCTCCTGATTCTTCATGAGATGAGCCAGACAAACATCTTATGAGTGTCACCAGCAGCAATCAAGACAGGAAGAAAGGGGCATCATGTCCTGTCATGAACTAGAAAGGGGGGGCAGGACAGAAATAAGTGGAGAAAAGGAGATCCTGAAGGTTCCATGTCCTCCCCAGCCCTCACCTATGTGAGCACAGGTGAGCAGACAGAAGCTGAGAATTCGCACTAATACCTTCAAGTCTGGGGTGATGGGGTCTGAGTTGGGTGCAGGTAGTTCTAGGACAATTTTTTAAAATCTCTTTAAAACAGAAGCTCCTACGCAGCAACTCAGGAGCTCAACCAAGAAAGAAAGGGCCAGGACTGAGGGACGGATGACGCTCACTGGAGCAGAACTGCCCTGGCTCGGTCAAGGGGACATCTCTAGGGAGGTCCTCAGAGGGAAGAGCAAGAACCCAAGACCTAGCAAGGATGTGCTCAGCCCCTGGGGGATCTCCCCACCCTGTCCTAAGTTAGACAGTCAAGGCCAAAGGCAACATCCATGTCTGAAATGGAGCCTCTGACAGGAGAAGAGAAACTGGCCCTGGTGGGTCTGAAGGCTGTCGGGGCAGGGAAGAATTGTCCGGGCCAAGCCCAGGAGCACAAGGAGAGTGGGTACATCAAGGTGCATGGAAGCACACCACAGCTTATTTGGCAAACAGAAGGTCAGCAGAAACAGAGCTTGAAAATGGGGAAAGAAACATCAACCCAGACGCCAAAGCTCCCCACAAGAACTTCATGGAACCTAATACACACATAAACTTAACAAAGGAAGGACTCAAAGTGAGAAAAACAAGACTATGATGAAAAGAAAGCTAGAGACAGAACTAAGGAAACCAATTACAGCGTGAGAATTAAAACCCCATCACTGCAAATCTAGTAAATAATTTAGAAACAGCAAGGAACAGAGTAGACATGAGTGAAAATTCAAGATAATGGCATGGGGGAAGGTGTGAGATCTCCACAGTAATTTTGTAGAAGAAGGAAGAGACAAATTACAATGAAGAGGACCCGTAAGGAGATTGGGAATTTTTTTTTTTAACTCTAGAAACAAATGTGCTTTGTGATGAGAGACCTGTAATCTAAAATTTAGTATTCTCTCTTCAGTTTCATTTCAATTCTCCTGTTAATTTCAAACAAAGACAATTTTTTAAAACATACACATTATTCTTCCATAGCTTGTGTCTTGTATCATTATATGATCGATAGATTTCTGAATTTATGACCACATAACAGTCTGATCGTTTCTGGATGGTATACTTCTGGGTAATTCATTGCCTTTGCTGTTGTACTTTTCTGTATTTGCTTAAATAATTTATGAGAGACATGCATTGTTTTTTATTTTTAAAAGTATAATCTTGGCCAGATATGGTGGCTCACACGGGTAATCCCAACATTTTGGGAGGGCGAGGTGGGCGGATCACTTGAGATCAGGAGTTCCAGCCCAGCCTGGCCAACATGGCGAAACCCTGTCTCTACTAAAAATACAAAAATTAGCAGGGTGTGGTGGTGCACATCTGTAATCCCAGCTACTCAGGAGGCTGAGGCAGGAGAGTCGCTACAACCTGGGTGGTAGAGGTTGCAGTGAGCTGAGATCGTGCCACTGCACTCCAGCCTGGGTGACCGAGTGAGACTCCATCCCCCCCCCAAAAAAAAGTATGATCTTTAAAGGGAAGAAAATCCACTCAACATTCTTTCAATAAGTAGATATTACACACTATATTGTAGGCACTGGGATTATGAGCTAGGCCAAGACCTTGCCCAGCTTCCAGATAAAGTCATGGAGGTTATAGATTCAGGAAGACAAACATTACTCCAAATACAGTTCATTCCAGAAATGCAAGAGTGATTCAGCATTAGCATATAGTCCATCCTGTTAACAGAGCTAAAGAGAAAAATTATATGATCATCTCTACAGATGCACCAAAGGTATGTGAAAAAATCAGCATTCATTCCTATGAGAAACAACAAAACAGAAACTGAGGGATAGGATAAAGTCATGCCTAACAAGATAGAAAATACATATTTATGCAACACATACCTAACCTCAAAAGCCAGCATCTTAATTAACAAAGAAAAACTAACTTTTCCTGCTACAGTCTGGAACAAGACAAGCACTCACTCTTTAACACTGGGTCTGAAGTATTAGCCCATGTACTTAGACAAGAGAAATCAACTGTAGAAATAACATTCATGAAAGAAGAAGTTAAAATTATCTTTATTTGCAGAGCATATGTTTATGTACTCACATGTGGAAAAACAAAAGAATCCCCACAAAACAAGCACCAAAAAAAAAAAAGAAAGAAAATCTAATAAGAAAGCTGGTTGTATAATAAATATAGGCATACCTTGTTTTATTGTTCTTCACTTTATCATGCTTCACAGATGTTGAGTTTTTTTACGGATTGAAGGTTTGTGGCAGCCCTATATTGAGTAAGTCTATGAGCAACATTTTTCCAACATCATGTGCTTACTTTGTCTCTGAGTCATATTTTGGTAATTCTCAGTACATTTCAAACTTTTTCATTATTACTATATCTGATATAGTGGCCTGTGATCAGTGACCCTTGAAGATACTATTATAATTGTTTTGGGGCTCCATGAACTGTGCCCATATAAGGCAGTGAACTTAACTGAGAAATGCATGTGTTCTGATTGCTTCATAGGCTGGCCGTTCCCCTGCCTATCTGTTCCCTGAGACACAACAATATTGAAATTAAGCCAATTAATAACTCTACAATGGTCTCTAAATGTTCAAGTGAAAGGAAGGGTCACACGTTTCTCATTTTAAATCCAAAGCTAGAAGTGATTAAGCTTAGTGAGGAAGGCATGTTAAAAGACAAGAGCAGCCAAAAGCTAGGCCTCTTGCACCAGTTAGCAAGTTGTGAATGCAAAGGAAAAGTTCTCGAAGGAAATTAAAAGTGCTACTCCAGTGAACACACGAATGATCAAGAAAACAGCCTTATCGCTGATTTGGAGAAACTATGAGTGGTCTAACAGAAGATCAAACCAGACACAACATTCCCTTAAGCCAAAATCTGATCCACAGCAAGGCCCGAACTCTCTTCAGTTCAATTCAATGAGGATGAGAGAGGTGAGGAAGCTGCAGATGAGAATTTGAAGCTAACAGAGGTTGGTTCCTGAAGTTTAAGAAGCTGAGGCAGCAAATGCTGATAACCTGCAAGTCCAGAAGATCCAGCTAAGATAACTGATGAAGGTGGATACATGAAACAACAGATTTTCAGTGTAGACAAAACAGCCTTATACTGGAAGAAGATGCCATCTAGGACTTTCATAGCTAAAGAGGGAAAGATGACGCCTGGCTTCAAAGCTTCAAAGGACAGACTGACTCTCTTGCTAGGAGCTAATGCAGCTGGTCACTTAAAGTTGAAGCCAATACTCAACCATTCTGAAAGTCCCATGGCCCTTAAGAATTATGCTAAATCTATTTCACCTGTGCACTAGAACTAGCCCAACAAAGCCTGGATGACAACATATCTGTTTAAAGCATGGTTTACTTAATATTTCAAGCCCACTATTGAGACCTAACGCTCAGAAAAAAAATATGCCTTTCAAAGTATTACTGTTTATTGACAATACACCTAAGAGCCCTGATGGAGATGTACAAGAAGGTTAATGTCATTTTTCTGCCAGCCAATACATCTACTCTGCAGCCCACGGGTCAGGGAGTAACTCACTTTCAAGTCTTATTATTTAAGAAATGCATTTCACAAAGCTAGAGATGCCATACATAGTGATCCTGTAATAAATCTGGGTGGAGTAAATTGACAACCTTCTGGAAAGGATTCACCATTCTAGGTGCCATTAAGAACATTTGTGATTCATGGGAGGAGGTCAAAATAGCTACATTAACAGGAGTTTGGAAGAAGTTGATTCCAATCCTCACAGGTGACCTTGAGGTTTTCAAAATTTCCGTGGAGGAAGTAATCACAGATGTGGTAGGAACAGCAGGAGAATTAGAATTAGAAGTGGAGCCTAAAGATGTGGCTAAATTGTTGCAATCTCATGAGAAAACTTTAATGGACAAGCAGCTGCTTCTTATGGATGAGCAAAGAAAGTTGTTTCTTGAGATGGAATCTACTCTTGGTGAAGATACTGCAGACATTATTGAAATGACAACAAAGGGTTTAGAATATGATATAAACTTAGTTCATAAAGCAGCAGCAGGGTTAGAGGACTGACTCAAATTTTGAAAAAAGCTCTACTGTGGGTAAAACGCTATCAAACAGCATTGCATGCTACGGACAAATCTTTTGTAAAAGGAAGAGCCAATCAATGCAGCAAACTTCATCACTGTCTTATTTTCAGAAATTGCCACAGCCACCCCAACCTTCAGCAACCACCACCAATTAGTCAGCAGCCATCAGCATCTAGGCAAGACCCTCCACCAGCAAACAGATGACAACTTGCTGAAGGCTCAGATGACTGTTAGCATTTTTGAGCAATAAAGTATTTTTAATCAAGGTATATGTATAATTTTTTTAGACATATGCTGTGGCACACTTAATAGGCAACAGTATAATGTAATCATAGTTTTATATGTACTGGGAAACTAAAAAATTGGTGACTTGCTTTATTGTGATATTCGCTTTATTGCACTGGTCTGGAACTAAACCTGCAATATCTCTGAATTATGTCTGTATACAAAAATCAATAATGTTTATCCATAACATAGATAAACAGTTAGAAAATGTAATAGAAGGCCAGGTGCAGTGGCTAATGTCTGTAATCCCAGCACTTTGGGAGGCCGAGGCGGGTGGATCGCTTGAGCTCAGGAGTTTGAGACGATCCTGGGCAACATGGTGAAACCCCGCCTCTACCAAAAATACAAAAATTAGCCAGGTGTGGTGGTGCACACCTGTAGTCCCAGCTACTTGGGAGGCTGAGGCAGGAGAATTGTTTGAGCCTGGCAGGCGGAGGTTGCAGTGAGCCGAGATCGTGCCACTGCACTCCAGCCTGGTGACAGAGCGAGACTTTGTCTCAAAAAAGAAAGAAAATGGTGACATGCTTGTGAAAGTAAAGAGTATTTTGAATAAATGGAAAGAAATATATTCTTGGATAAGAAGATACAACAGCAAAGAGATGTTAATTCTCCTAAAGTTAATCTATAAATTTAATGCCATATTGATTAAAAAAAATCATCATTGTCTCCTAGAAGCTAGGCAAACTGATTATATAGTTCTTGGAAGAACAACTAAGCAAGAATCACAAAGGAAACTCCATAAAAGATCAATAAGGAAGGCTAGCCCTTCCAGATATTAAAATGTATTTAAAGCCCCCCTCTTGGCCGATGAATTGACAGACCAATAAAATAAAACGGAAATATCCAGAAACAAACACATTTGTCTATGGTAATTTAGTATATGACAAAGGGGTCATTTAAAATAATTGAGGGAAACATACACTTTTCATAAGTAGTACTGATAAATCCAGATGGGATGGCCATATGGAAAAAGAAAAATACACATCTGTTTCTCACCAGTTATATCAGAACTGATTCCAAATAGATTAGAAACTTAAATGGAGACAGAGAGACCCCACTTTAAGTATTAGAAAAAAACATGGAATTCCTCTCTAACCGGAAAGTTGAGAAATATTTCCTATAACTCACAGTCCAAAGTAATAAGGGAAAAACTGATGAACTTAACTACATAAAATACAAATCTTTACATATGAATACTACCAGAAGCAAATAAAAAAGACAAATGAAAGACAAATGATAAACCGCATTATGCAGTAAACAGGAATAAGAAATGTCTTTATACACTGCTACAGACTGACCCCACGCGATATCACTAAGTTATAAAACCAAAGGCTGGAACAATGTGCAAGGTAGGCACACGTACATGCAGTATGTGTACAGCACATGTGCTTGCTTATAATTTAGAAATGAAAGGACAAAGCGAAAATCTAAGAGTAGTTACTATAGGGCCGGGGGGTGGGGAGACAAGGAATACAAACAGGACAGAAATGATAACTAGAATTTTCAGGGGAAAACACTTTACTGCATAGATTTGACTTTGTAACAGTAAATGTCTTATATAATTATGAAACAAAATTAAATCAAAAATTAATTAAAATCCCTAAAATCAAAAGCAAAATGAAATAAGTGAACCAGTAAAACGGGCAGGTGCCTTAACCACAGAGAGCGGTTTAAACTGACTGTAACATATCACCATTTAATTGTATATCTCAAGTGGTTTATTTCCTGAAGGATAATCAAGAGACATGGGAGCTCTGGTGGCCTCTGCTCACTGGGGCCAGCAAGGGAAAATAAAGAAGAGAGACAGAGAGACTTAAGAGACCTAACAACCCAATGCAAAAAGAGAGAAACAGGCACACAGAAATTTGAACATGAGGTATTTGATGATAAACCAAATTATTGGTATCTATTAGTTGTGATCACGGCATTGTGACTATATCATTTTAAAAATAAAAAATAAGGGCCACCTTCTCTTTTAGAGGTAGGCATGTATGTATTTTGACACAAAATAATGTGATGTCTCAGGCTTGCTTTCTTCATCCAAGGGAGAAGTGGTGGGGTACTGATGACGCAAGAATGTCCAGGAGTGGCTGGCAGCTATAGCTGAGTAATGGATGCATAGGGTTCAATATGTCATTCTCTTTACTTGTGTATATAGTTGAGATATCCACAATGTAAATGTCGAAAAATATGAAAATATGGGTTCAGATAATAACTCTGCTACTTAGTCACACAGCCAGTTTGTAAAAATTTCCTATGTTTTGGGAACCTGAATTCCTTCCTTTTAAAAAGAAGACACATAAACCTAAGTTACAAGACAAATTAGTATATGATAAAGAGGTCACTTAAAATCACTGGGGGAAACAAATATTACAAATTTGTTTTATTACATATTACAAAGCCTGTCATATAGCAGAACTAAACAAAGGCCAGTTATTTTTTATTTTGGTATGAATTTAACTATGCCAAATTACTAAAAATATTTTCCTAAACATCACATCAAAGTAAGATTTCACATGGAGTTTTAAAGAGGAAATAAAGAATGAAGCCTTTTGGTTTTATAATTACACAAAATAGCAATACTAGAATAGAACTAAATTTATGCCCAAATGTATTCCTCAATTAGTGCCCAATTCAAATACCAGATACAATGATGTTATTCTGAGTAACACCCATAAAACTACATATAACTATTACCATAAATAACATTTAATTTGTGGGACCGCAGTTGCTAAGCCTGCTGTACCTAAAACTTTGCTGACATATTCTGCCTACTGTTTCATAAAAAACACACAGTAATCAGATTAGGTCAATTAGAAAGCTACAGGCAAAACATTGTTCCCTTTCAAATGTCCTGGTAAATAGAATAATTTTAAAATGAAGAAATATTTGAATCAAAATAGTCAGGAACAGACCTCAAAGCATTAAAGAACTAGATCTTTATACTCTCGAGAGTTGCATTCAAAGACTCAATCAAATTCAAGTTCATCACATATGCAAAACGGAACACGAATCTCCCATTAAAATTATCATAACTGCTGGCTTATTAAAATGCTTGAGTGCATTAGACATAGCATAGAAAAATTCAATATAATATCACTCCAATAATGTTTCTATATTAATCTAGAAAACATGGGGAATGGCCCTAAAGCAAAAAGTGCTGCTACAGGCTCATGCAGAATTGAACTTATGGCTGTTGAGGCCAACCCACCTCAAAGAGGCAAAAACTGTCACAGCAGCAAGATCCAGAGGCCTTCATCCGACCCGGGTGGGATGAAGAGAAGAATTCTCAGCACTGACCCACAGAAGGAGGCGGGAGGCTGTGGTGAGATGAACAGACTAGCGCCCACTCTGGCTAGCTCTCAAGGTGAGATGAGGGTGTGGCTTTTGCACGGTGGCAATGTCGATGATTTTGAAACCTCATGACAGTGTTTCTGAATGTCCACCGAAACATGGCTCTCACAGGCAACAAAACACTCCTGATTAGAGGTGTAAATTTTCCGCGTTTCCAGAGAGCTCTTCATATGTTGATGGAAAATTCCCAGCAACAAACTTGAAGGAGTAATTGCAGGCAGGCCGTGTTTTATTGCACTTCGTTGCATTGCACTGCACAGATACTGCGTTGTTGATAAATTGAAGGTTTGTGGCAACCCTGCAAGGTGCAAGTCTATCAGCATCATTTTTCTCACAGCGTGTGCTCACTTCATGTCTCTCTGTCGGTATATTTTAGCAATGAAGTATTTTTAAATTAAGGTATGTACACTTTTTTTTTTGTTTTTTGTTTTTTGAGACGGAGTTTTGCTCAGTCACCCAGGCTGGAGTGCAGTGTCGCGATCTCAGCTCACTGCAAGCTCCGCCTCCTGGGTTCACGCCATTCTCCTGCCTCAGCCTCCCGAGTAGCTGGGACTACAGGCGCCTGCCAGCACACCTGGCTAATTTTTTGTATTTTTAGTAGAGACGGGGTTTCACCGTGTTAGCCAGGATGGTCTCGATCTCCTGACCTCGTGATCCGCCCACCTCGGCCTCCCAAAGTGCTGAGATTAAGGGTGTGAGCCACCACGCCCGGCCAAATTAAGGTATGTACACTTTTTAAAGATACAATGCTACTGCACACCTACTAGACTACAGCTTAGTGTAATCGTAACTTTGATATGCTCTGGGAAACCAAAGGATGTGTGTGACTTGCTTTATTGTGATAACCGTCTTATTGCAATAGTCTGCAACAGAACCCACAAGCTCTCCAAGGTAGGCTTATACATTTTCCTATTGGTTGGCTTAGTGCAAAAGATGAACCCAAACTGGCAAAGATTAGGTAGAAACCAGTTTCTGCAAACTGAATGCTCCCTTTCTCCAGGAACATCTACCATCACATAGCCATTTCCTCTACAAAACTGTTACCAAAGAGAAGCCAATTTGTTTACAGTCATATGTAAAATTAAAAGCAACGATTAACTGTATACCACCTAAAGTACCTACTCTATTCAAAACAAAGCTATGAAAAGTAAGAACATCTCATTTTGCCATCTGCACTGCATACTCAAACCAAGGCAGAGCCCTGAGAGGAAGTGCCAGGGAGACCCTCACAACCGCCATGGGTACTGAAGACACGAGAAATAGTTAATGGCAGGCCACTTCTTACTTCACTTCAGATGAACGGAAATCTGAAGGCTTCCATGTTCTATAAACTCTTGGGTTTTCACATTAGAGACCAGTGGAGAGAAAGAGAAAGTGCAAGCCAGACCCCTGCTTTAAAGCACTGACCATTCTTTTGGAACAAGAAGCTCAGACAGCCCCAGTTTCCTCTGAAGTAGCACAAGTCAATGCAGGCTGAGTGAACAGAGGTCCTGGGTTGTTCAAGTGCCATCTAATTCCCTATTGAAATTCACTGCTGCCATCAGTCCAATGGCAGAGCATCTGTGCCCCTGGACTAGGGAAGCGGAGATGCCCAGATTTCTGACACATAAACCACTGGGTGAGAAATTCATCTGGAATAACAAATTTATCTTTAAAAAGCCAAACAAGGACATCCAGTTTCAGTTCCAACACGTAAAAAGCTTGGAGTTGTCACTCCCATCCTTATGATAAGAAAAAAGCTGAACAAACAGAAACTCAGCAACCTTTCTTGGACCCCTCAGAGAGCTGAGGTTGCAGAACAAACTGCCACTGGGAAATCTGAAGAGATGGGAATGCACAGGGTCCCGGCTGAGATCTGCTCACCTAGAGATGCTGCTGGGCCAGCCCCCAGTTGGAGCCTCCAAACGTTAATTCTGACAAATTGCTGGAGGCTGAGGGTGGACCAGCCTCCAAGTGAGACTGCTGGGGCTGCAGTTTTAGGGGGACACCCTACACTTTTGTGTGTTTTGCCTCTGAGAACATCACCAGATTCTCAGGGTTAAGAGCCCTGATGGCTGTAGCAGGGGAGGGAAAGGCTAGTCCTAGTGACAAATGAACAGAACCTTCTCCATAACAAAGGCCTGCTCTCCAACACAGTATTCCATCTGGGGGAAGGCGTTTTCCTGACCCCATGCCCGTGCAGCCTTCCTGTCTCACCTAAGGCAGGAATAAAAGGCTAGAAACGCTTGTTAAGGTGATAGCCCAGAGATACAGGCCCACTAAAAGACTGAAATTTCATCATCAGAGTAAAACACACCACACACACACCTTCCCACCACAGCAACAGGGCTGCAGTATAACTACCACAAATTACAGTTGAAGGAGCTGCTAGACACAAGAAAGCATTCTTAGGGAAATCCAAAGACAAGAAAAGGACAAAAACAAGAGAAATAGGTGAATTTGAACCCTCTGGCACCTACAGCTACAGCAAATATTAAGAGCCTAATAACAGCCATATTAATATAAAACCTCACAGGTAAGGCCTGTTTCCTTTAATTCTTATTATCTGATACACTATATTTGGTTTTCAGCAAAAAATTAGAAGGCATGGTAAAAGGCAAGGAAAAAAGTCTGAGGAGACAGAGCAAGCAACAGAACCAGACTGAGACACAGCAGAGAATTTGGAAGGACTAAATGGGGTATTTAAAACCACTGTGATGAATATGCTAAGGGCTGCAATGGGAAAAATGGACAAATATGCAAGAACAGATGGGTGGTATAAGCAGAGATGGAACGTCTGAGAAAAAATCAAAGAAAATGCTAGAAATCAAAAACACTGTAACAGAAATGAAAATTGCCTTTGATGGGCTCATAAGTAGACCAGACACAGCTGAGGAAAGAAACAGTGAGCTTGAAGATAGGTCAACACAAATGTCCCAAACTAAAGTGCAAGAAAGAATGAGAAAAAATAAAAATAAAATAACCACCATAAAACACTCAAGAACAGTTGTATAATTTCAGAAAGTGTAATATATGTATAACAGGAATATTAAAAGGCAAAAAGAGAATGGAATAGATGACACATCTAAAGTAATATAAACTGATAAACTTTCCAAATGTAATTTAATAATGATAAATTAAATTACATTTATTTTATTTAATAAAATAAGCTGATAGCTTTCCAAACAGACCCCAAACCAGAGATCAAAGAAGCTTGGAGAACCCAAACAGGATAACTATCAAAAACTCTACGCTGAGGCATCTCATTCAAAGTGCAGAAAGCCAAAGTCCAAGAGAAGATCTAGAAAGAAACCAGAGAAAAAAATAACACCTTACCATAGATGAACAAATATAAGAATTACAGTCGATTTATCATCAAAAGGCAAGCATGAAGAGCGTGGAGTATTTAAAGTGATGAAAGAAGAAATCCCACCAACCTAGACATGTATATCCAGCAAAATTATCCCATAAAAGTGAAAAAGAGGCTGGGCGCGGTGGCTCATGCCTGTAATCCCAGCACTTTGGGAGGCCAAGGCGGGTGGATCACAAGGTCAGGAGTTCGAGACCAGCCTGGCCAAGATGGTGGAATCCCATCTCAACAAACAAACAAAAAAATTAGCTGGGCATGGTGGCGGGCACCTATAATCCCAGGTACTCGGGAGGCTGAGGCAGGAGAATTGCTTGAACCCAGGAGGTGGAGGTTGCAGTGAGCTGAGATGATGCCACTGTACTCCAGCCTGGGTGACAAGAGTGAGACTCTGTCTCAAAAAAAAAAAAAGAAAAAAAAAAGTGAAAAAGAAATAAAGACTTTTTCGGAGAAAGGAAAATGCAGGAAATGTGTCACCAGCAAAGTGACCTGCAAAAAATGTTAAAAGTAGTTCTTTGCAATGAGAACATATGGACACAGGGAGGGGAACAACACACACTGGGGCCTGTTTGGGGGAGTGGGCGGGGAGGGAGAGCATTAGGAAACATCACTAATGAATGCTGGGCTTAATACCTAGGTGATGGATTGATAGGTGCAGCAAACCACTATGGCACACGTTTACCCATGTAACCAACCTGCACATCCTGCACATGTACCCCAGAACTAAAAATTAAAATTTAAATTTAAAAAAAAGGAGTTCTTTGAAGAAAGGAAAATGAAATAGGTCAGAAACTCAGATCTACACAAGGAAAGAAAAGAGCTTTGAAGAAGGAATAAATGAAGGTAAAATAAAGTCTTATTTTTCTTATTTTTTTAAAAATTTGAATATAAACTTATTTTTTAATTGACAAACTTATATATATGTATTATGCACATCATGTTGTTTTGAAATACGCATACATTGTTGAGGGGTTAAACTGAGCTAATTAACACATGCACTGCCTCACATACTTATTTTTTGTGTTAAGAACACTTAAAATATATTCTATTGGCAATTTTCAAGAATACACTACATTGTTATTACCTATAGTCACCACATTGTGCAGTAGATCTCCTGAACTTATCCCTTTTATCTAAGATAAATTTTTTATCCCCTGACCAACATCTCCTCAACCACTCATATATTTTCTTATTCTTAATTGATCTAAAAGATAACTGTTTGCTTAAAGTAATATGAAAGAAAAATAAATCCCGGGACCCTAATTCACTATGGCAAAGGGAAAAATTAAGTTGGAAGCTGAGTCACACAAGAAGCTGCCTTTCCTTTTGTTGCCCAGCAGACAGCTAAAGATAAAAGGCCAGACAGAGGCCAGCTGTCTCCACGAGTGCTGCTCTGTGTTTACTTTATCTTGTGTAAAGTGTCGACTTGCTGAGCACTAGATGAATATATAATCGATTATTTCTATGTCTCCTCCTTTTCACGTGCAACACGTGGATTCAGTGATGTGACCACACCCACCCTCCTTCCCTTCCTGCCCACTTTTCCCCTTTAAATACTGAAGACCTCAAAATCCTCTTGGGAAAAAGTAAGATCACAGATTGTTCCTGTGGTTTTGTGTTCCTTTTTCCCGGATGCATCCTTAACCTTGGTTAAATAAACCTCTAAATTGCTTGAGACCTGTCTCAGATACCTTTCGGTTTACGGTAATAATAGTCAACATCTATTGAGTGATTATAGCATATGGATAAATGCAATGAATGATAGCAATGTCATAAGAAATGGAAGAAGGAAACAGAGAATACTCATTTATAAGGTACCTGTGATACTGTGAAATATTTGGTCTTGACCTCTTTTTTTGGCAAACAATTCCTAAAATCCTTGGAATCCCCAAAGTCCTTTTGCTAATGATGCTAATGTTAACTGACAGCTTCAGGATGGGGTTGCTCACTGGAAAGACAGAGGCAGGATTAGAGGGTTGGGACTTTCAGCCCAATCCCCCAACCCCAGGGAGTGGAGAGGGCCTGAAGGCTAAGTTGATCACCAATAGCCAGTGGTTTAATCAATCATGCCTACACAATGAAGCCTCGATAAAAACCCAAGAGGACCGGGTTCAGAGAGCTTCCTGATAGCTGAACACACGGAGGTTCCTGGAGGGTGGCGTCCTGAAGTGGGCATGGAACCCAAGTACACCTTCCTCCTATCTTACCCTATACATCTCCTCATCGGTGTCCTTTCTAATATCCTTTATAACAAACCAGTAAATGTTAAGTGTTTCCCTGAGTTCTGTGAGCTGCTCCAGCAAATTAATCAAACCCAAAGAGAAGGCTGTGGGAACCCCAAATGAAAGCTGATTGGTCAGAAGTCCTAGAGGCCTGGACTTAGGACTAGTGTTGGGAGAGGGGGCAGCCATGGGTTCCAGGCTCTGCACCAGTGAGGTCTGAGGTTATTTCCAAGTAGAAGATGTTAAAATTAAATTAGAGAATAAGCATCTGGTGGCCACTCCCTGCTGTGTGGGGAAAACCCCCACAATTTAGGTCACAGAAGGTTCTGTGTTGATTATCGTTGTGCTGTGAGAGCAGAGGAAAAACACAGTTTGAGAAATTTTTTCCCAAACAGTACCTATTCTAGATATGAACCAGTATTGTGTTATTTGAGAGTGAATATAGAGTAGTTGAAAATGTAGAGTGAAAACTCTAGGGCAACCACTAAAATAATTTGTAAAAGAAGTGTAATTGATATGCTAAAAGAGGAGATAAAATGGATTCATTAAAAATGCTCTATTCAAACCAGAAAGGGCAGGGAAAAAAAGGGAAAGAAGTGAACAACAACAAAAAATGTTACAAACATAGTAGAATTTTTTTTTTTTAATACAGGGTCTCATTCTGTGGCCCAGGCTAGAGTGCAGTGGCACGATCATTGTTCACTGCAGCCCCAACCTTCCTGAGCTCAAGTGACCTTCCCATCTTAGCCTCCTGAGTAGCTGAGACTACAGGCACACATCTAGCTATTTTTTTATTTTTATTATTATTATTTTTTAGAGCCTGGTCTTGAACTCTTGGGATCAAGCAATTGGCCTACCTTGGCCTCCCAAAGTGCTAGGATTACAGGCATGAGCCACTGTGCCCAACCATGTAGATATTTTTAACTACATCAATCCAACTGTGCAATAATCACTTTAAAGTAAATAACCTAAATATCCCAATTAAAAGACAGAAACTATCAGAGTAGATAAAATAAAAAGCCAACTATATGTAGTCTACAAAAAATCCACTTTATATATAAAGACTCAGATTAGAAGTGAAGGGATGAAGAAAGTTATAGTGTGCTATGCTAATCAAAAGGAAGTTGGAGTACCAATATTAGTTTCAGAGAAAGCAGACTTTAGGACAAGGGAAATTATCAGAGGTCAATACGAGCATCCATAGTGATATAAAGGTCAGTTTCCAAGAAGACATAACAATCCTTAACATGTATGCACCTAAAAACAGAGCGTCAAAATACATGAGGCAAAAACTGACAGAACTGAAAGGAAAAATGGACAAATGTACTATTATAGTTGAAGACTTCAACATTTTCTTCTTAGTAATTGATACATCATCAACATCTATAGACTACATCCAACAACAGCAGAATACACATTCTTCTCAAGCTCACAGGGAACATTCACCAAGACTGACCACATTCTTGGCCAGAGAACACACGTAGACAAATTTAAAAGAACTGAAATCATACAAAGTATGCTCTTAGACCACAGTAGAATGAAACTAGAAATCACTAACAGAAAAAGATGGAAATTCCCAAATACTTGGAGATTTTAAAACACATTTCTAAATAGCATATGGTTGAAAGAAGTCTCAAGTGAAATGAAAATATACTTTGAACTAAATGAAAATGAAAATACAACTTATCACTATTGTGTATAGCAAAAGCCATACTCAAGGAGAATTTGCAGCACTAAATGCCTATAACAGAAAAGAAGAAACGTTTATAACCAATAATATAAGCGTGTACCTTAGGAAACTAGAGAGAGAAGAGCAATCCAAGCATAAAGCAAACAGAAGAAAGAAAATACTAAAAATTAAGGCAGAAATCTGAATAGAAAATTGAAAAATAATAGAGAAAATTAGACTCAGAAAAAAGGATACACAAATTATTAATATCAGAAATAAATTAAGGGATTACCAATATTAATCCATGGACATTAAAATGATAACAAAGGAACTCTATACCTCTAAATTTGACAAATTAGAAAAAGGACTAATTCCTTGAAACATACAAATGACCAAAACTCATACAAGGAGAACTAGATCGTCTGAACAGGTTTAAAGCTACTAAAGAAACTGAATCAATAATTAACGATATTCCAAAAAAGAAAGCAGCAGGCCCAGGTGATTTCACTGACGAATCCTACTAAACACTGATGGAAAAAATAGTATCAGTTTTCTGCAATTTCTTCTACAAAACAGAAGCAGAGGGAACGCTTCCTAATTTATTCTATGAGGCCAGCATTACCCTAATGCCAAAACCAGATACATAGAGCATAAAAAAGGGAAACTACAGACCAAGATCTCTCATGGACATAAAGTTCTCAACAAAATATTAGCAAGACTAAAAATGTATGAAAAGAATTATATACTTCAACCCAATGGGATTTATTATAAGTATGCAAGACTGGTACAATATTTGAAAATCAGTCAATGCAATATACCACATCAACAGGCTAATGAGGAAAAATCATATCACATCAATTGATGCAGAAAATGCATCTGGCAAAATCTAACACTCATTTATGAAAGAAAATTCTCTACAAACTAAGAACAAAGATGATCTTCCTCAACTTGATAAAAAGTGTTTATAAAAAGCTAACATCACACCTAATAATGAAATACTGCACACTTTCCCCCAAAAAAGAACAAGGCAAGGATATCCTCTCTCACTACTTCTGTTCAACATCATATTAGAAGTCCTAGCTAGTGCAATAAGACAAGAAAAGGAAATAAAAGGTACATAGATTGAAAAGTCAGAAATAAAACTGTCTTTGTTCATAAATGATATGATTGTTCATGTACAAAATCCCAAAGAACTGTCAAGAAACTCTCAAACTAATAAGCTAGCATAGGTCACAGGATACAATATTAATATACAAAAGTCAATTGCTTTCCCATATTCCAGCAATGAAAAATTGGAATTTGAAATTTAAAATGTACCATTAAACACTGCACCAAGAAAACGAAATACTTAGGTATAAATCTGACAAAATATGTATAAGAACTATATGTAGAAAACTAGAAAACTCAAATGAAAGAGTTCAAAGATTACCTAAATAAATATAGAGATATTCCATGTTCATGGACAGAAAGACAATATTGTTAATATGTCAATTCTTCTCAACTAGATCTATAAATCCAATGCAACCCTAATCAAAATCCAAAAACTATTTTGTAGATAAAAGCTGATTCTCAAACTTATATGAAGAGGCCAAAGACCTAGAATAGCCAACAAAATGCTAAAGGAGAAGAAAAAAGAAGTTGAAGCACTCACAATACCCAATTTAAAGATTTACAATAAAAATAGTATAAACAAGTCAACATGGTATTGGCAAAAGAACAGACAAAGAGATCAATTTAATGGAATTGAGAACCCAGAAATAAAGCCCATAAATATAGTTAACTGATCTTTGAAATATCAACAAAGTCATTCAATGGAAAAAAGAGAAGATTTTTCAACAAATGGTGCTGGAAAAATTGGACATCTATATGCAAAAAAAAAGAAACCTAGACATAAAACTTACACCTTACTCAAAAAATTATATCAAAAGGGATCATGCACCTAAATGTAAAATGCAGAACTATAAAAGTTCTTTAAGAAAACACAGAATATCTTGGTGATTTGGGGTTTGGTTCAAAGACACTGTTAAGAGAAGAAAAAGAGAAGTCACAGACTGAAAGAAAATATTTGTAAAACACATATCTGATAAAGAATTTGTATCCAAAATGTATAAAGAAAAGTAAAACTCAACAATAAGAAAACAAAATGTCTAACTTTAAAAGAAGGTGGCTGGGCGCGGTGGCTCAAGCCTGTAATCCCAGCACTTTACTTTGGGAGGCCGAGGTGGGAGGATCACGAGATTAGGAGGTTGAGACTATCCTGGCTAACACAGTGAAACCCCGTCTCTACTAAAAATACAAAAAAATTAGCCAGGTGTGCTAGCGGGCGCCTGTAGTCCCAGCTGCTCAGGAGGCTGAGGCAGGAGAATGGCGTGAACCCGGGAGGTAGAGCTTGCAGTGAGCCGAGATTGCAACACTGCAGTCCAGGCTGTGCGACAGAGCAAGACCCCATCTCAAAAAAAAAAAAAAAAGAGGGTAAAGATCTGAACAAACATCACCAAAGAAGATACAGGAACAGCAAATAAGCATATGACATAATGTTCAATATCATTTGCCAGTAGGGGACTGCAAATTAAAGCAACAATAAGATACCATTACATACCTATCACAATGGCTAAAATCCAAAAATGGACAGTATTTGTTGTCAGTTGCTGATGAGGATGCAATTGCTAGTGAGGATGCAGACCAACAGGAATTTTTATCCATTGCTTATAGGAATGTAAAACAGCCACTTAGGAAAACAGTTTAAAAGTTTCTTACAAAACGAGACATAGTCTTATTGTATGATCCAGCAATCATATTCCTAGGTATTTACATAACTGATTTGAAAACACCTGCATGTGATTGTTTATAGCAGCTTTATTTTTAATTGCCAAAAACTGTAAACAAGCAAGGTATCTTAAATAGGTGAATGGATAAACAAACTGTGGTACATCTACATAATGAAATGTTATTTGGCCATAAAAATAAATGAAGAATCCAGCCATAAAACAATATGGATGAATCTTAATGCATATTGCTATGTGAAATAAGTGAATCTTAAAAAGTAACATATTGCATAATTCCAATGACATGGCATTCTGGAAAGGGCAAAACGGTAGTAATAGTGAAAAGATCAGTAAGAGTTCAGGGAGAGAGGGAAGGATTAAATAAGTGAAGTCCAGAGAATTTTTCAGGGTGGTGAACTATTTTTATGATATGTAATTGTGGATACATGACTATGCATTTGTCAAAACCCATTGAACTGTACAGGCCAAAGAGCTAATCTGCAGATATGCTAACTTTTAAAAAGTATTTAAAAGGTGGGAGGATCTCAGGATCCTAATTTTGCAAAATGTGACAAAAAACAATCTACGAAACAACCTCACTGAAAGGGGTTGGGGGGAAAAGGTGCTGACTTAAGTAACTCTGAAAATCATGGAGTCTGTAATACTAAAGGCCAAAGAAGCTGTACATCAGTGATGAACTCTAGTTGATAAATTTGTTTCCCAGGTGGGCAGTGGTTAATAGTTCTGATACCACTACTCACGTATTTTGAAACTGACCATTAAGTAAATGGATGGCAGATGGTGAGAACCAGGTTTCTCACTGCTGGAGTGGGAACAGGGGAGGAGGCTGGACTGATCCACGCTGTAAAGGATTGGCATTGAAGACATCACTATGAACTCATGTTTAGCTTAATAGACTATTGATGGTTATATATAGAAATAGTTACAGGTTACAGGTATATACATGTGTTGGTATACACTCATATACAGTCGTCCTCCCTTATATGTGTGGAATACCCTATTCTAATACCCCTGTAGGTGCCTGAAAAAACAGATAATGCTGAACCCTATGTATACTATGTGTTTTCCTATACATACATACCTTTGATAAAATTTATCATTAGGCACAGTAAGAGATTAACAATGATCCCTAATAATAAAATAGAACAACTAGGCTGGGCGCAGTGGCTCACACCTGTAACCCCAGCATTTTGGGAGGCCGAGGCGGGTGGATCACGAGGTCAGGGGATCGAGACCATCCTGGCTAACATGGTGAAACCCCGTCTCTACTAAAAAATACAAAAAATTAGCCGGGCATGGTGGCAGGTGCCTGTAGTCCCAGCTCCTCGGGAGGCTGAGGCAGGAGAATGGTGTGAACCCAGGAGGCGGAGGTTGCAGTGAGCTGCGATCGCACCACTGCACTCCAGCCTGGGTGACAGAGCAAGGCTCCGTCTCAAAAAAAAAAAAAAAAGTATGAATTGTTCATCTCTAAAATTTGCTATTTAATATTTTTGGACCATGATTGACCGCACCTAACTGAAACCACGGAAATGAAAACTGCGAATAAAGAGGAACCAATGTATTTCCTTGTTTTGTCAGCTGAGTGAACCTAGAAGCAAAGGCCTCTCCCCCACCCAGTAATAACAAGCACACCTGGCACTGAGATTTTGGTTTCTAATGCCAACCTCCAACCAAAAGAACCAGAGCTTTCTTGGAGAAATGGCCAATTTGCCCATGGACTAGGGCAGGAAACATACAAAATGAGCCAGGAACCTCTTGTGGTGCCAGAAAGTAAGAACGTGATAAAAATTAATAACCTCACAATGATGGGGGTGTGTCAAAGGAACACAGAAGCCAACTTTTAACAATAAAGTAACATTGGATTATAACTGTGAGTATAAAATAAATATCCATGAGTCCATATTTCTATAAATACATGATTGAACACACAAGTAAATAAATAGTAAAGAAGGGACAAATCTCCCAAGGGAAAAAATTCCAAATACTTTATGTAGATACTCCGCCCTCAGGGAAGAGGAACATGATTCCCCACTCCTTAAGTGGAGGCTGCACATAGTGACTTCCTTCCAAAGAATACAATATAGGAAGGTGGGCAGGTAGAACTTCACAGTAGAGAAAACTGCCAATCACTCCCTCAGTGATCACCTGGCTAGGTGATCAAGTCAACATCAACAGTGATGCCTTACTGATAGTATGTCCCCCTGATGTGATGAGATAAGAACAGTCTTGGCCGAGCGCGGCAGCTCATGCCTATAATCCCAGCACTTTGGGAGGCCAAGGCAGGTGGATCATGAGGTCAGGAGATGGAGATCATCCTGGCCAACATGGTGAAACCCGGCCTCTACTAAAAATACAAAAAAAAAAAAAAAATTCAGCCAGGAGTGGTGGCATGAGCGTGTAGTCCCAGCTACTCAGGAGGCTGAGGCAGGAGAACCGTTTGAACCCGGGAGGCAGAGACTGCAGTGAGCCGAGATCACGCCACTGCACTCCAGCCTGGGCGACAGAGCGAGACTCTGTCTCAAAAAAAATAAATAAATAATGGTCTTTACCTCTCTGGTCTTCTTCCTCCAAATCCAGTCTAATCATGAGAAAAACATCAGAGAAATCCTAATAGAGGGGCACCCTACGTAACACTGACCAGTACTGCTCAACACTGTCGAGGTCATACGAAGTGAGGAAAGTCTATGAAAAAGCCACAACTGTGAGGAGCCTAAGGCAACATGGCGACGAAACGTGATGTGGGGTTGGATGGTATCCTGGGAGAGACAAAAAACATTAGGTAAAAACTAAGGAAATATGAATAACCATGGACTTTACATAATCATAATGTAGCGATATTGGCTCATTCATTTTAACAAATGCACCATAGTAATGTAAGATGTTACAAACAAAGAAACTGGGAATTCTTTACACTATCTTGGCAATTTTTCTGTTCATATAAAACTATTCTAAAGGATGAACTTTATTTAAAAATCCAAATGGCAATCACAACGCATAAATATCACAGCCAACCACACCCCACCCCACAGTAAGTTGCTTTTATAAACCAACAGCTGCTGGTTGCTGCAGAATCCCCAGGGCCAGGCTCAGGGGCTGTGTCCCCACTATACCCAGGGCAAGCCCCTGAGCTGCCACTGCCAGGGATTCAATCCCCCACCCAAATTAATTTACATGTGGTGTGAGTTTTACACTGACGGAATGAGGGCTTAATGTTTGCTTGGTGTAAAACTGATGTATGGAGGAATAATTTTAGAGCATGACTTTTAGAAGGACCAAAGAGGGCAGCTTCTCAATCGGCAGCAGGTGGCACGAGGATCAATAGCTGACGTCTGTGCCGCTGGACAGCAGGCCCGCCGGGAGGAGGGAAAAGCACAATGGACACACATGAAGGACCCAGTGAGGACTGAGTGATGGGCTGGGGACACCTCTCATACTACCCTGTCATGAAGGCCACAGTGCAACACAGGAGATGGGGAGGTCAGGTCAGAACACCTGTCCGGGGCCTCTCGATGGGCACTAGGAATCTGAGACGAGTCCTTGGCACTGATGCTCAAAACATCTTTCATACCTCCAGAAATTGACTCTCCTAATCCAGTTTCGAGCAGGAGGGACTCATCTATCTATGTGCAACTGACAGAATTAGAGGGTTCCCTTGTGACATCTAAACATCCCCATGAACTGAGCATACTGTATGAACACTGGTGCACCGATATTCAGCAATGACAGCATGATCGTTAATCCACCAACCAAAAATGCAAGCTGAGCGGCTGGGAAGACAAGTCACTTGCCCTTGCAGGCTCCGTCTTCTCACCCCAACAATTCTACTTAAGTAAAGAAAATAAAGCACAAAAGCTTTGAAACCACGGCTGATAGTGCAGGCTCCTCAGGGGAAAGGCAGGCACCCGACAGACCAAGAATCTGGTTTCCACACCCATCACACCTGCAGCACTGATTCACCAGTGCAGCTGAGGTGATGGAAGCAGGGAAAGTCTAAGGGGAGGGACACCGAATCATCCCCAAAACCACAACAGAATTTTCTCTGTGAACCTCTCCAACACTGTCAGCCTGATTCTTCTGCCAGGATTAACTGAATATAAACACCTAAAGCATAAATAATCCGTGTCAATAATTTAGGTGTACAGTAAGATAAAGTGCACTGCTCAATAGGCAAAACTACAGACAAAAGAAAATATACTTTAATAAAATTTACACTAGTACCAGCTAAACAAGAGGTCGAAGAAAGTTGTTAAATTTCTCATCGCATCCTCAAAGATATAACAAAGTTAAACAGGAAATTACAAAAAGAAGGTGGTTTTAAAATTCAGCAAAAAAAAAGATGAAATCATCGTGACCCCAGTGTAACTCTATAGCCATAGCTTTACATGTAAACACTGGATTTAAAATGCAAAATCTGTGGTTACTTTAGACCACTGAGACTCAATTATTTATGCTGATTATTTATAGGTAGCTTCTAATGGAAGTTGATTATTGAATATTTTCAAAGAGAAAAAAAAAGGAATAAATTCTCATTTCGCTAAAAAGCTTTGAGTTTTTTTCCTGAAGGGAAGAAAATAGATTAGGTGGTGTCCTGAGTTCCTCTGCAGCCTGGGGTGCTGGCATGAATAAATAACCGTGGTAAGAAGCAAGCATGCTAGCAGCCAAGCCACAGACAATAGTGCCCAATGCATCGCCCATCTTCAGAAACGAAACATGTTGCATAAGACATTTTCCTAAAAACTTCATACTTGGAGCCGGGTGGGGTGGCTCATGCCTGTAATCCCAGCACTTTCGGAGGCCAAGGCGGGCAGATCACCTGAGGTTGGAAGTTCAAGATGAGCCTGACCAACATGGAGAAAACCTGTCTCTAGTAAAAATACAAAATTAGCTGGGTGTGGTGGTGGGCGCCTGTAATCCCAGCTACTCGGGAGGCTGAGGCAGCAGAATCGCTTGAACCCACGGGGCGGAGGTTGCAGTGAGCCGAGATGGCGCCATTGCACTCCAGCCTGGGTAACAAAAGCGAAACTCCATCTCAAAAAAAAAAAAAAAAAAACCCTTTATACTCGGACTTTAAGCATGAGTCTTTCTAAAGTGCATTCTAATTAGAGCACATGGGGCTAGATAGGGGTGACTGGCAGAAACTGGGGAGGTCCGAAAATGCCCCCCTCAGAGAACTGACCTAAGAAAGCAGCTAGAGCCTGAGGAGACCCACTGGAGGTCACATAGAGTGAAGTGACATGAAGAAATGGCTATGGACACAGTCCTGGGAAACCAGGGAGAGGCCAGAGAGGGGTCACAGTCTGTCTTTAGAGCAGAACTAGAATTAACATCAAACGCCACCATAAGCAGAAAATAGAAGCTGATGCCACCTCTGACCTCTGAGCTGAGAAAAGTGAGTCCATACAGGGCTCATGAAGGCCTTAGAAGGGCCTGCAGAGAAGACAGGAGCACTGTGCCCAGGAGGCAGCCTGGCCAGCAGTCCAGAGACATCCAGCACCCCCCGCCCCACTTGACACAGGCGCATCAGGGTGAGCACCTGTGATGAGAATACCCACTCCCTGTGCACACAGTACCTGCATGGCCCTCCCGGGCACCCGGCTTTGGGGGGACACGTGGGCAGCGAGCTACACACAGACCCTATCCCTCCAGCAGGATCCCCCTTCCTCATTTGCATTCCATTTAGTGATAAGATTTTCCCCATAGCCTTATCCATTTTCTCTTACTCCCCAAGGAAAAATAATCAGAATTATTAGTTTTGGTGGTTATCCTATGTTATGGGGTGAATCTGTCCTTCCCCCAAAATTCACAGAAATTCCTAACCTCCAATACCTGAGACTGTGACCTTATTGGAAATAGGTTCACTGCAGATGCTATTGACTAAGATGAGGTCATATGACAGTAGGGGAGGCCCGCGGTCCAATCTGACTGTGTCCTTAGGAAAAGGGGGATTTGAACACCGAGACATGAACACGAGGAGAACGCCATGTGAATAGGAGGCAGAGACGGGGTGATGCATCTACAAGCCAAGGAACGTCACGTCACGGATTACCAGCAAATCACAGGAAGCTAGGAGGGAGACCTGGAACAGATTTTCCCTCAGGGCCTCGAGAAGAAATCCACGCTGCCAACACCTTGATCTCTGCTTTCCAGTCTGCAGAACTGTGAAGGAATAAATTTCTGTTGCTTAAGCCACCTTGTCTATCGTACTTTGTTATGGGAGCCCAAGGATAGGAATCCAGCCTGTAATGTGAACTTCAGTTTTACAGAGATGTTCCAGCAACTTCCCCGGGACATGATAACCCAGAAAACAAGTGAAGAAGGTCCCGGGGGATCCTGCTGTTGTCACACTTCAAGGTCCCTGTGCCTGACTCATGGGAACCCCCAGGCCTTCCATCGGAGACTACGCGACTCTTACTAGAAGCTCAGGAAGGTACACAACCCAGGGCAGGCAGAACACTTTATCTCTAATGAGCAGCAAGCAGGGCTTTCAAGGCAGTTAAGAATTTCCTAGCTGTTTTCTTCCTCATCGCAATCAATTCTGAAAGGCATGTTTTCATAGTTCGAGGATTCTAAGGGCTACGATGAAAGTCTCTGCTATTAGGTTAAACATTTGAACAACATATTAAATATTCAAATAGAACATTAGGTTGAACTTTGACTGAGCGTATTAAAATACTTTAAGGTTAACACTGAAAAGGAACTTTTTGTAGTAAATTAAAGGTGGCTTCTCCTCCTGAAGGAAAGTGGAGTCTAATTCCTAGCCTCTCGCACACCGGCCGGCCTGTGACTTGCGTGATCCAGCGAATGTGACAGAGGTGACACTCTGGGACACGGGAGGCTGAGTTGTAAGAAGCCTCTTGGAGCCTCTTAGAATGCTGGCTCTGGCAGAAGCCAGACACTATGTAGCAAGTATCACTCACGTGGTGAGGAAGCCCAGGTACCCACATGGAGACGCCATCTGAAGACAGAAAGGTGTCTGGCCAGCCCTGGCTGCTCTGTCTATCCCAGCCAGGCATGTGAGTAAAGGAACCTTTTTGGACATTCCATCGCAGCAGAAATGACATGCAGAAGACCCAGGGAACCCAGCCAACAGTGGGAACCAAGATCCCAAACGTATGGCCCCAGCACAGCTGCCCCGGCCATCTCCAGCCATCAGTGAGGGTTCTAGTCACTGGTCTGTCTCTGGGTCATCCTGCTAAATTCCTCACTCACAGAATCATGAAAAGTGGTTGCTTAGTGCCACTATATTTTGGGGTGGTTTATTGTGCAGCCATAGATAACTGGAGCACACTTTTCTGTGAAGTATTTTCTTTCCAGACTCGAACAGTTAGATGGGTTTATCCGGAGGCTACGGTGTAATTGAAATTCCATTAAAGATGCTTTTTAACAAGTAAGCAGGACTAATGTATCTTCCCACTGCAAAGGCCTGCACTATCTTTGCCAAACCACATCATACTCTGTGAAGTCATCCAGTACAACACGTACCCCAAGTTCATACTCTTTAACAGCTCTCTGAATCAAATGGAGACTTAGTCAGGGTGAACAGTGTCACTGCAACGCTTGCAAGCAAAGTAGGATTCAACCCCACAGCAGAGGTCAGAAATGCCAATAAAAATGACCTTCTGGGGTCATTTATGGGTTTCACAGCTCTGATTTCAAGAGGTACCAGATATGCCAAAGAAAATGTGGCCAAAGACCTGGAAATACGGGCTCTTCTGATTCAGTAGGGCCAGGGGTCGCTGCCCCAGCCAGAGGTCAGCCACCTTGGGGTCAGCCACCCTGGCACTGCCCAGCTAAGACAGTCCCCACAGAACCTGAGAGCTGGCTCTCCATTGTGTCTCTCCAGAGAAACAGCCCCAACTTCTGTTGGTTGTCTGTACAGACTTCAAAGGAAAAATATCTTCCTCCTATCTCATGAAAACATTCCTTGCTGGGGCTGGACGCAGTGGCTCACACCTGTAATCCCAGCACTTTGGGAGGCCGAGGCGGGTGGATCACAACGTCAGGAGATTGAGACCATCCTGGCTAACACGGTGAAACCCCATCTCTACTAAACATACAAAAAAATTAGCCGGGCCTGGTGTCGGGCGCCTGTAGTCCCAGCTGCTCAAGAGGCTGAGGCAGGAGAATGGCATGAACCCGGGAGGTGGAGCTTGCAGTGAGCCGAGATCACGCCACTGCAATCCAGCCTGGGCGACAGAGCGAGACTCCGTCTCAAAAAAAAAAAAAAAAAAAAATTCCTTGCTGGGACATAAACCCTTTTCCTATCGTCATACTTGTCCAAACTGTGAGTTCACAGCCAATGATAATTGGATGCGTGGCCTCTGCTGGGTAGATAACCTATGCCAAACTGTTTTCAAATAGACAGAAAACCAACATTAATATGGTTTGTTGTTGTTGTTTTGAGACAGAGTCTCACTCTGTCACCCAGGCTGGAGTGCAGTGGCGTGATCACAGCTCACTGCAGCCTTGATCTCCCAGGCTCAAACAACCCTCCCACCTTGCCTCCCAAGCAGCTGGGACTATAGGCACACACCACCACATTCAGCTAAATTTTATTTTTTTAGTAGAGACAAGGTCTCACTATGTTGCCCAGGCTGGCCTGAAACTCATGAGCTCATGTGATCCTCCTGCCTCAGCCTCCCAAACTCCTGGAATTACAGATGTGAGCCACCGCGCCCAGCCTTAGTATGTTTTAAAAGTCAAAAGAAAACAGTGTACTAACAGTGACCTGAATCTGCCTGCACTTGGAGGCTCACCGTTTTCACGTGCTCACGTATGCCATCTCCTTTAAGCCTCAGGTCAAGTCCATGTCATGCTCATTTCAGCAAAAATGTCAGGCAGCTCTCCCTGGCCCACAGCTGGCTCCTGGTAGGGCAGTCAAAGTCAGATCTACCAGATGCCAGCACCCATGAGAAAAGGATCTGGATGGTGCCAACCTAATACCCCCTCCATCCCCAGCCACCAGCAGCGCCGAGGTCCTTCCGTCCATGCTGTGTGCATGGCTTTTCTCATCCCCTCTCTGACCCCAGCAGCTGGGTGAGCATCTTACAGATCTCCTTCCCAGATCCCGTGCAAAATGGCCAGAATTCTAGGTCTCAGGCTGTTCATTTGTTTGATGTGAAGTTAGACTTAGTTACCTTGGTGTTAGGAGAGAACAGTGTTTAAATTATGTGTGGCAAGGAAAATTAATTTGAGATTATGAATTCCCTGCAGCGTTCAAAGAGTATCATGGAGCTTAAGAGCAAGTTGGCTGGGTCTCAGTTTATTGACCTGGAGGAATGTGGAAATGCTAAGGGAAAGCATGGAGCTGAAGAGTGCTGTGCGGACTGTCAATCCATTTCCATCTGAAATCACACTGGAAAACAGAAAAGCCTACCTATGGATCTGTGTGGGGGCATGGAGAACAGTGTGGGTGGAGATGCAAAAAGCTCCACCTCAGAGAGCTGGGAGGGAAGCGGAGTCAGGGAGGGCTGCCTGCCTTTTTCTGTAGACATTCCCCTACTGATTGACTGGTGACAGTGAGATTTTATCACGTTTGTAATTTCCAGAAGG